>NC_000007.14:117052233-117355263 GCF_000001405.40 Homo sapiens
CATTCTCCTTTTTGTAGGTATGTATTTCAACTAGAAAGATTATCTTTCCTCCAGGACCTGTTGTACTAGCGCCTGAACTCTATTTATGGGGAACTAAACAGGTTGATAAGTTTTGCTTTCAGCTGATTTTTTTTTCTCTATGCACCACCAGAAAGGATTTTAGAGTTATATCTTTGCAACTTTCAGTCTGACACTGGTAGTTACTTGTTTCAGGAAGGTGATTATTCTCATCAGGTATTATTCTTTTAATAATAACTTTTTTTGTTATGAATAAAATATCTTCACTGTAGACAAATTGGAAAGTAGAGAATTTGTACACAATCACTTACAATCCCAGTGCCAAGAAGTAACATTCTCTTCCAGTCTCTAAAAAATCTAGGGCCAGGAGCAGTGGCTCACGCCTATAATCCCAGCACTTTGGGAGGCCGAGGCAGGTGGATCACGAGGTCAGGAGATCAAGACCATCCTGGCTAACACGGTGAAACCCCGTCTCTACTAAAAATACAAAAAATTAGCTGGGCGTGGTGGCGGGCGTCTGTAGTCCCAGCTACTCAGGAGGCTGGGGCAGGAGAATGGCGTGAACGCAGGAGGCGGAGCTTGCAGTGAGCTGAGATCGCGCCACTGCACTGCAGCCTGGGCGACACAGCAAGATTACATCTCAAAAAACAAAAAAACAAACAAACAAACGAAAAAATCTAGTCAGTGTGTTGCTTCATACTTTATGTGCAATTTTATATCCTCATTTTTCTACTTAACATTCTGACTCTTTTCTGTATCTTATCAACTATTACTCAAAGACAACATTTTAAATGGCTATATGATATTCCATTGCATGGAATACTTAATCATTTTCCTGTTGTTGAGCATTTAAGTTGTTTGTTGTTCTTCGTAGAGAAATTTTAAATTAAGGAAAAAAAGCCAGACAGTTTTTTACAGAGCACATTGTTTTAACGAAACAAACTAAATTTTCTACTCAAACCAAAATAGTTTGTAAAAACCACTGTCTACTCCAGGCAGCTATAGAATAATGATCAGGGCATCAGAACAATTGCACTAAAAACCCTAGTCTCCTGGCAAGCCATTTCCGGGCTCTCAACTCTTACAGTGTTTTTCGATGCTCTCGAAGGTGCCAGAGTTAAACACGGACTACTCTTGTTAGGGAAGTCAGCTCTGTTACTCACGGGGATCTTTGCCCTCCTCCTTTGAAGCTTTTCAGCATTTCCATTTGTTGCTTGTACCTCTGGATCTTGCCTTGCAACAATGACTAGAACTAGGGAAAGATAGGGACAGCCCTCTTACCACAGCTTTGAGCTGCCAAATTTGAGCTGCTTTATCCTCATCCCAGCCCTCCACTGTGCCAGTCCCTTGGGTCTCAGCAGGCCACCTCCTTCTGGCCACCCTTCAGTCAGCAACTGTTGATTGAGCAATTTCCACATTCCAGAAACTGGCTAGATGTTGGGAATAGGATGGTCAGATAGATGTAGATGCTCTTATAATTTATGATTGGTGGGAAGTAATTATATGGGAGGGAAGATAGAGAGTTATGTATGGTGTGGGAGAGTGATGTACTGATGTTCTTCATGGGTGAAGAACAGAACAGAACAGAGGACTAGACGGTTTTTTTTTTTTTAAGACGGAGTCTTGCTCTGTTACCCAGGCTGGAGTGGGATCTCTGCTCATTGCAACCTCTGCCTCATGGGTTCAAGTGATTCTCCTGTCTCAGCCTCCCGAGTAGCTGGGATTACAGGCATGCTCCACCAGGCCTGGCTAATTTTTGTATTTTTAGTAGAGATGGGGTTTCACCATGTTGGCCAGGCTAGTTCCAAACTCCTGACCTCAGGTGATCTGCCCACCTCAGCCTCCCAAAGTGCTGCGATTACAGGCATGAGCCACCGTGCCCGCCGGTCTAGACAGTTTTGACCTTAGCTAGCTTTCCCACACTCTGAGCACTCTCTACTTACTGTATTTTAAAATCTGTGCGCACACCCCTTTAGGTATGATCTGCTTTTGTTAAAACTGTAAAATAAACACAAAAGAACACAGCCAGTGAAGTGGAGGCATTGTTCAGTAAGGTTGTGTCTCTCTACTGGCCTCCATTCTTGGAATTGTCAAGCTGGTCTCCAGTGTTGCAGCACAAGTCTCTTAAAATCCTTCAGAGATCAGGAACTGCTCTTTCTTACTGCTGTGCCTGTGACACAATGCGTCGCACATGCATCCCGGAGGTGGAGGTGGGTAGAGTTGAGCTGGTAATTTACTTAGGAGGTGACATTTATTGTTGAGTTTTCCTCTTCTTCTTCAAAGGACACCATGAACACAGAATATAAGTGAATTCTGCCTTTGTTAGGCCATTCCTTTATCACACTTTGTCTGTGCTATAAATGTGCTATGCTTGAGGTGTGGGCTTTGGTTTTTGGTTTATTTGGTAATATGACAAATATGTCTTCATGGGTGAAGAACAGAACAGTTTCACCTAAGTTCTACGTGAGCATTTCCCCAGCACATTGTTTTTTTAAAAACAACCAGTATCTGACAGATGTTTGTCACTGAACTCTCTGCTGGACATGCCAGGAAAATGCAGCAAATACATTTGGATTTCAGTAATACATCCATCTCATGATATTTCTTTACAAAGATGAAGAAAGGGCTACATACAAGGAAAAGCAGATGAATTAGGAATATTAGGCATTGTGTGTGGTGGTAATGTGGTATAGGGAACCCCAGTCATGCATTCATTGGTTCTAAGTTAACATTTTTCCTCCACTTCTTATTAAATACATGGCCTTGGACAATTTAATTGAAGTAATCAGAATTATGTATAATAGTGATTAATAGTCACCCAGTAATTGCTCAATTACTAAAAAGTAATTCACTATACCAAGGATTCAGTTTGATTGATATAATCCTCTGTGACATGTGGGTACTGTTGTTATCTCCCAATTTATTTATTTATTTATTTTCTGCTCCTTAATTTTTTTATTTTATTTTTTAAGATGGAGTCTTGCCTTGTTGCCCAGGCTGTAGCGCAGTGGCATGATCTCGGCTTACTGCAACCTCCGTCTCCTGAGTTCAAGCAATTCTCCTCCCTCAGCCTCCCAAGTAGCTGGGATTACAGGTGTATGACACCACACCTGGCTAATTTTTTGTATTTTTAGTAGAGACAGGGTTTCGCCTTGTTAGCCAGGCTGGTCTTGAACTCCTGACCTCAGGTGATCCTCCTGCCTCGGCCTCCCAAAGTGCTGGGATTATTCCCCAACTTATACATGAAGAAACTTAGGTGCAGATAAATTGAGTGAATAATCCTAGATTGTACAACTTCTCTTTGCTGGACCCAGGATTTGCACTCAGGTCATTGTCACCAATAACCTGTGCTCCAACCACTACACTCTGACCTTTAAGTCCTTATTTGCTCAGTTGGGAAGTGGGAATTTATTTATCTGATAAAATATTAGGTGCTTTTGGTGTTCATATTTGGGTAAATTACAAGTCTCCCCCTTTCTGGTACTATTGCTTCTTTTTATTGAAACTGGCAGTAGGACTTTTTGTTCCGGCTTAATTAACCAGGTGTATTAGTCAGGGTTCCCTAGAGGGACAGAACTAATAGGATAGATATACATATATATAAAGGCAAATTTATTAAGTATTAACTTACACGATCACAAGGTCCCACAGTAGGCTGTCTGCAAGCTTGAGCAAGAACAGCCAGTCTGAGTCTCAATACTGAAGAACTTGGAGTCCAATATTTGAGGGCAGGAAGCATCCAGCTTCCTGAAAGATGAAGGCTGGGAGTCGAGGCCAGTCTTGTTTGTCTTTTCACGTTTTTCTGCCTGGTTTATATTCACTGGCAGCTGATTAGATTGTACCCACCAGATTAAGGGTGAGTCTGCCTTCTCAAGCCCACTGACTCAAATGTTAATCTCCTTTTGCAACACCCACACAGACACACCCAGGATCAATACTTTGCATCCTTCAATCCAACCAAGTTGACACTCAGCATTAACAATCACACTAGGTGAGATGGGAAAGCTGTGCCAGGTGATAAAAGGGTTTTTGTGCAGTGCTGCTGAGTATATTTCTTGCTCAGAGTTGTGAGAGTTACATGAGATTAAAGAAGATAAAATAGGCCAGGCATGGTGGCTCATGCCTGTAACCAGCACTTTGGGAGGCCGAGGCGGGCTGATCACCTGAGGTTGGGAGTTTGAGACCAGCCTGACCAACATGGAGAAACCCCATCTCTACTAAAAAAAATACAAAATTAGCTGAGTGTGGTGGCACATGCCTGTAATCACAGCTACTCGGGAGCCTGAGGCAGGAGAATCACTTGAACCCAGGAGGCAGAGGTTGCAGTGAGCCAAGATTGCACCATTGCATCCAGCCTGGGCAACAAGAGCGAAACTCCGTCTCAAAAATAAAAATAAAAATAAATTAAAAAAAATAAAGAAGATAAAATAGAAGAAAGTGTAAAGTAGAAAGGATCTTACACAAAATCTTTACACAAGGATCTTGAAGAAATATAGCCAATCTATTGACTTAAAAGCTGAGTAAAATTTTACTACATTGTAATTGTTCATAAAACACAGGATCAATATGAAAATAGGATTTGTAATTCTTAAGTATTTCCCTTTTTTGATAATTGGCTTCCTCTTAAGAATTATGATGCTCAATTACACATATAAGAGATTACATTTATAAGAGATTCCTTTACATCAAGGTCACCCTGAGGGAGGATTCTCTTGGTGTATTGAAGGGTCCTAGCTCTGATCCTGCCCATTTCAATATAGTGTCAGTATCTGAGATACAGTCGGTGGTTATCTGTTTGTGGATGATCTAAAGCTGTAGATTTAGTTTTCATTGAGTCTTTATATTTTTTTCTCTAATGATTTTGAAAGGTAGACTATTTAAAATGTAATTATTTTAAATTGTGGCCAATTTAAAGGTTTTCATATACATACTTAGAGCTGTATTTCATTACCTAATTTATGTCATTATACTTATGTATTCAAGTAGAATAACTCCATTTATTCTTCATATATCTGAAAGTGACTTTCTTTTGCCAGCATCTTTGAGTGATAGCTAACCCAGTATAAAACTAAAACTAGATTTGAAAATTCCTTAGGTCAAGGACTGTTTCTTTTGTTACCCTGTTTTTCACATGGTGCTCAACCTTATGTTTGTATATAATTGATACTCTTTCCATATTGTTGATTCGTTGTGAATTTTTAAAAATTAAGAGCTAAGACTTAGGAAGTTTTAAGATACTTGTTTACATGCTGTGAGTTAGGGCTTCTCCTAATAAGAGATTGTATGATTGAGTTATGTGCTAACGTGTTTCTGCTTGATTAGTTGACTTCAAGTGCTCAAACACAGCAAATAATTGCCCAATTGAAGATGTCTAACATTATTAGATATTAAGCTATTTCAGACCCATACTAAATCATCCATTTGAATATAGTACAAGAAACTTCTTTATTGGGACTTATTTTTCCTCTTTACAAAATACCTTTGAAAAGAGATAGTGATATAGTAGAGTGAGGGAACCTGAGTTCCTTGACTATGTAGTATATGAACATGGGCCTGTCATATTAATTTTCTGGGACTAACAATTTGTACTATTAAGTAAAAGTTACCAATCAAAATCCCTTTCTATTTTTTTCAGTTACCACCTGTAAAGTCTGGTAGTTATAGTAATCCTACCTGAGTGGGATGTTTTGCAGAACCTCAGTTGTTTCCACTCCTCTGACTTAGGATAATGACTGTTTCTTGTGTGGGGGCCACAGATGCCAGGATTTAGATATGCTATCATTAGAAAGCAAACTAATTTTTCACAGGTTTCTACTTTTTAATTCTTTATTGTTATATTTGCTAGTGAGTGTCAAGAGAATCAGGAATATTGATTAACCTGTGTGAATGAGTAGTTGGAAACACATGTGCTTTACCTTTTGGAACTCAATTGTTCTTTAGCCAGTCAGGTTATCTATCTAAATAAGATAGGGAATTCAGTAACACATTTGCTTTGTGCACAAGAGCGGTTATTTCCTATAATGTTTGTATGATGATATTTTTTATTTTTATTTTCCAGTGAAATATAAACATGATTTTTTAAAGCTTTATCTGTCTTTGGAAATTAATGATCAGTTTGCATAAAAGCACTTGATCTGGAAAACTTCAAATATGTTCTATTTAATACCATCTGCTATATATCTTTTCTATTGGTTGTTATGGAGACTTATTTTTCATGAAGGGACATGGTGCTGCTTTACTTGAAGATTGAATTTGCTTTGATTTCATAGTGCATTATGGTAAAATTGAGCATCATAATTCTTAAGAGGAAGCCAATTATCAAAAAGGGAAATATTTAAGAATTATAAATCCTATTTTCATATCCATCCTGTGTTTTATGAGAAGTCACAATGTAGAAAAATTTTACTCAGCTTTTAAGTCAATAGATTGGCCATATTTCTTCAACAACTACTGTGTGATGGTATCAAAGAAATAGCAGATATACTGCACTCCCCTATTTATTGTAGCACTATTCACAATAGCCAAGATTTGGAAGCAACCTAAGTATCCATTGACAGATAAATGGATAAAGAAAATGTGGTACATATACACAATGGAGTACGATTCAGCCATAAAAAAGAATGAGAGCCTGTGATTTGCAACAACATGGATGGAACTGCAGGTCATTATATTAAGAGAAATAAGCCAGGCGCAGAAAGAGAAACTTCGCCTGTTCTCACTTATTTGTAGGAGCTAAAAGTTAAAACAGTTGAACTAATGGAGATAGAGAATAGAAGGATGGTTACCAGAGATTGGGAAGGTGGGGACACGGGGATGTGGAGATAGTTAATGGGTACAAAAAAAGAAAATAGAGTGAATAGACCTAGTATTTGCCAGCACAATGAGGTGACCATAGTCAAATATAATTTAATTGTACATTTAGAAATAACTAAAAGAGTGTAATTGGATTGTTTGTAACACAAAGGATAAATGCTGGAGGTGATAGACACCTCATTGACCCTGATGCCTGGTATTACACATTGCATGCCTGTACCAAAACATCTAATGTACCTTATAAATACATATCTACTATGTACCCACAAAAATTAAAGATAAAAAGAAATAGTAGATATAATTTCTGCTTTTGAATAGGTTATTATTTAAAAAGAAAATAGTGGTCAAGGCAAGAAATATGTCTTTGCCTATTTGATATGCTAGAATGGACAGAAATAATGGCAAAGTTTCATTCTTGTGTATGTGTGAGAATGTGTTTGTGTATGTAACATATGGAATTTCTGGCATATATATGGATATATATGAAATTCCTACTAATTTTAGAGGTATAGATCTAAACTTGTTCTGGAGTTGAGAATTATGTCATCCCTCAGAGACTATATTTCACAGAAATACTGCTTCTGGTCAGAAGTACTGTGGATCTTAATATTAAATCAGATTCTTGGCCAGGCACGGTGGCTTTTGCCTGTAATCCCAGCACTTTGGGAGGCCAAAGTGGGAGAATCACTTGAGCCCAGGAATTCAAGACCAGCCTTTGCTACTTAGTAAGACTTCATCTCTGCAAAAAAAAAAAAAAAAAAAAAAAAAATTAGCTACGTGTGGTAATGTGTGCCTGTAGTCCTAGCTATTTGGGAGGCTGAGGTGGGAGGATCGCTTGATCTCAGGAGGTTGAGGCTGCAGTGAACCAAGATCGCACTACCCCACTTCACCCTGGGCAACAGAGCAAGACCCTGTCTCAAAAAATCAAATTCTCATATACCAAGTAATTGTTTGTTTTCTTTTAATATATTCCTGACCTTGGACTTTACACCTCCACCATTTTTAGGATTTGTCTGATTAGCTTTTAAAATTTTGTTCTGGATTTTACAGGGTTTGATCAGCATAACCAGTTGACACAAGTGCAGTGGGATCTTTTGGTGGGAAAGTCTGGGGGTACCTGAGGCACACAGACCTTGGGTGGGGCTAGACACTGGCTGGTTAAAGAATAAGAGTCTATGGGTAATGGAGATCAAAATAGGCCTGAGAGCTACAGAATCAGTTGCAGAATCAGTTGTAAAGGAAATGTGGAGAAGGCAAGCAGAATATCAGGTAACTCATGACTGCAAAGCCGTAATTATAGAAACATTTCGCTTATACAGACCCTAGTGTTTAACTTCAGTGTTCATTGAAGAGGAACTGGTATGTAAGTGATGCTACATCAACATGGCACAATCTTATCAAGTCATTACAATGAAAAATATGAAGACTAAATGCTTGACAAATACATTTAAGGTGTAATGTTAAATAGAATAGAACCCACAGTGTGATTTCAAGGATAATAAAATTGTGTGAAAGCTAATAGTCAATAAAGTAATTCTATTAAAATGATAGTTTGCAGGGTTTTAAAAATAATTAAAATAATGTTTTTCATATATATCAATTTTTTTCTCAATCCTGTGATTACCATGAGATAAAATAATGTTTAATATAATATTGCCTGGCCAGGCGTAGTGGCTTACACCTGTAATCCTAGCACTTTGGGAGGCTGAGGTGGATGGATCACCTGATGTCAGGAGTTTGAGACCAGCCTGGCCAACATGGTGAAACTTGGTCTCTACTAAAAATACAAAAATTAGCTGGGTGTGGTGGCGGGCGCCTGTAATCCCAGCTATTCAGGTTGTTGAGGCAGGACAATCGCTTGAACCTGGGAGGCGGAGGTTGCAGTGAGCTGAGATTGCACCACTGCACTCCAGCCTGGGCGGCAGAGTGAGACTCTGTCTCAAAAAAAACAAAATATAATATTGCCTTTCCCATAAATAAATGGGAAAATAAATCCAATTCCTGCCCTTTTAAAGACAATTAAAAGGAGTTTTAGGTCCTGCCATTTTAAAGACAATTAAAAGGAGTTTTAGGTCCTGCCATTTTAAACACAATTAAAAGGGGTTTTAGGTCCTGCCATTTTAAAGACAATTAAAAGGAGTTTTGGGTCTCTGAGATGTGTGGGCTGTGGGGAATCAGATTGGCCATTTGGCTTTTTTTCCTGCAGTCTTAACCACAAAATTGAGCTCTAAGGATTCCTACACTAAATGGGGAAGCAGGAAGAGCAAGTCTTAAAAGATTCAAGTCCATTGGCTCACCCTTCTCACTGGCCAGCCTGCTTAAATTTATTTGAACCTCACTTTCTACACTTTTGATTGGGGTAGGGGAGGGGTAGTAGGAATAATTTATGATGCTTTTTACAAGTAATTTGATGCAAATTATTTATTATGTAAAATAATTAGAAACCCAGAGAACATTTATGTAAATTATCTGAATCCCAGTCTCAGTGATAAGAAAAACTTAGATGTAAATGTTCTACTTTTCAGAAGACCAAAGGGCCTGAATTTTATATCTGTAAAGGCACAAGGGAAGAATATAAATTGAATTAGTAATTAAAGGAAGGTCTGAATCCACAGACATAGCAAAGATGGAGGATTATATATATATAAGGGTAATAGAGAGGGACACTGACATTAAAAGGAAATGTGTAGCCATTACTGTGCCAGAAAAAGAAAAGGAACAATATTTATATTGGTTGTCACTTGGAAAATTAATATGTAGGATGAAGCTTAAGAATCTAAGCACATTTTCAGATTATATTTCTGGATTGTCCTGATTCAAAAGGATAACTTGTGTGTGACTGATTTGATGGTATATGAGTCAGAAGCTCAGGCTGCCATAACAAAATTTCATAGGCTGGGTGGCTCAACAGGAATTTCTTTCTCACAGTTATGAAGGTTGGGAAGTTCAAGATCAAGATGCCAGCTGACTTGGTTCCCTGGTACAAGGTCTTTCTTTCTGGCTTGCAGAAGGCCACTTTCTTGCAGTGTCTTCACAGGGTGAGGGGGGAAAGGTGGGAGAGAGGGAGAGAGGAAGACAGCAAGTCCTCTGGAGTCTCTTCTTATGAGGGCACTAATCCCATTATGAGGGTCCCTTGGGCGCTTCTCTCATGACCTCATCTAATTCTAATTGCCTCCCAAAGGCCCCATCTCCAAATACCATCACATTAGGGGCTACAGCTTCAACGTAAGAATTTTGGAGGAATGCAATTCAGTCCATAATAGATGGTAATTTTGCCAGCAGGTACCCTATCTTATACTTTTTCAGCCCCTAAGCAGGGAGCTCATTCTAATTGTAGCACATGTGCTCTCATGGAGATCAGAGTCAGTATTGTTTGATTAAAGGTGGTAGCTTACTAATCTTTTACTCACTGTGATATGAAATTCAATCATACTTTCGTAGTAGTCTATGGAATTTATTTCAGTGAGCTGGTCTGTTAGAATGCTAAGCAGCAGTAGCAGTGCCATTCATGTGTTTATTTTTTTCCCTTTTCCTTTTCTGGAACATTATATTTAATACATGTTAAATTTTTCTAAGATACAATAAATTTATGAGGTCTCCTTAAAAGATATAATCATTAATACAATAGTTTATCATGGGTAAGTTAAATTAAATGTAGATTCTTCATAGGAAAAAAGTGAATGTTTATGTTCATCTACTCTGTATGTCAAACATTGGATAGAAAAATGGTACATCCTGAACTTGGCTAGCACTCCTGTGACCAACTCAGTTTGTCTATTCTGTGCCAAAATAATGGGTTAATTCTGCCATTTTAGTTGGAATTATTAGTGCCTTAATCCCCCTACATAGTCAGATACAGTGGAGCATAGGATGCTGGAAACTTTCCTTTAGTTTTTTACATCTTTCAAGTAGAAGAAAAGAATGTTAAGAAATCCCTTGGTTTTGACCTTTGCAGATGCTCTCATTAATCAATAGTGATATTTTAAAGAATTGATTTTTTTAAGCATACGGATATTGTCCTATAGACAGAAAAATAATCAAAATCAAAGATAAAACTGGAAATAGAATCTTGTTTGCTTTTTTGTTTCTTTGCTTTTGTTTTTGTATTTCACTGTGTTCTTTTTTGAGGTCCTAGACAGAATTAAATTAGAAATCTGGGTGATAAGACTTTTTAAATAATATGACTGATGATTTTATGTGAATTATAAAATATAGTTCCAATTCTTTTTTTGCTTTAAGCCCAGGACAAAGATTAAATGTTTTCACAATGATAAAGCTTTTGTTTCTGTTCATTTTTGTTTCTTTCAATTGATAGGACATGGAGAAAGATTTTTGCATTTATGTTTGTATAAAGTATTTCAGGGCCAGGCACAGTGGCTCATGCCTATAATCCTAGCACTTTGGGAGGCTGAGATGGGCAGATGACTTGAGTCCAGGAGTTCAAGACGAGCCTGGGCACTGTGGTGAAAGCCTATCTCTACAAAAAATCCAAAAATTAGCTGGGTGTGGTGGCATGCACCTGTAGTCCCAGCTACCTGAGAGGCTGAAGTGGGAGGATCATCTGAGCCTGGGAGGGTGAGGCTGAAGTGAGCCGAGATTGTACCACTGTACTCCAGCCTGGGCAACATAGCAAGACCCGGTCTCAAAATAAAATAAAATAAAATAATTCCATCTGCTGTTTTCTTGGTTTTATATCTCTTCCTATAGAAGCATAGTTAACTTGCTTCTTTGAAGGTAGCTGAATTTTTAAAAACATACACTAACATGGAAAATACCTTTGGTACTACATCTTGGGGACGAAATTTAATACCAGTATGTGCCATTTATAGCAATTCCCGACAGGCATTACTTATACTAATGTGTATCAGTGTTCTTGTATGATTTGAAGCACAATAATTTTCAGAACATTAAATTTCTATTTAGGGAAATAATTAGATTTCCTCATATTTCTTCAGTAATTAAATAATAGCTATGACAACACAATATAGCATTTATTTAAAGGCATTTTCTATTTTATTACCTTTGGTTTTTTTAATACGGCATTTTATTCAACAAGAAAAAGCTACTACCTTTTTCTATTGAAGATAAACATTAAAATTTATGGGACAATATACATGGGAAAAGTTTTTTTTCTTTTATATTATCCTACTTAACATATTGTAAATAAACATATATTCTTTTGCTTTTCTTTTAGTTAATGCTTTCTTAGAAAAAATTTAATAAATGTGATGTAATTATTATGAAAAGTCAGAAAAACATTAATGAAATATCAAGGTAATTAAAAAACTACTTCCCTATGCTTCTGTCAGGGGCTTCCAGCAAAGTCTCAAAAGATTTTGCTTTTTTCACAACTGTTTAATTAACTTGAGAAAAGTCCCAAGTGTACCCTTATTACAAACATCCTTCAGAAAAGTGGTGACTATGATGTGTATAGTGGTGTCTTCACCAGCAGCAGGACCAACGTGTTGGGGTTTGCAGGTGAAATTTGACTGTAATTTATTTACTTCAGTCAAATTTTAATGCTGTAATACAGATAATTTTGTCATGAACTTTGCCAAACTATCTCCTAAAACCAATTCTCTTATTTGTTGCTTCATAAAGCTGTTTTATAGCAAATGTATACTGTTCTTCTTCAGGTCTGTACATTGCCTGGTCTGGGCTTCTTTAAGGAAAAGCTTTCTCTTAAAATACTGTTTGCTTCCCAGAGATGTGTCTGTAGGAGAGGATTCACCTGCAAAAATTTTAAGAGTTTCCCGGGAAGTGCGTGCCATGGAACAGGAGTTGATGGATCCCCACTGTGTTCTCTACAGGCCATCGTATATTGAAGCAGCTTAATTTATCCTCATTAAAACAAAACACACCTTGACCTTAAAGGGGGAAAAATGACTAATCTCATTGTGTATATTGTTTTCCTTTGGGTGTATCTCTTAAACTGTCTAACACTTATAAGCACACTGCCTGCAACTCTGCAGTCACTTTCACATATATTAAGACAGTTAAGTCTTAGAGTAACCTTTGAGGAAAAGGTATTATTCTAACTATACTGATAAAGAACTGAGACTCAGTGAGGAAGCATTTGCCAAGATTCTATAGCAAGTTATGAATAAAACTAGGAATTTGAGGGCTTTTTGGTTCAAGTCTTTTTTTTTTTTTTTTTTTTTTTAGACGGAGTCTGGCACTATCGCCTAGGCTGGAGTGCAGTGGCACGATCTCCGCTCACTGCAATCTCCACCTCCTGGGTTCACGCCATTCTCCCGCCTCAGCCTCCCGGGTAGCTGGGATTACAGGCACCCGCCACCATGCCCGGCTAATTTTTTTGTATTTTTAGTAGAGACGGGGTTTCACCGTGTTAGCCAGGATGGTCTCGATCTCCTGACCTCGTGATCTGCCTGCCTCGGCCTCCCAAATTGCTGGGATTACAGGCGTGAGCCACTGCGCCCGGCCTGAAGTCTTTTATGGTACACTTTATACCAGTTCACTCTTCCTTTTGTATTCTATCCAGTGCAGGCTGCATATATAGAGCAGAATAGGAAGGAATTCTGCCTCAAGTCCTTTTTATTTCTGTGTATCTGTCAAGGTTGTTAGAATCTCTGCGATAGCATAATCCAAGTCATTATTATATTTCCTTCAGAGCACAGCAGTGGCCTTCTGACTGTACTATGCTCCTCACCTCTCAGCAGCCAGTCATCTTTTTGAAATGTAATTCAGATCATGCCATCCTTCTGTTCAAAAACCGTCAGTGATTTTCCATTGTACTTAGAATAAAATCCAAAGTACTTATTTTGGTCTTCAAGACCCAGCACGTTCTGGCTCCTGCTTACCTCTCCCTCACTTGCTCAGTATCATCTGACCATGGTTCCTGAAATACCTTAAACTCTTCCTTGCCTCAGGAACTTTGCACTTAAACTTTCCTTTGTCTGCAGGTCTTCAAGTTCCTTAAATTCTTTGACTCCCTCCAACTGATCCTTCAGATTTCAGCCCAAATGTCATTTCCTGAAGAAATACATTCTCCTACTTCCTAAACTAAGTCCTCCTGATTTATTCATGTTTTTTCTCTCTCCTGACATTTATAATTTGCCTTTATACTCATTTAGAAATAACATTTAGCAAGCCCTTCCAGTGTGCCAATCACCTGCCTTTAAACCTTATTTGTAGATGAGGAAGTAAAATACTTTCCCAGATTCCCACAAGTGTTGAACCAGGGTTTAAACCCAGGTTTCCTCAACAAAACTATAAACTCTGGGAAATAGACCGTGTCTATGTATTATTGTAGCTCCAGTGCCTGGTATTTAGTTGGCCCTCAACAAATAGATATTGAACAAATGAACCTGTAGCAATGACTTTTTTTTTCTAAATAGCTTTATTGAAATATAATTCACATACAGCAATATCTGCCCTTTAAAAATGTGAGATTCAGCCAGGCGTGGTGGCTAACGCCTGTAATCCCAGCACCTTGGGAGGCTGAGGCAGGTGGATCACGAGGTCAGGAGTTCGAGACCAGCCTGGCCAATATGGTGAAATCCCATCTCTACTAAAAAATACAAATATTAGCTGGGTGTGGTGGTGTGCACCTGTAGCCCCAGCTACTCGGGAGGCTGAGGCAGGAGAATCGCTTGAACCTGGAAGGCAGAGATTGCAGTGAGCCGGGATCATGTCACTGCACTCCAGCCTGGGCAACAGAGTGAGACTGACTCCGTCTCAAAAAAAAAAAAAAAAAAAAAAAGTGGGATTCAGTGGTTTTTAGTATGTTCACAGAGTTGTGCAACCATCATCACTATCTAATTTTAGAGTATTTTCATCACCCCAGAAAGAGACTCTATACCCATTAGCAGTTACTTTCCACTTCCTCTCACCATTCTCTGGAAACCACTAATCTACTTTCTGTCTCTGTGGATTTGCTTAGTCTAGAAATTTTATATAAATGGAAGTATAAAACATTTGGCCTTTTGTGAATGGCTTCTTTCATTTAGCCTAATGTTTTCAAGGTCCATCCATTTTGTAACATGTATCAGTGCTCCGTTGCTATTACTATTATTTTATTATATGGATATACCATGTTTTATTTATCCCTTCTTCACTTGGTGAACATTTGGGTTGTTTCTACTTTTTGGGCTTATGAACGATACTTCTCTGAACATTTTTATACAAGTTTTTGCATGGACATGTGTTTTCAATCCTTGTGAGCGTATACCTAGTAGTAGAATTGCTGGATCATGTGATAACTCTATCATTTACATTTTGAAGAACTGCTGAACTGTTTTCCAAAGTGGCACAATGACTAAGAAAACCAGAGCTTGACAGCATTTAAAGTAGTAAAAGCAGATTTTATTCAGGACTATTGCAGGAGGGGAAAAGAGACCCCAGTATAGAACTGAGCTTGGTTCTGAGTACAAGGAAAAGTAGGGGTTTTATAGCCAGGGAGCAGGGTGGGTAGGTGTGTGTCAGTGGATTGAAAATTACTGAGAAGATAAAATGACCTAACAGGAGTCTGGCTGAATATGGGCCAGAGTGATGAGCTGTCTCCTGGGGGATGGTTGGGGTTGGGGAATTTGGTCAGATTTTGAGGGTGACTAGAAGGGTGGGAGATTGTGGCTAAAGATTTTTGCAATAATTGGACGATGCAAAGATGGACACAAAGTTTAAAAGTTGAGATCTACTTGGGAAGAGGATTTTGAGGAGCCTGACTAAAGTTTGGTCAAAGACTCATACAATCTTTGTCAGACCCAAAACAGACAATTCAGCTACAGTGCTTTGTCTCAACTTTATGAGCAAGGATGCTTCCCTTAAATTCTCTTAAATTCTACACAGTGACATTTCATTCTGCATCCAGTGGATATTTGTTGACATGGTGTTGGCTGAGCTGGGATATAGCCTATGGAGAAATTTCATGAAGCTGGCAAAGCTCCTGTTATTTTCTATTTCATGCTTACATATTAGTGTTTTGTTAGGTTGTTTTTCTTTTTCTTTTTTCTTTTAGATCTACACGGAAAGATTTGGCAGGTCTGATAATTTAGGCCTCTGGAAACCTCAGTTATGCTATAAAGAGTAAAGGGCAACATCATATGTTATTGTAGGGTTCACAGTTTAGGATGCTTGGTCTTATTTTGGTAAATACTATTTCTATTATAAATGCACATTTCAAAAATAATGAATCATATATTTTTCTTTTTTTTTCTTTTTCACTATTCTTTCATTTTATAAGAAGCATTTCCTTTTTATGTCTTAGGGTAGGTAGTGGCTCCAATCTAGCACTAAGTTGTTTTTATTACTATTATATTATTTCACTTACCGAAGTACAGAGTAATTTGTTTACAAATTAACTAGCAATGGCTAAGAATGATTTAAACTTTCTCACAAATTGTTTCATCCTACGTTTTTCTACTTTACCACCACCTATCTGCAGTATGTTACACATCTTCAATTAATGCAAATTCAAAGTTATTTTTATAATTGAGCGGTGCTCCTGAAAATAATTGGCTGTCCTGGGGAGTTGGAAATCCAGAGTTGTTCCTTACTCTATTAGAAAAATGAAGTCTTCCTTTTAGTGACTAAAACAGAGCTTCCTAACCTTCACCAAGGTTAACTGCATCCTTTTCTGTGCAGTGAGCAGCTGACGTGGTGTGCCAGCTCTCATTGTATAGGCTTTTATCACAGGAAGTAGATTCAAATGATTGTAATTGCTTGGGTTACATTAATATTCATGGCACATGCCTCTTACCTTACATGGCACTCATTCTCTGTGTATTTAATTAATATGCCATTTTGCCTTTCATTTTGGCATGGGGAGCCATGATTTTAGAGGGTGTGAAACAGCGAGCAGCTGGGGAAAGAATGAATACCCAGAACCCAGTGCCAGGATTAACATACTGATGCAGATATTCTGAGAAGGGATCTTTTGAGGCAGGTTAAAAGGAAATGCCAAGTGGAACCAAAGCCGACCTTGCACTAGCACGTGATACTAGTCAAGGAGGTGCTTGGCTTCACTCTGCTGCATTTTGCTCTTGGATTGCCAGCTGCTTCAAGCCAGCTGCTTCAGCACAGCTAAAATGAAGGAAAGAATATTATCACTATATATTTTGTATTTGAAAATCTGCTGGTAATTTCAAAAGCTTAGAATGTTGACAGTAGCCTGTAGATGAAAATTTAAAACTTAGTGATCAAAGTATCATATCCTTCCTCCCTTTGCAGAATTATTTTTAAAAGATTGTGGCTTGCCTGTTTGGACAATTTTCAGAACACAGGGGGAAATCATTTTTCACTTTTTATTATAATATGATTAGATGTAATTGAATTTTAGTAAGTACATTGCAACAATGAATTTCAATGGGCATACAGTATAACTTAAGTTTTCTGGATGTAGATTTTGCAGAAAGAGGAAGTAAATACTGGAATTTAAATGCCATTTTCCAATGGACATTCCAAATAGGAGCTTGATACGTAATTCAGTTTTTCCCTTCTGCTGTCAGTTGTCCCATTACATCATAAACTTGATGTCTAGCAAGAGACAATATCACTCCTTTTTGTGTTCCTTTGGTTGATTATTAACTGGAAGATCCCCTTGACTTGTTACTTCTGTGGAGACTTTGGGTGCTCATCAAGAAACAAGTACTTAAGAGCTTTAGTAATTGATATGAACCCACCAGGTGCATGTAGAAGCACAGTTTGGTTTATGGGTTACCAGAGTGCCCCTGTTGAGCTTTGCTCCAGGTCCTACTGTATATTTTAGGCTCTTCCCTTCAGTTCAGTGCTTCTCAAAGGCCCTAGAGACAGAGATAGGAACGGATGCCCTTGGCAGCTGGACCACAGGCAAAAGCAGCTCACTGCTGAAACACTGTACCCTTGAAGTCCTTTTAAATTAGGTTAATTTTGCACTTTACCCTGCAATATATCCGTGATTACTTTAATATAAAACAGTTAATTTTCTAATCACCAAATGAAATTGATGCTCTAGAAAGGCATGGCATGTTTAAATTGGGGCTTCTTGATGTTATATGTACCTGCTTTGGAGAATCGTGGACTTAGTGTGGCTGTAGGGAAAATTCTTTTAGTCCTTTCTTTGAAATGGACCTGATAGATACAAATAACTTTCAGGACATTTGGTGATGGAATTTGGTTAATTAGCAGCTTGTTTCAGCTTTCTACTCTGAGTGTTGTGAAAAGAGGCCAGACTTAAAGTCCAGTGAGTTCAAGACCTGGTTCACTATTAACTTGTGATGTTGTACAGTTTATTAACATCTTCAGGCCCATTTCTCATCTGTAAAAGGAGACGATGAACCATAAAATATAAAGCACCATTTTCCAAATTATATTTTGTGAATGATTACTTGCAAAAGGTATTCTAAGGGTGGTTGTCAGGGAATGGGAGGAGGGGGAAATGGAGAGTTGTGATTTAAAGGGTATAAAGTTTCAGTTTTGCAAGATGAGAAAGTTCTGGAGATTGGTTGCACAACCATGTGAGCATATTGGTTTTGTTTGTTTGTTTGTTTGTTTGTTTTTGAGACAAGTCTTGCTCTATCGCCCAGGCTGGATGCAGTGGCGCGATCTCGGCTCACTGCAAGCTCCGCCTCTCGGGTTCACGCCATTCTCCTGCCTCAGCGTCCGGAGTAGCTGGGACTACAGGCGCCCGCCACCATGCCCTGCTAATTTCTTTTTGTATTTTTAGTAGAGACGGGGTTTCACGGTGTTAGCCAGGAAGGTCTCAATCTCTTGACCTTGTGATCCGCCCGCCTCGGCCTCCCAAAGTGCTGGGATTATAGGCGTGAGCCACCGCGCCCGGCCAATGTGAGCATGTTTAACAGTAGTAAATTGTACACTTAGAAATGATTAAGATGGTAAATTTTATGTTATGTGCATTTTTTGTGCATTTCACCACCATCTAAAAAACTATATTCCAGCCTGTAATCCCGGCACTTTGGGAGGCCAAGGCGGGTGGATCATGAGGTCAGGAGATCGAGACCATCTTGGTTAACACGGTGAAACGCCCTCTCTACTAAAAACACAAAAAATTAGCCGGGCGTGGTGGCGGGCGCCTGTAGTCCCAGCTACTCGGGAGGCTGAGACAGGAGAATGGCGTGAACCCGGGAGGCGGAGCTTGCAGTGAGCCGAGATCGCGCCACTGGACTCCATCCAGCCTGGGCGACAGAGCGAGACTCCGTCTCAAAACAAAAACAAAAACAAAAACAAAACAAACTATATTCTAAAAGCTCCATCTTTAAATAAATACTAATTTGTATTACACCCTCCTGCTAGAGAATGACACTGCATTCAGCATATCCAAATGTCTTAGACATCCTGCACTTAAAAAAAAAAACTTTTAAACTTTAACCCAGTATTTCTCAAATTCCTTCTCCCAATTAATTTAACATTTAATATTCTATGGAACTTACACTTGAAGGAGTCCCATTTGGGAAAAAGTTATCTGGGATCTTTCCAGCTCAAACATGTTTTTATTCTTCAAAGACACCATATGAAAATATGGGCTTTGCCAAAGTAAGATATTTGATAAATATTAATTCAGGCCTTCCGAACCTTTTCCATATCATGGCATGTATAGAAAGTAATATTTGTATGGCACACTGGGGTAAACTGACAAGGTGGCTTAGGGCTGAGGAGTGCGGTAACTCAGTTACACCCTTGGATAAAGATCTCTAACCAGGTGTTTAAAAAGTTATCACTGAGGAAGCTGCATGACATAGCTTGTTCTCCAGATGTCATTAGTTAGCATGTTTACACAGAGAAGCATTAGAGGCAGATCATACAAAACTCTATGCTATTTGGTTTGCCTTGGCAGCAATTTATTTTCCACTTTAGAGAAACCAGAAACTCTTCTGATTACCTATGGCTGTGGATATTATTGGTCATTAGACCTAACTGGCAATCCCTCGTGGTATAAGAGTGAGGGATAAGAGGTTTCCAGGAGGATAATACTCTTCCACAGTCTATTTAATATACTCAAATGATGAATTCAACAGCCTCCTATTTTTAAAGCGAGAGCATATATCCTAATGTCATAAGCAGAATAATTCTCATTTAATGGGGGAAATTTTTTTCAACTTCACATTTCCTAGAGGAACAAGTATTTGGTGTAGTAATAGGGATTGGATGTGGGAAGAAAAGGACATTTATATTAATACATTCTTAAAAGAAATACAGCATAGATCAGTGAGTGAGATCAACATTTGTCACGCCTCAGGCCTTTTTCTGAAGTCATCTTCAGCCCTTCCTCTCCACTCTATTCCTCAGTTGGTATCATTCTATAGTATCACATCTTCTGAATGGCTTACTTAAAGATTCTAGACTGATGGAAAAAAACAAACAAACAAACAAGAAATTGATTAGATTTGACAACGACCTACATCATTGTTCAGTTAGTATTTTTATTCAGCTCACCTAGAAACTAAGCAGTCATGATCCACTTAGTAACAGATGTTTTGATTTCAGAATTGCCAGGTCTTCCCCAGATTATCTTTTGTACTTACTGTCATTTTCCCCTTTAAACAACTTTTTTTGGCCTTAGTCTTTACTGTCTTTTCTGAGAATCCTATTAGAGTTTAAGATTTAAAACTAGATGTAGAAATACATCCTTGCTTAGTGTCAGGGAGCCACTGTGAAATCCCATTGACAACCTATTCTGGGCTTTAGAGCCAGAAGTTTAATTACCACCTATTGAGCGAGTTTGATTTGTCACTTCTTGGGTTCTGGCCAGGCAGAGCTAATTCCTCCTAGCAGAGCAAGGTCGGTGGGCAGGAGCCAGAATTGAGAAAGTGACGCAGTCACTTCAGCTTGTCCAGCTTCAGGCGTAGATGAAGGGAGTTAAGTGTGCCAGATTAAGTCCAAAGTGGCACACAAGCATGAGGGGCAATAAGGGCACCTGGTAAACCACAGCAAGAGGGAGTCTGCAACTAAGAAAGGGGGAGTGTGGTGACTAGCAAGGAGCAAGCGCTTGCAATTTTCAGAAGTCCAGGCAAGCTGTGCTGGCACCAGACAGGAAACATTGCGGCTGCGCTTCAGTCAGAGGCTGGCTTCAGCCTTTGAAGGAGACTGACAGGGGGTATTAAGTAGTTACTGGAATGAGACCTGTAAAAAAGGCAGAATAAAATCAGTAATAACAACTGAATAATAACAACTGAAGAAATCAATAGACTATTTAACCACATCTGTAGGCCTCTACACAATCTAGTACTGTGGAGTATTAAATGAATGAGATAGATTTAGAAATAAAAAACCATTCATGGTATATTAAGGAAAATTCAAATCATAGTATATTACATAATATGTTAGTGAAAGGAACTTTGGGACATGGTAGTGTAGAACTCTGTTCAGATGAATGACACAAACACCTTAGGCATACTTTATAGGGACAGATATACTTTGTTTGCCTTTTGTTTTCATCCATCTATCCTGAGGAAGGTCCACAATTATTGAATAATAACTGCCTAAAGTGGTAACATGTCTCTGGTACTCCTGAAAAGAGGCAGCTTGTTGTGGAGGGCAGTGTGAGTGGTTAGGGCCACAAACTTTGGATCCCAACTACCCGGGTTTAACTCTTTCTTCTACTGCCACTACTCGTATGACTCAAGTCCTTAACTTCTCTATACCTGTTACCCCATCTGTAAAAGGGGGACAGTAGTAGTACATACCTCAGAGGGTAGTTATGAGAATTAATAATAATATTTTAGAAATCTGTGGAAAAGTATCTGGCCTATAATTAGCCCTATAAATGTTTGTTAAGCAAATACACAAATAAAATACATACTTTCCCAGCTTCCAGGAATCAGGAACTAACTTAGACTTTTCTTTTCATCTCACGTGGATATTGTTCTCGTGGAATGTTGAACATTTCTTGAAGTATTGTTTTAAGCACTGTGGAAAAAATAATAGTTAAAATTGTTAGCAGATCATGGAATTGGATTTTTGACCTCAATCCTTTTGAAATTAAGAAAAAAATTACACTAGTCACTTTAAACTGGTTGTTCTATATGTTTGTGCTCTAACAATATAGAAACTAGATATTGTTATATGATTTCCTAGATACAGTTAATCTAGGCTGGGCATGGTAGCTCACACCTGTAATCCCAGCACGTTGGGAGGCCAAGGCGGGTGGATCACTTGAGGCCAGGAGTTCGAGACCAGCCTGGCCAACATGGTGAAACCCTGTCTCTACTAAAAATACAAAAATTAGCCAGGTGTGGTGGCGCACACCTGTACTCCCACCTACTTTGGAGGTTGAGGCAGGAGAATCGCTTGAACCCAGGAGGCGGAGGTTGCAGTAAGCTGAGATTGTGCCACTGCACTCCAACATGGGCAATAGAGTGAGACCCTGTCTCAAAAACGAAAAACAAAAACAAGCTACTATCTTGTTTAGATAGCGGATCTTTTCCCCCTCATAGAGAGTGCTTTGGCAGTTAGGAAAAGTAAATCACACCGAAACTGTTTATGGCGACCCCCCTCACCCCACACACTGTGAGCTAGTTAGACAGAAGATAATGCAATTTACAAATATCTGTGGGTGGCCAGGCCTGATTAGTACATGTAAAAGAAAAGTCATTAGATACACTGTGACTTCAAATAATGAGGCAGAGTAATAGGATTTGTTTTAATAAGATTTTGAGAGATTAAACCTCCTAAATCTTTGTAGTTCTGTCAGGTAAAGTTAAGGAAACCAGCACTCCACAACATAAACAATGGTGTTCTATTTAGAACCCCTGCAAAATTAGATGTGATTGGCTTCTCCTAAGACATTGAGTTGTAGTTAGTTGACAGGTTTGTTGGCCAGTAAGCAGTGGTGCTATGGTGAATAGTGCCCTTTTTGTATTTGTATTCTTTTTGGTACAGATGTATAATCTCATAGAATAATTTCAAATTAATTAGTATTGCAGCTGAACTATGTGATGCTATCACAATTTGGGTTAGTGGGTGAATTTAGTAGTTTTGGGTGCTGTTCATTCTTTCTAGCTTAAATCCAAGTAACTGAATATTTAAAAACTTTCTTTTGTTGATAAAGGTGATACCAGTGGTATGCTAATATGGTGAGGATAATTTTTATTCCTTCCTAAGGATTTTTGTGAGGAATAAAGATGAAAATAATTACTCTAAAACATATTGCAAATCTATTAAAATATATCCTATTCATGAAAATTTATACTAATGGCCAGTATCCTTAATGTTACTTAAGTTCATAAGCACTCATAGTTCAAAGGTTTATTTTTTCTTATTTTGAATATATATTATATGCCATTGAACTCAATTAACATAGTGACAATTTTTATTTTGTTTCATGGTAGAAGTTGTACCTACAGAAATAAAGGAGTGGAGGTAGGTAGAGAAGGATTAGAATGGGAGGTAGAGCGAGATAATGTAGTGGCTACACGTTTCTTTGCTCCCAAATTAAGATATTTGGACTAATTGGAAGACTGAGAAGTTCAGCCTCTCAGCACAGCCCATTGTTTCCCTGCCATCCACTCCTCTGGATGTCAGGAAGAAGTGAGAGATGGAAAGATGTGTTTGTTTGCTCTCCTCCACATTGTACTTTTTCCTGCTTCCAGGCCTGTCTGTGTGAGGCCTGAACCAGTGTGAAAAAAGAGAGCTGGAGAAGAACATACATCCTGTCATCTCCCTGCCTTTAGAGTTTTCTAGAACAGTTGCTTCGTAAATTGCAGGGGATTCCCATAAGTCAATAATTTATCCTGATCTTTCTCAAAAATAAGAGAATTTCAAGATATCTCATTTTGAAACCAGCCCAATTGCCCCATAGACTGTTCTTTTTGATAAACATAGAAATTGACCCTTCTGGCATTAAAAAAGTTGAAACTTATATTTGATTTCTCTTGAGTTCCTTCCTCAGGAAACTACCTTTAGGCCTCTCACACAAAGTACCAAAGAACTGAAACCAGATCCCTGCACCATATGCCAAGAGATCCCCTCATTCACCATGTTTGCTTCTTTGCCCCTCCCAACTTCCTGGTTTCTTACACATTGTTACATTGCTTACCTGCTATATAAACTCCTGGTTTAATCAGTCAGGGAGATGGATTTGAGACTGAACTCCCATCTCCTCAGCTACAGCACCTGATTAAAGCCTTCTTCCTTGGCAATACTTGCCACCTTAGTGATTGGCTTTCAGTGTGGCGAGCAGCAGGACCTAGACCAAACCTCCGGTGTTTCAGTAACAATTTAAAAAATAGATTATAAAACAAAGGTGGTACAGAAACTATCTTGATAAATCTGTGGTGAAACTGAAAGTAGATTTTTCATTTCCAGATTATCAATTTGGGATTTAGCTGATCAGGATACCAATTTACAAATTAGCCAATCCAATATATGTGTATGTATACACATACACCCAAAACTTCTTAGTATTTCTTGCTAGTGAGGCAGGATATTTCCTTGACCCCTTAATGGGTCTCGCAACAGGTGCCTTGTTTACTCAGCCTGCTGCTCTCAACTCCTTATGGGAGGGAGTATGCGAGCAAACAAGGTAGGAACTGGAGTGCATGAGCGCTGGAGTCAGCTGGCCACTTGGGCACTGGCAGGATCAAACTCCACTCAGACCCACTGCCTTCCACCCCTTGTGGGAGGGAGCACCCAGGTGAGTGGGTACAGGAGCTGGAGTGAGCACTTTTGGGCACTGGTAGGAGCGAACTCTGTGCAGGCCTTGTGGCAGCATCCAGGCAGGATCCCTGCGACTCCTGAAGCCCCAGGAGGCATGTTACAGTGCCCTTTTAGCTCTGCCATCCACGGATGGCTTAAGTGTTAACAGCTCAGAGGGCCCTCCACCCTTTCACATGAGGCGGCTGTCCTCTGCCAGTGAGGGCAAAGGGCCAGTGTGACAGCCTTTTGTATCTGCATTCATGGCTCCTGAGCTCTTGTCTGGCACCCAGGAGAAACAAGTTTACACAAACGAATTGGATGGTAAATGTGGGGAATTTTTCTTGATGATGAAAGTGGCTCTCAGTGGAAAGGGGAGCTGAAAAGGGGACAGGGGGCTATGTAATCTTCCCCTGGAGTCTGGCTGTCTCCAGCCAGATTCTTTTTTGAAGTAATGTCGTCAAGCTGTGTCTCCGAAGTCAAGCCACTTCTCTGCGATGTCCAGCTGTAGTCTCTGATGTCCAGAGGCTTCTCCTTTCTCTGCTGCCTGAGTCTAGGGTTTTTATAGGCACAGGATGCGGGGTGGGGCAGACCATGGGCAGTTTAGGAAAAGGGAACATTTGAGTGGGAAAACAGGGATATAAGTTCTCACTTTGGGCCGTGGTTTCAGGTTTTTCAGCTGGAGGGTGGGGCTTTGCCATGGACCTGCCCTTTTCTGTCTAGAATTTATCTGCCTCCTGTCCCCATCATCAGGAATTCTCAGTGATTTATAAATATTGTCTTATTATTTTCTGTAACATCACTTAGAGGAAGGTAGAAGTATAACATATACATCTATGACAGGGTATGGCTAGCACACATATTTATTGAAGATTCTAAAGGACTGTCCTCAAACCAGAGAAAGAGTCACATTTAGGAATCCAGTAACTCTGCTTTTATGCTACTGCAGACATTGTGTTAAATAGGTGTTATAATGCAAGCCATAATAGCTCCAGATGACAATTTCATTGAGTTTAACCATTTAGAATGGATAATATGTTGTAGTAGTAATAATAGTTATTATAGGCTGCATGTGGATTTGCCTCATTTTAAGCAAACCTGAAAAAAATACCTATGTTATCAAATTTTTGGATTTTTGCCAATGTAATCAGTGTGGGTTTGAGTTCTGTTGTGAAAGAGGTATTGATTTCTTTCTTTTTTTTTTTTTTTTTTTGAGACAGGGTCTTGCTCTGTCCCCCAGGCTGGAATGTGATATTGATTGCTAAGAACTATATTTATTAGTGAGATTAGCCCTTTGTGATATGAGTTGCAAAAGGTTTTGGATTCTTCACTTAAGTGCTATGCTGGAGTTGTCATTAGAGATTTGTCATTTGTCTCAGAGGTGAAAAGAGCCTTGTAGTTCAAATCTCTCAATCTATAGATAAGAAAAATTGACCCAGAGACATTAAGCTATTAGCCCAAGAGAGAACAAATCTGATCCCTAAATCTTTTCTAGGAAACAAGGTTCCATGTGGCTAGAAGGGACTGAAGGACAGAGAGAAGAACTCATAGGTGCAGCCATGTTCATGTAGTAGTTTTATACAACTGGCATCAAATCCAAAGCATAGCTTGTAACTCCTTGATGTTGAGAAGGTGCAGCTGGGCATTTTAACAATTTAACAGTAGAATAGAAAAGCAAAGATTTCAAAAACTATAATTATGTTTTTACAACTTTAGTTTTAGGAGCATTGCTCATTAGTTGCTAATTAATCCATATATCTGGTGAAACAGATGAATAGCATGTATTTGGTTATCATATAAGCATTGTGAATCCAAGTTAACATGTTACTTTCATTCTTTCTAATGTAATTATTATGCTATTATCAATTTGTTACCATGCAGTAATCATGCAGTTTTAAGTTACTGCTTAAAACCCAGAGTGAGGCATAGAAATTTATGTCGAGCTGGACAGAGCTGAATGTCAGCCACATGGTAGCAAGATAGATGCTTTGCATCAGGGTCATTTCTACTATTATAAAGCTTGAAAAAGGATAGAACAAGAAGAGTCATGGTTGTATGGATGTTGTTATGGGTTTGAATTAGCATATGTAGGACATTCCAGTACAATTAATAACCACTCAGTTAATTGGTTGGGGTGAATTCTCTTTTAGTGTTTCATTTACCTTATAATTAGCTGTAACTCAGCAATTAAGTCATGACACCAGCCCACTGTGACACTGAAGGTTGGAGGATAGTGCTTGGGTGCATTCTGCTCATATTAAGTCAGAGTTGTTGGTTTCCTAAGTGCCTCTCATTCTCTTTTAGGTTCTTCAATAAATCTATGTGTTATTCATATGTAGTCACAAATGCACTGAAACAAATGCCGTCTGCCCCAAGAATCTGCAGATTCCACATCTGCAGATTCATTCAGTCAATGGCATATTGAAAATAATATTCTGAAAAAAATGCATGGTTGCGTCTGTACTAAACATGGATAGCATTTGTTTTTTACTCATTACTCCCTAAACAATAGAGTAAAACAATAGAGTAAATGCTATTTATGTAGCATTTATATTGTATTAGGTATTATGAGTAATCTAGATATGGTTTAAAGTATACAGGAGGATGTGCATAAGTTATAAGCAAATACTATGACATTTTATGTAACAGACTTGAGCATCCTCTGCTTTTGGGGTCCACAGGGTGAGGGGATTCCTAGAACCAGTCCTCCATGGGTATTGAGGGACAACTATAATTTCATACAGGATTTTGTGATTGTAGCAAACTGTAAAAATTGTTTCATGTTCATGTACTATCTTTCTAAAACTAGAATTCAGGTTACATATACACATATAAATACTTTTTCTCATTGGTTCTTTTAGAAAAACTTTTTAAGACAGGAGGATTTTCTTCTTGATGTTGTTGCTGCTATTATTCTGTCAACTTATTCTTAAATAACTTGTTTTAACTGAAATAAAACTGAAATATTTTTTGAAAATTCCCCTAAATTCCTGCTTTAGAAAATAGCCTGTATTGTTTGTTTTTAAAGCTATATATGCTTTTATTTGTTACCAAAATAAAACAAGTGTGTTTAAAAATATTTAAGACTAGAGAAAATGGAAAAAGTGTGTAAAATAAAAGTTCCATGTAATTCTATCCTCCAAAGACAACTACTTAATGGATTCTAGTTTTATGTCATGCTTAAGAAACCTTTTCTTCCACTGATTAAAATACACCACTAGTACATAGAGTAGAAAATTTCAAGTCTGTAGTGAAGAAAAAAAATCACTTACAGTTCTACCATTTGGAGTTGAGCACTATTGGAATGTTTGTCATTCCTTTTTTTTTTTTTTTTTTTTTTTTTTTTTTGAGACGGAGTCTCGCTCTGTCGCCCAGGCTGGAGTGCAGTGGCGGGATCTCGGCTCACCGCAAGCTCCGCCTCCCGGGTTCACGCCATTCTCCTGCCTCAGCCTCCCAAGTAGCTGGGACTACAGGCGCCCGCCACTACGCCCGGCTAATTTTTTGTATTTTTAGTAGAGACGGGGTTTCACCGTTTTAGCCAGGATGGTCTCGATCTCCTGACCTCGTGATCCGCTTGTCATTCCATTTTTCAGTGATACATGTTACAGAAACTGTCCTTATGTTTGTGTACCTATACAGATAGCTAACGTATCATCTATACACTTTAAACAAAAGATGTCAAACTACACACACTTATATAATTTGCTTTCTAAACTAAAATGGAGTGATCATTTTCCTGTCATTTATAACTTGATTTTTAATGGCTGCATACTATTCTATCATATAGATATTTAATATTTAACCATTTTTCTTGTTGTATATTTAGTTTTTAGGTTTTTTTGCTTTTGCAAATAATATATTTATAGATATATTTTTGCTGAATATCCTTGAAGATAAATATTTTTACATGCCTATTATTATCTCCTTAGGCTAAATTCCCACGTGTGTAGTGATTTTTAAAGAACAACAAAAATATGCTCAATTCACATGTATGAACTTATGGGATTGATGAGTGGATGAGAAAGAACCCATCAGATTTTCAGAATGACTTCAGCAAGTAAATTTGAAGATTCCAAATTTCAGGCTTTTAATTTAAATAGATAATCTAGCTTTAAACATTCTGCATTTAGGTACTTAAATATTTTGGTTGAATATATATTAATAATCACCATATTTGTGCAGAGGAAGCCTATTGTGCATATTTTAATACCAACCTTATTTATGCCATTGAGTTTTCTATCCATTGATTTTTTGGAACTGTGTATATCACACCAAAATCCAAATCCAAAGTGAAAAAGATAGTCAAACACAGGTGTTGTGGGATACACAAAAACAAGCAAAACTAGATTTTCTTGGAGAAAAAGGGTATGATGACTTCCCAGGATGCTTTAAATTTCTTTCTTGTTTTTAGCTGACCTCACTCTAGGAAGAGAAAATAAATTATATTAGTTATTTTATTTCCAAATAAAAGCAAAAATTATAACTTGAAAATATAAAAGGGTATTACCTCAAATGTTGATTAAAACAATAGTTATATGACTAGAATAAAATTTGGACTTTAACATGTAGAAACTGTAATAGCTACTGTTTAGTGTGCTCATAGTAGGTACCTAACATGGCCCTAAGAACTTCTTCTCATTCTTATTAATCTTTATTAAGGCCAGGATAATAATATATGCATGGCAGGTCTGAATGCTTCAATTTTAAATGCTTCTCAAATTATTCATCTTTTTGATGTTTTAGATCCAGGAAACCTTTGGATGCCTCCCCACAATTTATTAAATTTTTTCAATGTGTTAATCATTTCCTTTATTATTTTTATAGAAATTATTTTAAGTGTGATTTGGCACGACCTGTAGCAGAAATTTTAATCATTTCATTCATCTTTTTACTATCATAGTTTATCTGAGACATAATGATTTTTATGACTTCAATGACACCTGAAATGAAACCAGTACTCTAAAGTAGTTTTTGTTTAACATGATTTGATTCTTTTAGAATTTATGTTTTGCCAGAGTGAATGAGGAATTCAGATATAATAGTGACTGTACAGTAATGAGTTTCATTTCTAGCTAGCTATTTTTATCCAAGGAATTGGTATTCTCTAAAATGACAATTGTAAAAGATGACTAAAATTATTTTTGAAACATTTTTAGACTTGATATACCAGGGTTCCACTAGAGAAACAGAATCAGTAGGCTACACACACATACACTGAGACAGACAGAGAGAAATAGAGATTGAGAGAGAGAGAGAGAGAGAGGCAATGAGTTGGGTTCCAGGATTTTGGGGGCTGGCTAGGCAAGTCTGAAATGGGTAGGGTGGGCCATTAATCAGGAAGGGCAGGCTGGAACTCTTGTGTCTAAGCTGAAGCGGCTGTCTGCAGGTCAGATTTCTTTATCAGAGAAGCCTCAGCTCTGCTGTTAAGGCCTTTGAATGGATTGAACCAGGCCCACCCAGATTATCTAGGATAATCTTTACTTAAAGTCAATGGATTGTGTATTTTAATCACATCTACAAAATACCTTCACAGCAATACTTAGTGTTTGGTTTAATAGCTAGGGGCAGTAGTCTACCCAAGTTGACACACAAAATCTCACCATCACACTTGATATCTGAACCAGTTCAATGCTCATATAGAAACACCCACTTCATTAATAGGTAGTTATAATTTATCCATGATAAAAACCAGAAATACCCAATTTGACTACTTAATGCTGGTACTAGTTTGGGCTATACACAGTTTGCATGTTACAAAAAGTAAATCTACCCTTGAAATAATAATATTTACCAGAGTTGAGAATATTGAAAAGAAGGTATGCTAGGCTATATTTAGGATTTTTATAAAGTTTCGAGGAATGGCAGCATCATTGGGATACTGATCGACTTCCCAAATGATGTAACTGGACAAACGGTCATTTAAACCTGTGCTTCTTAAGCGGGGCTCATAACTCCCCTGAAATATATTCTTATTTTCTTCTGCCATTAGAAGGACTTTAGTAGAAAATACCAGAGAAGCATTGCTTTTATTTAAGGTAAACCAGGGGTCAGCAAACCCTTTTCTGTAAAGAGCCAGACAGTAAATATTTTCAGCTTTGCAGGCTGTACAGTTTGTTACACTATTTAACTCAGCTGTTGTAGCATGAAAGCAGTCATAGACATTACATAAACTAACAAGCACGGCTGTGTTTATAAAATGTATTTACTAACACAGGCAGTGGGCTGGATTTTGCCTGCAGACTGCATTTTCCTATCCCTGATGTAGACAGGTCTGGTGTGTTGGTTAAATAGTCGCTCTGTTTGTAATACCATACATATCTAGTGACAGGATGTATTTCAGCACAGTTTAGGAATTGGTCAACTATTGAACACCTTCCATTTTTCTGCTATTTTATTTTATTTTATATTTTTATTTTATTTTATGTTGAGACGGAGTTTTGCTCTTGTTGCTCAGGCTGGAGTGCAATGGCACGATCTTGGCTCACTGCAGTCTCTACCTCCCAGTTTCAAGCGATTCTCTTGCTTCAGCTTCCAGAGTAGCTAGGATTACAGGCACCCACAACCACACCTGGCTAATTTGTAATATACATACATATATATATTTTTGTTTGTTTGTTTGTTTTTTGAGATGGAGTTTTGCTCTTGACGTCATCCAGGCTGGAGTGCAGTGGCACAATCTTGGCTCACTGCAACCTCCGCCTCTCTGGTGATTCTCCTGCCTCAACCTCCCGAGTAGTTGGGATTACAGGAGCCTGCCACCATGCCCAGCTAATTTTTTTGTATTTTTAGTAGGGATGGGGTTTCACCATGTTGGCCAGGCTGGTCTCAAAACTCCTGACATCTGGTAATCTGCCCACCTCAGCCTCCTAAACTGCTGGGATTACAGCCATGAGCCACCGTGCCTGGCCACATTTCTCTGCTATTTTAATAAGAACATAGAATAGAATAAGTATAGGAATGGGGTAGTGTTCAATCTATTAGGGGATTAAAGCTATTATATATAAAATTATTAGCACACAATATAGAGTTATGATATATATTTTATATGATTATATAGCATGACTTATTAAATATATGTAATGAAGCATATTCTCTTAATTCTCAAGAAAGAAAAAAAGTAAGCATTCATGTTTGTTTTGTGGCTCAGCACAGAAGCTAGGCCAGGTGCAGAGATTTCCTTGTGAGCATATGGAGGCAGCACTAAGGCAAGCTGGTGGCTGCCAACTTCCTGGCTTTGGTTCCGCCTCCCATCTCCTCCTTATTAACAAACGACAATAATCAAAGAAAAAGGAAGCTGAAACATTATTTGAGCATGTATGTAGAGGACATAGGCATTTGGTAGAATATCATAGACATCCAAATACTTGAGTCTGAGATTCTAAATTCAGTAGCAAAAATGCTACTTTTTACTCTAACACTATGTAGTCAATCATAGTTCAGGCACAGGCTAAGAAACCAGCAGATTTTCCAATTCCTAGAAAAATGACCTAGGGAATAGCACTTACCATCTTTAGGTATTAGTTTCTTCATCTGTTTTAGTCATGCCTTGTGTTAGTGATCTTTAAGCTGGAGCAGATCAATTCCCATGTGTTAGAAAGATGACTCAGGTGGCAGTGTAGAGTTTGGGTTAGATTGGGTGCTGAGAGATGGCATCTAGGAGACAGGTTGGGGGGATATGATCATCCAGGTAAGAAAAAGGAAGATTGGACCACTGAGGGCAACACAGATGGAAAGAAATCCAACTGGAAATACCTGTGAACACATGCTTGGGTACAAGCTTTATGTGAACCCAGGGTGAGTAATGCTGTGGGATCCTTCCAGTGTAAGAAGCCCTTAGAACAATGGTTAGGAACTCAGGCTTCAGCACCAGTTGTACCTGAATTCATATCCTGGGTCTGCCACTGTCTATCTGCGTGACTTTGGACAAGTGACTTAAGTGATTTAATCTTCACTTTCTTATCTCTAGATACAGACAGGATAATAACACAAAGTTGTGAAAATTTACTAAGACACCATGTAAAGCATTTAGCCCATTGCTGGTTGTTTTATGAAGATTCTATGAGTGTTTGCTGCCATTATTATTATTCATTATTATTATTTGTGGGAGGAAGTAAAGTTCAAGTACCAATAATAATTTTCAACCATTACAAATTGTGATTATATAAAAGTTTTAAAAATTTCTCAGGAACCAGGGAGCATTCTATTTTTCATTCTAATTTGAGAATAAAATTATATTTTATGTTTTTACTTTTCTCAAAAGCGGTAGGAGCAAATCAGTTTTAGGTTGTCATTTTTTCTGTTTCCAGGTTTTTAGAACAGTAGATACCTGTTCTCTGTAATTTGGTATGTCTATCTGTGTAATGCTTAAGTCAGTCCTGGCGCTTGTTCCTAAGAAAAGGAAAATAAGAGGCAAATACATATTGATTCTGTACAAGAAAAAGAATAAAGGAAGGGAGAAAAACACCAAACGTCACTAGTGCTCTGTGACAGAAGAGAAAAAGGTTGTGTTTCATAATACACTGAGGTAGACTTTATATTAAAAACATACTCTCCCCAATACTCTGCAAGTTGGATTTTTTTGAATATTTCTTTTCATCAGCTAGGTTCTTATTTTATTTTATTTTCTCTGCAGCTGTTGGTCTGTCTCATGTTACATTCCCATCATTTATGTATCTGGTTTTGCCTGTGATGAAGCTGAGAAATGTCTCATTTTAATGGTTTCTGTGTTTTGTGTCTGTCTGTTTTCCAGTTTTGGGGAGACATTTAAACCAGTAGTCATGTCATCTCATGTAATGACATGCCTCTCTGCTTATTCTCCCTTCTGTTACCAAACAATATTTATGGCTAGCGTCTGTATGCATGTGTGCGATGACTATTTGCTATACAGTTGCCTAGAGCACTGTGAAACTCCACATGTTCAATGGAGTGATTTCTTTTTGTTTTTCTGCATGCTATCAAGTACTCTCAAAGTGTTCCTTCGGCTTTTTGCATGAAAGATAGCTAGAGGATAGAAAGGGACATTCCAGTAAATTCTACTTTGTAGCAAATTGAATATAGAGGTTTTTCTTCCAGTAATGTTTTCCTCCCGATTTTTATGTAGAAAGTGTTTTGTTAAAATTCTGGAAATGAAACTCAGAAAGGAAATTAAAAGAAAAGGGAAGAATTGCATCAATTATGACAGATAAGAGATTAACGTACTTACTAAGAGCTTTTATAAATTAGTGCCATTCCAATAGAAAAAAAGGCAACACGAACTAGTAATTAAATTAAATTTAAAAAATTAATTAAAGCATTAAAAACTAGAGAAAATAGACATAGAATTTTAAGCCTAGCTAGTAATCAAATAACCAAACTTCCCTCCTCTCCCCTCCCCTCTCTTCCCTTCTTCTCCCTCCCCCTTGTTTTCTTTTCCTTTCTTTTTTCTTTTCTTTCTTGAGCAGGGGCAGGGAGGAATGGTTTCTTTCTTTTTTTTGTTTTATTTTCTGTATTTTAAAAAATGTTTTGGGAAAACAACTTTGAAAAGCAAAAGCAATCTCCATCCATTTTGGGGATACACATTTGTTTGTTTCTATAGTAACATGATGGTTGGCCTTCCAGTGGTAATACTCATTTGTAATACAACTGGGCCAGAGGTACCTTCTGAGTTCATGGCACAGGATTTCTTAGAGTGAGGTTGACTGACTCATTCAAACCTAGGACTGTAGCTTCATTAACCTTGAGTTTTAACCAATTACTGATCCACCTCAAGAAACATTGTCTGCATTCTAAGGATCTAGGCGTTAGACAATTGCTAATTAAAAACATGAAATTTCTTTCTTTTTCCTTCTGCATTACAGATGAATAGATTATTCACCATGAGGGATGACCATTTTGGACACTATTTGAGATAATAAGAATAGATGTTTAAGAGGGGAAAATGCCATTTACATGGGCTAGGAGCATTTTTATTAGGGATGAATTTAGCTTGAGATTTGTTTGGTAACAAAAAGCACCTGGAATTTAGATGCATCTTTTAATAGATTTTTTTTTTAAACTGGCTTGCCAATATTTGAAAATATCAGTGCTCCAGTTTCCACCGACTGTTACCCGTAGACATTACGTAAAGCCAGATGCATTTGTGATTTAACCGGAGTTCACAGCCCAGGACCTGAGGAGATAATTTTAGGTACTTTCTGGAAAAATAACTGGTCCTTAGGTACAAATGCAAAGCCAAACGTAGTTATTGGAATTGAAAATAATAAAGCCAAGGGCTTATTTTGGACAACCATGCAGCTGGAGCAGCTGAATACTAAAATAGTGGCCTGTGTGGTGGTTTCCCCTGTGGCTTCTTATCTCCGTGGGTTACACACCCTCACCCAGGGGAAGACAGCCTTCTTAATGCAGCTTGCAGCAGGCCTTCTTTTGCGGGGCAGATTTTCCTCAGAAGAGAAGTACATTAGTCATTGAACTGTTAGAGAATATAATGAAAAGAAAAACCTAACTTTGGATCAGATTTGAATTTTACTACCCCATGGCCTGTAGCTGCTTCTCTGACTCAATATATTATCTTCCTTTAAGGCAAACTATTTAGTTTTCAGTTAGTAGAGGGTTTCAAAACAAAGCAAGTAGATTAATAAAAAGTGTAAAAATCAGAATAAATAGAATAGAAAATAGATTTATTTTTATTTTGTCATGTAATCTCGGCTGATAAAACAGGAATATACATATGTGTGTAGTGGTCAGTTTCAAAATCATGCCAGTTAAAGTTCTCTGTGTTTTAATTTTTCTTAAAGGCATATATAAAAAAGAATCTCAGAGAAAGGAGACACATTCATAATGATTAACCATACATACATCTTTAAAAGTTTGGTGTAAGAATGAACCAGTATTATACTTCATAGAAGGGCTGATTGTTCTTGCAGCAGAAAAAAGATATGAGTTTTATTCATAATTTACTTACTAACTCATTCAATGCCATTTATCTTTAACTTAAGTCACACTTAATGATAAATGCTCTCCTCTTTACTGCCAGACTGCCTGTAGAAGTAGCTGAGCTGGCTGCCTTAATTTCCTTACTATTCACTGTCTTTAATCACTTCAAATTTGACTTTGGCCCCACTTCACCAACATGCCCAGACTCTCGCCCTTTATGTCACATTGGGAAAGCCACATCCTGTTGAATTTAACTCTGCAACATCTGATATGCTCAACTCCCCTCTCTGGTGGTATTATAGGCGCTCCCCTCTGAAATAATTCCCGCAGCTGCACATTTTACACACTCTACCCCATTGCTACCAGATGTGTCTGTCTTTGTCACATCTCTGGTTATGAATGGTATCTTCTTTCTGCCTGCTATATGAAGTCCACTTTTCTTGGCTTGGCATTTGAGCCAGCATTCTCTCCCACTGCTTCTCATCCGCCCTGTTTTCCAATCCAATTCCTTTATGTATGCTGTGATATCTACCTAGAGTCCATACTCTCTCTTCTTTCCTCTCTAATCTCATGTTCAAAGCTTATCCTTCTTTCCAAGCCCAGAAGGAAGGACATCCCATTCATTAACCTTCTCTAACCCTCCTAGCTGGAAGTAATGTTTACTTCCTCTAGATTTTATCTGTACTTCTCTTCTGAGATGTTTCATATTCTGTGTTATTTGTGTAGCCATCTCATTTTCCTGTCTCAAGGGTAGGATCAGTCTCATTATCATGTTATTTTCTGCCCCCAGTGTCTAGTTCAGTGTATGATACTTTTTATAAGCTAAATATATTTTAGATATTAATAAATGTAGAGCATATATGAAAGATGTTTTAGAATATAGATGTTATTCCGTTATACTTGTTAATATTCTTCTTACATTTCTTAGTTATTTCCATGCATTTTAGATTTAACAATTATCTGTTCAAACAGTTGATTATTGTGAGTATTTTGAACCCTTTTATTAGGTTCCAGCACATTAAGTAACGAATTGCCGTATTCAGCTTTGTAGCATGTAATCTTCCAAATCTTACTATTAAAGTTTCTGTAATATTTTTTGGTATAACTTCCAGTATAGGAAGAGTAAATGAGAAGCTAGTGAACAAATTCCCCTTAAGATAATGGAAAAGTCCTAGCACATTTTGCATGGCTGATGCTGTGAAGAGCCCTTTGGAGTACTCCAGTATGAAGACAAGAACAAATGGGAGTGTCCTTTTATACCACTCACTCCAGCCACCCCATAAGAGCATGTAATAGCTCTCTACAGTGACACTGCACCTTGCAAGAACTGAGCAATCCAAACATTTCAATTCCCCAGAGCACCAAGCACTAAGTAAGAAAAAAAGGCCAGTGCGTATAGTACATACAGATAAGCATAAAATAATTACCAAGGGAAGGCCTTACCTTTGGCCCTCAAACACAGCTGTTATTTTACGTAGTTCCAGTGCACATCTTTTAGGGCTGTACTTAGCACCCTTCTCAAGGAAACATTCCTTTATGCACACTCTGTCACTCACTCCATCCAGCCCATGGCTGAGTTAAGAGTACTAGCTCTATATTTCCAGCAACACCAGAATTATAATTGCCTGCCAATTTGTCTCCATGTCTGCTTCTCCCACAAAACCTAGAGCTCCTTGAGGATAAGAACTATGTATATATCATATATCTTTGTATCACCAGTGTTTTACATAGTACCTGGCCACACGTTGAATATGAATATCTATTGAATGGCCAAAGCTGGTCATGCGCCTTTGAAATCACAACAGATTTTTAAGTAGCACATTGAGGAGAAAAGGCAGTTTGAAGCAGGTACACAACAAATAATAATAGTTAATATCTGATAGTGTGTCAGGTGACAAAAATAACATGAAGAAGACTTAAAACAAAACAAAACAAAAAAAAACCTGTGCGGGATTACTTACTTTTGGAGGCAATAACCTAGAGCACTTCAACAGTTTGTTTTTTGTTTTTTTGTTTTTTTTTTTTTTTGAGATGGAATCTCGCTCTGTCGCCCAGGCTGGAGTGCAATGGCGCGATCTCGGCTCACTGCAACCTCTACCTCTTGGGTTCAAGCGATTCTCCTGCCTCAGCCTCCTGAGTAGCTGGGACTACAGGCACCCACCACCACGCCCGGCTAGTTTTTGTATTTTTAGTAGAGACGGGGTTTCACCATATTGGCCAGGCTGGTCTTGAACTCCTGACCTTGTGATCCTCCCGCCTCGGCCTCCCAAAGTGCTGGGATTACAGGCATGAGCCACCGCACCCGGCCTCAACAGTTTTTTAAAAAACTTTCTTGCATGCTAACACAGTACTGTAGTTTACATTCATTTTGATGACTTAGAGTTACCAGTCAAAGATTGAAATATGTTCTGGCCATTCTTTTTAAGGGTGAAGTCAAGTATGTAATGCATTTTGGAAAGATTCCGTTGTGAAATTGTTTTTAAAAGTGTCTGGTTTAATAGGATAAAACCTTAACTATCCCACATGACTAATTTCTGAGGGTTCTACATAGCCATAGTCTTGCTATATGAGGATAATATAAGTATATCTGGGACCATCTTGATTTATTAATGTGTAGTAGTCATTGAGTCTTCCTAATATGGACTTCAGACTGTACAGGTAGTCTAAGGATAGAAACACACACACACACACAGACACACACACACACACACACACACGGCAAAGTCCCAGCCATCAAAGACTTGTAGTTTTGTCAGATTTATATTTTCTTATGAAGGTTATTATCAGAAGTCCTGGGAAATGGTTGTTATAACTTTCCTACCTAGAACTCTGCCCCTTGTAGTCATTTAGCGTTTATCAAACATTGAGTACTGTGTGGACCAGGCTCTGTGCTGGGTGCTCTGTGTTGGCTGATGGAGGATTGAGACACAGTGTGTGTGCTTGTAGGGAAGAGGTTCCCAGAGCCTGGAGCACCTTGTCTTAGCAAAGTTTCTATTTCTCTTCAATGTAACTATGTGGAAGGTTTGCTTTGTGTACAAATAGACATTTATTTTTTCTTCCTGGTATTAAATAGTTTATGAGAAACAGACAAACTTGTAAAATAGTCTTCAATCATAAATGAAAGCATATTTTAAATAATTAAAAATATAATAAGACTTACTTAGGTCTTTCCTCTGTTCTTGACCAGGGTGGAGATCTTCATTATCAAGTTTCCTGTAACTAAAAGGGAACAGATCGTCTGAGATCTTGCTCCACTTGTCCTTGAGGGTTATTAAGGTTTGTGTGTGACTGGGCGTTGGATGGTCCTTCATGATATCAGGGAAGGTTGACAGATGGCCTCCCTCCAGCAAGGGAGAAGGTGCCATGAAGACTGAACACTGCATTGTTCCCACCAATACAGTTTGCGCCAGTATAGTTTCCCAGACCACAACTGAGGAAAGAATGTGCTCAGCTCCACTCCTCAGCAGAGCCAGATGCCCAGTACAGCAGAAACAGTGTACCTGTAAAGTTGCCTAGGCGACATCGGGAGTGGAAGGAAGAGTAGACAGAATGATTTATGAGGGTTTCTTGCCATAGGAATGGGTCTAAAATTATACTTCCATGTCTTTTCCTCAAGAATAAATGACACAGGATTTATCAAGGGGATTGTGATACATAAAACCTCAAGACCTTATCAGACCCCAAGGAGACCAGGGCCAAGGGCAAGGAGAGGGGCAGCAGAAGCAACAAATGAGGAAAAGAAGTGCTCGTGCTGTGCTTTTAATCCTTGATCGAACTGATGCTCTGCCTTGATGTAAAACTGATTTTTAAAAAACATGCAAATATTGTGTATTTAAAATAGGACTAGAAAAAAAACCACTTACTGGGTGAAATGAAGATATTTTATTTCCATATTAAAAAAACAGCTCCTCTCAGCATCTACTTTAGTATTAGCACATTTGCAAAGACAGTTACATGCCAGCATGTGAAATAGCATGTCATGGTAGCAGAGGGAGAACTTGTATTTTATTTATGAACAATCGGGAAAGAAACGCTCGGGGCACATAGAGTTGGTGTATCTTAGCACCCTTTCTCGGCATACTGCAATTAGCCAGCATTATCAGATGTCAATGTTGATTTTTATTTTCATGAATTATTATGTTGGTGATGGTATCAGTTTTATATTGCTGCCTAACAAATTTCCGTAAATATAGCAGTTTAACACACACTTCTTATCTCTCAGTTTCTGTGTCAGGAGTCCAGGCATGGCTTAGATGGGTCTTCTGCTCTGGGCCTCACAAGGCTATAATCAAGGTGTTGACCAGGCTGCTATCTCAATTGCAAGTTCAGTCAGGGGAGAATCTGCTTCCAGTCTCACTCAGGCTGTTGGCAGTAATCATTGCTGTAGCACTGAGGGCTTGAGTTTCTGACTGGCTGTTGTAGAGGCTGCCTGTGGTCCACGTGGCCACTTCATTAAGCCAGTAAGGAGGATCTCTCTGTCTGCCACCAACATAGAATCTTACATAGTTGTTTGTTAGAAGCAAGTCCCGTACTCCATGTCCCACCCACATTCAAGGGAAAGGGGTCACATAAAGTTATGAATAACTGGGTGCCTGTAGTCCCAGCTACTCGGGAGGCTGAGGCAGGAGAATGGCGTGAACCCGGGAGGCGGAGCTTGCAGTGAGCCAAGATCACGCCACTGCACTCCATCCTGGGCGACAGAGTGAGACTCCGTCTCAAAAAAAAAAAAAAAAAAAAAAAAAAGAAGTTATGAATACCAGCCAAAAAAAAAAAAAAGAAGTTATGAATACCAGCAGAGCAGGGATCGTTGGAGTCACTTTAGCGTTTGTCTGTCACAGGGTCATTCTGAGGAAAAGTTCTTTCATTTTAAAAGCTGTGCAATCTGGAAATCTGTTTGAAATTAGCAGGAGTGTAAACTAAGCCATTAGAGCTTCCATTTTTCATTCCCTTGTCCTTTGGTAAATGAGGAAGGGCAGAAGTAAAGTTGCAGCCTTACTTAATAGATGCTGACAGGAAGGAAGAGAGAAGTTAGTAAGGTTGAAAGAACAATGAAATGAGAGAAGATGATATTCTCTATTATCACATGGAAAAATACAAATGATGGATTAAACTATTCCGGTGTGTTCCCTACCTTACTTTGGAGGTCTGAGAAAACAGTCTGAGGCGAAGTCCCTGCTAGACTAACTTATCTCGTAATGTGCTTTCTATAGAAAAGCACATTTTCAGTAACTAAATCAGAAATGTTGCTTTGCATGAAATTGACAATTTCTTAATCCACCCTGATAGCCCAGTCTTCGGGCCTGGAAGGTACTGTGGCCTTGAATATTCATCCCTTGCAATGAAAACATTGCTAACCAGCATGCTTAGGTTATGGTTTAGGCTTTAACATGGCTTATGTCATAACCATAAAAAGACTTGAAGAAAAGGAATAAACAGGATCACAGGTGGTTCCCATATGGCCTGTGGCTCAATTGATTGTTCCCACGGTATCTGGTAAGGCAGTAATCGGAGATTTAGGAGCACATGTTAGACTTCAGGGACATTTCTTTGCCTTCTAAAATGGCTGCTTTCAAAATCACCCTCAGGTTTAGTACTACCCCAAGCAACTAGAATCCAGATAAAAGGACCCTTCTATGAAATGATTCTTCATTTGTTTTGTAGGGCATCCATATTTCACAGGACTAATCACAATGTGGATGTTTTACATCCTGGGCTGTACACTGTAGCACAGTGCTTGGCACATAGAAGATGCTCAGTTAATGCTAATATGACAGCTACTACTACCATTGTTAACATTTACACATTCAGCTCAGTCTCCCCTGCATTCTACAACTATAGTAATATAAGATGCCAAATCAGGCCGGGTGCAGTGGCTCACACCTGTAATGCCAGCACTTTGGGAGGCTGAGTGGGGTGGATCAGTGAGGTCAGGAGTTTGAGACTAGCCTGGTTAACATAGTGAAACCCGCATCTCTACTAAAACTTCAAAATTAGCCGGGTGTGGTGGCACATGCCTGTAATCCCAGCTACTTGGGAGGCTGAAGCAGGGGAATCACTTGAACCCGGGAGGCGGAGGTTGCAGTCAGCCAAGATCGCACCACTGTACTCCAGCCTGGGCGACGGAGTGAGACTCCGTCTCAAAAAAACAACAACAACAACAAAAAAAATCAAAAGAAAAACAGCCGTCATAATACATATTATTTGATGAGGTCTGCCGTATTAGGCACTTTATCTACAATATTATGTTTAGCTCTTGTGACAACTATGCAAGATAGGTATTACTTTTAAAATTTTATAGACAATGAAACAATCTCAAATGTACACGAATACTTTTTGTAAAGAGATTTTCACCCACATTGATTTACCAAGAAAGTAAGTAAACCAAAGCCCCCTATTCTTTATCTTTTTAGTTGGGCCGCATTGTCCATCTAGGCATTGCATAAACTTGTTAGAGAGAAGTCCTCCAAAAATCATTTTGGTAATTTTGGGGAAGACACACAGCTGTCCTGATTTTTAGAAGTGCTATTTGGATCCATGTTAATTTGTCTCATCATAGTGGAAACTGAGACTAGCCATTCACTACTAGTCAATCAATATTCCATGTATTTGTATACAGTCACTTTAGATAGTAATTTCACATATCTAATTCCCCACCAGTGCCTTAACTGCGCTTCACTTTCCTTCCCTGGGCATTCACCCTCAGGCCCCAGGGCTGCGGTACTCTGCATGGAATGGCCTACCGCTCTACCCCTCACTGTTCCCTAGTCTCTGCAGCCATCAGTAACTTTACCTGGTTAACTTTCTATTCAGCCTACAAGTCTCAGATGAGATGCCTTTTCTTGGCAGAAATTTTTCTTGATCTTCCATTCCTTTTGGTGCCCTGTCCCTTATAATTTCCTCGTGTGTCCTTTCCCATTTGCTTATCCGATGACTTGCTTCTCTCACCCATTGGATTGTGAGCCTCTTGTGGTCAGGGGCAGTGCTCTGTAAGCTGCTGTGTCCCCAGAATCTGGCCCAGTGTAGGCACTCAGCAGCTATAGACTGATGTTAAGAGAAAATGCACATTTCATCTCAGCCTCAGAGCAGTTCTGGGAAACAGATAGGAAACCAAAGCTCTGCAAGAACGTGGGACTCTCTCAGGGCCATCACAACACTGTTGTTGGTCTCATGTTTGGTGACTGGGTCTCCTATTCCTGGTCTCTTTCCTAGGCATAATGCTTTTATATAAAGTCCCTTCCATTGTTTTTTTGTTTGTTTTCTTTTTTCAGCCTAAATAACTTAGTTTCTCTAAACTTTTCTCCCAGGGACTCTTTTTTAACCCTTTGAATTATTGCTGATTATTATCTTAATAACTTTTATTTTTTTTCCATTTTGCATGTCATATTTTAGCAAAGCATTAAAAGGAACACGGCACAAAGCACACCCATATTTTTGGATGCTGTGGATTTCATCATGCTGCTTATTCCATTATATCTAGTCAGTACCTCCAAGGCATTAATGCTGCCTTACCTCCTTCATTCGAAGACTTCCCTGTGCAAGGTGGAATATACGTAAGGAGGCAAACAGACTGGGTTATATGCCTGCTCTGCTTTACAGAGGCCTCTTCCAGGAGTGTAATACGGGGGTTGCTCATACTCTGAAGAAGATAGTGGCAGGCTATTACTGTCATGAGAGCCAGAACGTGGCTGGCTTCTTACAGACATGGCTTCATAGGGGCATGCCACGTGATTCCTGAGTAAGCCTTCTGGTGTGAATTCCCTGCTCACTGGGGTGATTCTTCACTTCCCACAGTTCAACCTGCTGTATTATCCTCTTACCTATGCTTTTCTGTGATCCATAGAGGTAATTTAATTTTCAGTCCATGTACCTACCCTGCCTACTTAGTTTCTTCTCAGTGCCACACTTAATTCCTTCACATTTACTGATTAATTAAATGAGAAGACTATGCCAGGTGAAGGTTCAGCATCTTCAGAACTCTACATGATGCATTCCCTGAGGCTGCCTTTCAATAACTGAGGTGATATTCTTTGAGCAGTGTGACCTGTTAGAGGTGCCCAGTCAGGTCCGATGAAAAGCCCTCTGATTTGTTGAAATAGTGCATTAGTAAAGTATTATAGTTTATTTTCACAAAGCTAGATTAGTTGTTACATGTTGGTTTTTGTTTTGCCTAGCCCTAACAAGTATGGAGGTGACCTTGATGTGTCTATAGAATATCAGGAATATCTGGCTGGGTGGGTGGCTCACACCTGTAATCCCAACAATTTGGGAGGCCGAGGTGGGCGGATCACCTGAGGTCAGGAGTTTGAGAGAGGCCTGGCCAACATGGTGAACCCCCGTCTCTACTAAAAATACAAAAATTAGCCAGGTGTGGTGGCAGGTGCCTGCAATCTCAGCTACTCCGGAGGCTGATGCAGGGGAATCACTTGAACCCGGGAGGTAGAGGTTGCAGTGAGCCAAGATTGTGCCACTGCACTCCAGCCTGGGCAACAGAGCGAGATTCTGCCTCAAAAAAAAAAAAAAAAAAAAAAAAAAAAAAAGAATATCAGGAATATCCATTTTATGTCTCAACTCACATACCTCACAGTTTTCTGGTCCAATTTTTAGGCACTTTATCAGGCCCTCATATGTTTTCAAAAATAATTGCTAATGACTTTGATGAAGCTAGGCAAGATATTTTTTGGTTTTAGGGCAGTTTGGGCTATAGTTTGCAGCCTTCCTACTTTAATAGAAGAATTTTTAAACTAGATTCTCCCCCTTCTCAGGGTGGCTTTCTGCCTTTCCATTCTAGTGCTTCACACAGAAATGACAAGCTCACAGGGGACTTATCTAGAAAAGGCCGAGATAAAAATAAGTACAATGTTAAAAAAATCTATCTTATAGTATCATTTATTTAGAGCTTCCTCTCCTTTTCTAATGAAAGGCTGCTGTAGTTTCCTTTTGTGCTTTTTTTGCTGAAGGCTTTTCAGTAATATTCCCGTGTGTCCCCTGTGATGCTAAAAGCATGAGCTTGGGGGCAGGTTGACTGGCATTCAGGTCTTTGCTCAGCCTCCAGCCGCAAGACAAGGCGAATAATATTGATCTCATGGAGCTGAAATGAAAATTAACTTTTCTAATCTGTGAAAATGCTTTGTTATAATCCTTAAATACATGAATACATAGGTTGAAATAGCAAGTACCAAGTGCTGACATTATGTCCACAATTGCCACATGCCATGTCCTTATGATTTTTGCCAGATGTTTAATAAGATTATAAATGAATAGGTTATTAAATGGGCATCTCCTACTCTCTAGGTGTTTCTGTTTCTGCTTCTCTGTTTTCTGTTTGTATCTCCATTTATTTTAATGCCTACCATTATGTGAAGTCTGCCACCTTCCTATACATGGATATACCAGAGAAATACATTTTAATTATTAATTATTATTGATATATAATCTTAAAAACAAATGAATGGAATCTTTATTTTTAATCTCTTTTAAAAAAACTCAATTTTTTTTTTCACTTACTGATTAAATCTTGAGTCTTTTGCCTCCAGTGGATCAGTGATTTTTCAGCAGAAAATCTTTCCTCTCCATTGCTTTGTGCTTTTGTTGCTAGGCAGTCAACAGCAGGGCTACTAAAGCACTTCTAATTTAGACAAATCTTTTCCTCTATTTTAGAAATGGATTTCAATGGTGTTCAGTTTGTTTGCAGAAACCTACTGAAAGGTATATGGTACAGATATGAATGTTTATAATTACAGAATAACAAAATGAATATTCTGCTGGCTTTTTTTTTTTTTTTGAGATGCAGTTTTGCTCTTGTTGCCCAGGCTGGAGTGCAATGGTGTGATCTTGACTCACGGCAACTTCCGCCTCCCGGGTTCAAACGATTCTCCTGCCTCAGCCTCCCAAGTTGCTGGGATTACAGGCACCCACCATGCCCGGCTAATTTTTTGTATTTTTAGTAGAGATGGGGTTTTGCCATGTTGGCTAGGCTGGTCTCAAACTCCTGACCTCAGGTGATCCACCCACCTCGGCCTCCCAAAGTGTTGGGATTACAGGCTTGAGCCACTATGCCTGGCCTCTGCTGACTTTTAAAAAAATAACAGGGAATGTGGGGTCACTCATAGTGTGGAGGGAAATTTTGAGAATTTTAAGCACCTCTGAATCATATTGGCAGTTATAAGCTGTAGGGGTGTTTTGTGCACATTTGATTTTTTTTCCTTTTAAAAAATCTCCTTCCTTCCACGAACAAACTGTTGCATGGGAAATGACATATCACTATATATATATATATATATATGTATGACATATCACTATATATATATATGACATATCACTATATATATATATATATATATATATATATTTTTTTTTTTTTTTTTTTTGATGGCCAGGCAAAGCCTCCTCAACTCAACTGTAGCTTCCTCCTCTTACCTCGCAGTAAGCTGATGACTACTTCTGTGCCTTCTTCTACCTTCCCGGAAGTTCCAGGTCCATTTAGTTCGAGTTGTAAATATTGACTGAACACATTGTGTTAGTCCAGTCTCTTGTGATTGCAGATGAAATACCACAGGTCAAACAAATTCATTTAAGAGTAGGTGCAGTGGGAGGCGAGCTTATTGAGAGGATGCTTGGGTGGCACGAAAGAATGGAACCAGTGTACCCTTCAACATCCATGTCTTTGTTGCTCAGTCTCCTAACCTCCTCAACCCTTGCATCTGCTTGGAAAGGCCCATGCTGTCTCCTTGGCATCTTGAGGCAGGTCCTTTCCTCTGTTTAGATTGTCCTCCCATCCCTCCTCCTGTCCACTTTGGTTTGGTTAACTTTTAGTTATTCTTCAGGATTCAGCTGAGATGTGTCCATCTCCTGGACTTCCTCCCTGCCACCCAGCCTGGGATGCATCCCTCTTAACATGTTTTCATAAAATCCTACACCCAGGACCAATCTATGCACTTATGTAATAGTTGCTCATTTGCTTGTGTGTTTCAACTGCACTTGGTCTTCTAGAGAGTGGGAACTGTGTCTGATTCATTCTTTCATTTTTTACCCATTGTCTCATTCATAAACAGAGAAAAATATTTGTTGAATGAGTGAACGTGGGATCTCTGTTCATTTTGGTATATTACTTTGCTTTCTGGGCTGAGCTCAGGACAGATGCCAAAGCCTTTCCCTCTAATGACATCAAAGCCCTACTTCTAAAACCAGACTGGATGTGATTCCCTTCTACAAACAGATTCAGTAAAGAAATGTGAATACTCCCACAAAAAGCCCAGTAAGTATGTGGTGGTTTTGATAATAATAAAAGTTTTGTGTAGTATCTAGATATAAATAACAATGACTTAAAATATATGTATAAAATACTTGTAAGTGAACCCTAATCAGTGAGCAACAAGGTTAACTGAATAGTGGGTATGAACAGAGTGGTCAAGAAGGTGCCTGGGCTACTCTGCCTATGGAATAGCCATTCTTTATTCCTTTACTTTCTTAATAAACTCACTTTCGCAAAAAAAAAAAAAAAAAAACAAAAAAAAAAGAAGAAGAAGAAGGTGCTTGGCAGTGAACATTCATTTTTAGAGGTTTATTTTTCATTTATTTCATTGACTCCATTTATTTCGATGACCAGTTTAAAAACCTTTTAAGTAAGTTGAAAAAAACCTTTTACTCATCATACACTGGCCAAAACCACAATTACTTTTGCACCAACCTAATAACTTGTCAATTTGTCCTTCCTTCTTAGGGGTAACCATAGTATAATAATCTTTAATAACTATTTAATATATTAAATATAGCTATTTTCAGTTTATTCTAAGGTTGAAATACTGCTTGTTGATGCATCAGGGACTCTGATGTGCAGGTCCCACAAAATGTGTAAGAGCACCTTCTCTTTTTGGCTAACAGTTTTGTAATCAACTTTGATTAAACTCTTCCATGGTTATGAATCCATGAAAACCGTTATCAACAATTGTTTTGGGAGTTAGAAATTACAAGTACTCTATTTTCTTGTATGTAGCTTTTTTCTTTCAGTATATATTACTTGACACCTAGTATTCTGAGCCTATGTAATGGTGAATCATTTTAATGGGATCTTACTATGGTTCTAAGAATTATCATCATCAGAAATAAATGATTTTACCAGAGAGAAAAATGAAAGAGCTGGTTTTACTGACATACTCATACATTCCTTGTTCTTCTCCCTTTCTCTCTCTTTTCTTTTTCAGTGAGCATGTTTTTGAACACATTAACACCGAAGTTCTACGTGGCCCTAACAGGCACTTCCTCACTAATATCAGGGCTTATTTTGGTAAGTGGTGGAGTCCTTCTCATTTAAAAACATGCTGATTAGTAATATGTGTATTAGTGTATGTACAGTAAAAAACTCTGGAAGAATATACACTAACAGGTTACAGTGATTATCTTGCACATGTATATATGTTGGGGAGTGGACTCATAGAAGCCTTTTACTACCCCATTATATTTCTGAAATATTTGAAAACAATTTAAGCAATCGTATATTACTTTGTTGAAGGGGAAAAACAAATGTAAATGAAATGGAAAATAAAGGAAGACATAATTCTCTGTCAAATTTTACTATCTAAGATATTGTAAAATAAATGTAACTCAGTTCAACTAAAAATCATCAATATGGGGCTGGGCGCAGTGGCTCACATCTGTAATCCCAGCACTTTGGGAGGCGAAGGCGGGCAGATCACTTGAGGTTAGGAGTTTGAGACCAGCCTGGCCAGCATGGTGAAACCCCATCTCTACTAAAAATACAAAAAAAATTAACCGGGTGTAGTGGCACATACCTGTAGTCCCAGCTATCTGGGAGGCTGAGGCAGGAAAATGGGTTGAACCCGGGAGGCAGAGGTTGCAGTAGCCGAGATCGCGCCATTGCACTCCAGCCTGGGTGACAGAGCAAGACTCTGTCTCAAACAAACAAACAAAACCAACGATCAAAATGGAATATTGTACAAAATCAAGATCAATAGAAATATAGCTTAGTTTTTTTTTAAATGTATTGACATGGATTGTGACAATTCTAAGTTTTTTTTCCCTTCATCTTCTTTTCTTTCTAAATTTACATTTATTTATGCATTGCTTCCTTTAAAAAAAATCCCTAAAATGCAAAAAAGCAATATGATTATCATTTGTATGGCTCTATTACCTTATCTTTGTAACAGTTGCAGGTGTGCTAAATGGTAACACTTGAAGTAGTTAATTTTAGTGGCCTCAAATGGGGACCATCTAAACTCAGTGGGACTACTCTAATAGAATTAAATGACCTTTAAGGCAAAAAGGTTTTAGAAAAGCTTTTTTTCTCTGTACCCATATACTTGTGATTAAATTATAGAAACAAGCATAAGAAAAATTTTACAGAGTTGATGTTAAGAGAAGTGGATGATCAGAAGAAAAACAGAAAAGCTTTAGAGAAGGGTGCAAACATGTGGAGCAAAGAGCATAAATGGACCTAGAATAATGGTGGATTTCAGAAGCTTGAGCTTGTGAGGAGCCAGAGTAAAAAGATGAAGAAATGTATGGAGGACAGAAACCTGCAAACAGAGGAGAGGGATGATGGCAGTGTGGGGAGGATCTTTTTGTGTGCAGAGAACATCCAGGTTCATCTTGCTTTGCTGTGTCATATGGATTGTTAAACTCGTGGCATGAGATGTTTAAAGTTGGTGTTAAATGTCCTCCCACACATCTCCATTCCGAGTTTCAGGGTCCCACTCTTTTCCAATTAATGCCCTCACTTTAACAGTAGATACCTGGTGAGCCTGAGCATGTACCTATCATTGCAGGTCAGCCACTCACATAAGAGCTTGTGTCTGATTTTCCACAATTTCCAGCTCTTTCTCTACAAGAGATGAGACTCTCACTAAGGGCACTCTTAGAAGATTCGAAGCTCAGTATGTGCTTCTGGAGCCAGGAGTTAGAATCCCTGAGTTCGTTGTTTTCATCACCTTGTCCAGTGAACTTAGGAGCAACCAACCAACTTCATTATATTCCTTGGTTCTCCACATATGGTCAAAGGTATTATGTGTAGAGTTGCTAAACTCTTTGCCTCTCAAGAGTGGTGAATCAGGAGTATCAAATGCATTTATTTTGCATAACTCTCTAAACAGTTCACGCCAAGGACTGTCAGTGTTCTCCATACTATTAGAAGTAGAGTCCTTAGCATTTTTGGGTCTAATTATATTAAGCAGCCAACTCCAGAAACCCCAAAACCAACTAAAGAAATCTATCCTCAAAATTCTGTTTCTCTAGAACTACTTCTGGTACTAAAAATCTGTTTTGGATAAATGAAAATCCAACTAGAAAGCCCAATGCTGGCTGCAAAGACCAACCCAAGTTGAGGTGAAGCATATTAAACTTCCTCCTTAAAATGGGTTGAAATAAGGTATATGCGATAATTTATACCATGTCGCCTCTTAAATACTAATCTGTTCACCTGTATGTGTCTCTGAAGTTTTCCCTGTTCTTTAGAGATATGAGAAAAATAAAGACCCTGTAGAAAGTGGCTCCATAAAGCTATAAAGCTGGTCACTAATTTATTCCATGTAAGGACTGTATTTTATTCTGAGATTGTGTCCTTCTTACTTTTTAACGTTAAAATTTTCTTCTGAAATGATGGTGATAGTGTATGGTAGTGTTATTTTACTATTATTACTTTGCAAAGAAGAATATAGCAGCAGCCCCACATTGGTCTTCACATTTGTCGGGGCGGGGGCAGGAACTCTTGGCTTCAGAGAACAATCACCTCAAAAATTTACTTCTACTTAACCTGTTGAGGAACAACGTAAATTGTCCAAATGGGAAATAGTAAAAATATTTGAGTCTGACCTAGAGCAATGAATGGAGAAGAGAAAGGCTTTAGATAATCTCTTCAATCTAGGGGATTGAGGGCAGAGGAAAATTATCTAAGAGAGGATTTGGTGGACGGAAGCCAGCAGAAACTGTTTTGCTAGAAAACCACAGAAAAAATTGTGGTAAGTGCTGAAGGTATGGGAATGAATCTCTCAATCCAAAGGTTTCTAACTTTATTAATTAAAAAATATTTTCATTAGGAGGCAATATACTTATTATTTAGAGCTATGTAAGAAACTATATTAATATATTGAGAATTACATGATATCCAGAGAGGACAAGGAGTAGACAGAAGATGATGAGAGAAAGTAATGAAAAGGGGAGATCAGTTTCAGTGAGATAGGTGATAGAAGAGAAAACCATGAAAAAGGAAGAAGTCAAGTGAGCCCTGTTTGCAGACAACATGATCTTATATTTAGAAAAACCTAAAGACTCTACCAAAAACAGAACTGATAAACGAATTCAATAAAGTTGCAGGATACAAAATCAGCATACAAAAATCAGTAACATTTATATATGCTAACAGTGAACAATCTGAAAAAGAAATCAAGAAAGCAATCCCATTTACAATAGCTATAAAGAGCATAAAATACCTAGGAATTAATTTAATAAAAAAAGTGAAAGATGCATACAAGGAAAACTATTAAACCCTGATGGAAAAAAATTGAAGAGAACACACAAAAAATGGAAAGATATTTTGTGCTCGTGGATTGGAAGAATTAATATCATCAAAATGACAATACTCTGTGAATAAATTTTATAATACTCTGCACATAAATTTACTTATTTAATGCAATCCCTATCAAAATACCAATCACATTCTTTACAGAAATAGAAAAAAAAATCTAAAATTTATGTGGAACCACAGAAGACCCTGAATAGCCAGAGCAATCCTGAGCAAAAAGAACAAAACTGGAGGCATCACACTATCTGACTTCAAAATATTTTACAAAGTTATAGTAACCAAATCAGCATGGTACTGGCATAAAAACAGACACATAGCAATGGAACAGAGTAGAGAGCCCAGACATAAATCCACAAATTTACAGTCAACTCATTTTCGACAAAGGCACTGAGAACGTACATTGGAGAATGGACAGTCTCTTCAATAAATGTGCTGGAAAAACTGAATAACCATATGTTGAAGAATGAAGCTGGACCTCTATCTCTCACCATATGCAAAATCAAATCAAAATGGATTAAATACTTAAATCTAAGACCTGAAACCATGACACTGTGAAAGAAAACATTGGGGAAATGCTCCAGAACATTAGTCTGGGTAAAGACTTTTTGTGTGAGACCTCAAAGCACAGGCAACCAGAGCAGAAATAGACAAATGGGATTATATCAAGTTAAAAGGCTCCTGCACAGCAAAGGAAACAATAAAGTGAAGAGACAAACCATAGAATGGGAGAAAATATTTGCAGGCTATTCATCTAAGAGATTAATAACCAGAATATATAAGGAGCTCAAATAACTCAATAGCAAAACCGCAAATAATCCAATTATAAAATGGGCAAAGATCTGAATAAACATTTCTCAAAAGAAGACATGTGAATGGACAACAGGTATATGAAAAAGTGCTCAGTATCACTAATCATCAGAGAAATGCAGACCAAAACCACAACGAGCTATCATCTCACTACAGTTAGAATGGCTTCAAGTGATTCTCCTGCCTCGGCCTCCTGAGTAGCTGGGACTGCAGGCATGTGCCACCGTGCCTGGCTAATTTTTGTAAGAAGAAAGGGTGTGGTAGGTGCAGTGGCTCACGCCTGCAATCACAGCACTTTGGGAGGCAGAGGCAGGAGGATCACATGAGGCCAGGAGTTCGAGACCAGCCTGGCCAACATGGTGAAACCCTGTGTCTACTAAAAATACAAAATTAGCCGGGTGTGGTGGCACACACCTGTAGTCCCAGCTGTTCAGGAGGCTGAGGCAGCAGAATCACTTAAATCCAGGAGGCGGAGGTTGCAGTGAGCTGAGATGGCACCACTGCACTCTAGCCTGGGCAATAGAGCGAGACTCCGTCTCAAAAAACAAAACAAAACAAAAACTGGGTGTAACAGAAGCTGGTGAAGATGTGGAGAAAGGGGTACTCTTGTACACTGTTGGTGGGATTGTAAATTAGTACAGCCACTATGGAAAACGGATGTTTCTCAAAAAGCTAGAAATTGAAATAGCATATGATCCAGCAATTCACTTCTTGGATATATATCCAAAAGAAAGGAAATCAGTATGTCAAAGAGATACCTGCAGTCCCATGTTTATTGCAGCACTGTTCATAATAGCCAAAATTTAGAATCAATTTAAGTACCCATCAGTTGATGAATGCGTAAAGAATATGTGGTATATATTGCAGAGATGAACAGAAAACTTCCCCTTCATCCTTGAAAGGTTGACAGAAAAATTAACTGACAAATGGCAGATTAATAAGAGAAAAGGCATAAGAAATGTATTATTAACGTGCACAGGAGAACTACAGAGTGATTACCCAATATCTCAGTGGGGTTAAGAAGCTTATATATGATCTTGAGGTTACAGAAAGATTGGGGTCTTGGATCCTGGCAAAACAAGTTATGGTGGAGAAACAAGTTGTGGGACGGGGAAAAGAGGAATTTTCTTGAGGGTAATACATGATTACTAGGGAGAATGATTGAATCAGGGAACAGAGGTTAATTTGTAAATAGTTCTCTTTGGAATTTGAATGTTCCACAATGGAATGTTTTTCAGTGATGAAAAAGAATGTTCTGTTATTTGCAGCAACATGGATGGAACTGGAGGTCATTATGTTGAGTGAAATAAGCCAAGTACAGAAAGACATATATTGCATATTCTCACTCATATATGGGAGTTTAAAAAGTGGATCTCAAAGATACAGAGTAGATTGGTGGTTACCAGAGGCTGGGAAGGTCACGCAGGCTGCAGTGTACTGCACACTGCACAGCTTATTGTAACCTTGACCTCCTGGGCTCAGGCAATCCTTTGTCTCAGCCTCCCAAGTAGCTGGGACCACAGGTGCGTGCCATCATGTCTGGCTAATTTTTAAAATTGTTTGTAGAGATGGAGTCTCCCTATATTGCCCAGGCTGGTGTTGAATTCCTGGGCTCAAGCAATACTCTTCCTTTGGCCTCCCAAAGTGCTGGGATTACAGGCGTGAGCCACCATGCCTGGCTGAGGTTTATTAATAGGTACAAATATACCAGTTAAATAGAATAAATAAGATCTAATGTTTGACAGATAGTTAGGGTGACTATAGTTAACAATCTGTTGTGTATTTCAGAATAGTCAGAAGAGAATAATTTGAATGTTCCTGGCACAAAGAAAAGAAAAATAAATTTAAGGTGGTAGATATTCCAGTGACCCTGATTTGATCTTTACATATTACATGAAGGTATCAAATTATCACATGTACCCTGAAAATATGTACAGCTATTATGTATCAATTTTAAAAAGCCATGGGGAGAATCAGGGATTGTTGACCTGATAGGACTTTGATCATTCATCCCTAAGCCATTCGTTTTTCAGAGAAGAAAATCGAGACTAACAGAAGAAAGAAAAGGAAATGTTTTTTGTTTTTGTTTTTGTTTTTGTTTTTTTTTTTGAGACGGAGTCTCGCTGTGTCGCCCAGGCCAGACTGCGGACTGCAGTGGCGCAATCTCGGCTCACTGCAAGCTCCGCTTCCCGGGTTCACGCCATTCTCCTGCCTCAGCCTCCCGAGTAGCTGGGACTACAGGCGCCTGCCACCGCGCCGGGCTAATTTTTTGTATTTTTAGTAGAGACGGGGTTTCACCTTGTTAGCCAGGATGGTCTCGATCTCCTGACCTCAAGATCCACCCGCCTCGGCCTCCCAAAGTGCTGGGATTACAGGCGTGAGCCACCGCACCCGGCCAGGAAATGTTTTGTCTAAGCTCATGTGGTTAGTTTGCAGCAAAGTCAGGCCTAGAACCTAAGTCTTCATGTTCCTACCTTAATATTCTTTTTTTTCTTTCAAAGCTTGTTTATTTTTATTTTTAAATTTTTATTTCAATAGGTTTTTGGGAAACAGTTGGTATTTCCTGAGTAAGTTCTTTAGTGGCTATTTCTGAGATTTTCGTGCATCCATCCCCCTAGCAGTGTACACCATACCCAATCCCAATGTGTAGTCTTTTATCCCTCACCCTCTTCCCACTCTTTCCTCCTCTGAGTCTTCAAAGTTCATTGTATCATTCTTTTTTTTTTTTTTTTTTTTTTGAGTTGGAGTCTTGCTCTGTTGCCCAGGCTGGAGTGCAGTGGTGCTTTCTCGGCTCACTGCAATCTCTGTCTCCCGGGTTCACACCATTCTCCTGCCTTAGCCTCCTGAATAGCTGGGACTACAGGCGCCCGCCACCATGCCCGGCTAATTTTTTGTATTTTTAGTAGAGACGGGGTTTCACCGTGTTAGCCAGGATGGTCTCGATCTCCTGACCTCATGATCCACCTGCCTCGGCCTCCCAAAGTGCTGGGATTACAGGCGTGAGCCACTGTGCCTGGCCCATTGTATCATTCTTAATGCCTTTGCGTCCTCATAGTTTAGCTCCCACTTATGAGTGAGAACATACTTTTGGCTTTCCATTCCTGAGTTACTTCACTTAGAATAATGATGTCCAATTCCATCCAGATTGCTGCAAATACCATTATTTCATTCCTTTTTATGGTGGAGTAGTATTCCATGGTGTGTGTGTATGTGTATATATATATATATGTATACATACACACACACCACATTTTCTTTATCCACTTATTGATGAGCATTTGGACTGGTTCCATATTTTTGCTATTGCAAATTGTGCTGCTATAAACATGCGTGTACAAGTATCTTTTTTGTATAGTGACTTCTTTGCCTCTGGGTAGGTACCTGGTAGTGGGATTGCTGGATCCAATGGTAGATGTACTTTTAGTTCTTTAAGGAATCTCCAGTGTTTTCCATAGTGGTTGTACTAGTTTACATTCCCACCAGCAGTGTAAAAGTATTCCCTTTTCACCACATCCATACCCATATCTATTATTTTTTTACTTTTTATTATGGTCATTCTTGCAGGGGTGAAGTGGTGCTGCATTGTGGTTTTGATTTGCATTTCCCTGATCATTAGTGATGTTGAGCATTTTTTTCATGTTTATTGGCCATTCGTATATCTTCTTTTGAGAATTATCTATTATTCATGTCCTTAGCCCACTTCTTTTTTTTTTTTTTTTTTTTTTTTTTGAGACAGAATTTTCACTCTTGTTGCCCAGGCTGGAGTGCAATGGCACAATCTCGGCTCACTGCAACCTCTGCCTCCTGGGTTCAAGCAATTCTCCTGCCTCTGCCTCCCAAGTAGCTGGGATTACAGGCATGTGCCACCATGCCTGGCTAATTTTTTGTGTTTGTTAGAGACAGGGTTTCACCATGTTGGCCAGGCTGGTCTGGCCAACTTCTGACCTCAGGTGACCCACCTGCCTCGGCCTCCCAAAGTTCTGGGATTGTAGACGTCAGCCACTGCACCCGGCCCTTAGCCCACTTTTTGAAGGGATTTTTTTCTTTCTTGCTGATTTATTTGAAATCCTTGTAGATTCAGGATATTAGTCCTTTGTCAGATGTGTAGATTATGAAGATTTTCTGCCACTCTGTGGGGTGTCTGTTAATTCTGCTGATTATTTCTTTTGCTGTGCAGAAGCTTTTTAGTTTAATTAAGTCCCATCTATTTATCTTTTTTTTTGTTGCACTTGCTTTTGGGTTCTTGTTCATGAAGTCTTTGCCTAAGCCAATGTCTAGAAGGGTTTTTCCAATGTTATCTTCTAGAACTTTTATGGTATCAGGTCTTAGATTTAAGTCTTTGATTCATCTTGAGGTGATTTTTGTATAAGGTGAGCGATGAGGATCTAGTTTCATTCTTACTCATGTGACTTGCCAATTATCCCAGCACCATTTGTTGAATAGGGTGTCTTTTCCACACTTTATATTTTTGCTGTGCTTTGTCCAAGATCAGTCGACTGTAAGTATTTGGCTTTATTTCTGGGTTCTTCATTCTGTTTCATAGGTCTATATGCCTGTTTTTATACTAGTACCAAGCTGTTTTGGTGACTGTGGCCTTATAGTATAGTTTGAAGTCAGGTAATGTGAATCTCCAGATTTGTTCTTTTTGCTTAGTTTTGCTTTGGCTATGCAGGCTCTTTTTAGGTTCCATATGAATTTTTTGGTTGTTTTTTTCTAGTTCTGTGAATAATGATGGTGGTATTTTGATGGGAATTGCATTGAATTTGTAGATTGCTTTCGGCAGTATGGTCATTTTCTCAATGTTGATTCTACCCATCCATGAGCATGGGATGTGTTTCCATTTGTTTGTGTTATCTGTGATTTCTTTCAGCAGTGTTTTGTAGTTTTCCTTGTAGAGGTTTTTCACCTCCTTGGTTAAGTGTATTCCTAAGTATTTTTTTATTTTTTTATTTTTACAGCTACTGTAAAAGTGGTTGAGTTCTTCATTTGCTTCTCAGCTTGGTCGCTGTTGGTGTATAGCAGGGCTACTAATTTGCGTACATTAATTTTGTATCCTAAAACTTTGCTGAATTCATTTACCACTCCTGGGAGCTTTTTGGATGAGTCTTTAGGGTTTTCTAGGTATATGATCATGTCATCAGCAAACACTTGACAGTTTGACTTCCTCTTTACCGATTTGAATGCCCTTTATTTCTTTCTCTTGTCTGATTGCTGTGGCTAGGATTTCCAGTACTATGTTGAATAGAAGTGGTGAAAGTGGGCATCCTTGTCCTGTTCTCAGGGTAAATGCTTTCAACTTTTCCTCGTTCAGTATAATGTTGGCTGGGGGTTTGTCAGAGATGGCTTTTATTACCTTAAGTATGTCCCTTCTATGCCAATTCTTTTGAAGAGATGAATAAAATTGATAGACCATTGGTGAGATTAAGCAAGAGAAGAAGAGAGAAGATCCAAATAAGCTCAATTAGAAACGAAATAGGAGATATTACAACTGATACCACAGAAATACAAAAGATAATTCAAGGCTACTTTGAACCCCTTTACACACATAAACTAGAAAACCTAGAAGAGATGGATGAATTCCTGGAAATATACAACCATCCTAAATTAAACTAGGAAGAAATTGAAAGTCTGAACAGATTGAAATGGTAATTAAAAAGTTACCAACAAAAAAAAGTCCAGGACCAGATAGACTCACAGCTGAATTCTATCAGACATTCAAAGAAGAATTGGTACCAATCCTATTGACCCTATTCCAAAAAATAAAGAAGGAATCCTCCCTAAATTATTCTGTGAAGCCAGTATCACCCTAATGCCCAAACCAGGAAACAATATAACAAAAAAATAAAACTACAGATCAATATCTCTGATGAACGTAGATACAAAAATTCTCAGTAAAATATTAGCTAACTGAATCCAACAGCATGTCCAAAAAGATAATTCACCATGAACAAGTGGGTTTCATACCAGGGATGCAGGGATGGTTTAACATATGCAAGTAAATAAATGTGATACACCATATAAACAGAATTAAAAATGAAAATCACATGATCATTTCAATAGATGCAGAAAAAACATTTGACAAAATCCAGCACCCCTTTATGATTAAAAACCTACCTTAATATTCCTAAATAGAGGCAACTTCAGACTGGGAAAATGCTTGGTAAATTCTTACTAAATATATGCCCCAAACATGGCAATCTTTTAGCATATATGTTTTGTGGGAGGGAGAAGGGAAGGCATTACAAGTCTCCCTCTGATGATTATCATTTACATTTACAATAGTATTTTAACATTTTCATTCAAAACATCTTGGAAATATTTTTAAGTAAGCAAATAGAAAAAAAGAACTTTTCTGGATACAATTTCATACTGAAACCAGTAATTCACTCTGATGCTGAAAGGTAGGCTTTTGTCTTTTGTTTATACATTCCTCCTCTCAGAGGAGGGTCACTGAAGACTGTTACCTACTTAGATGATGCCAGGCACTGATCTAAAGCACTTTGCATGCTAACTCATTTACTCTTCCCCACCGTACAACAGGGTCATTGCTAATGGTTGTTTCCTTTTTACTTACAGGTAGGCTCAATAGGTAGAATAGGCCAGTTAGTAACCTGCCTTCAGTCACACAGCTAGCAATGGAGGAGCAGGGTTGGAACCCAGGCCATCTTGTGCAGGCAGCCTGCACTCTGTCACTCATTTCACTGCCTCTGTGGTCAGCTGTTTTTCTAGCCTGCTGTACAAATGGTAGGTCTGGACTTTATTCTAGCAGTAGCGTGGTGTAGATTCACAGGCTATAAATTAATTACCTCCGTGTGGGTTGTTTCCTTTCACTCTGGTGAGCTAGGCCTAATGGTTGTTTTCCTTTTTAACTCAAAGATGGGGAAGCCCCAACAGCAATAAAGGGATTTCCCTAGAGCCTGGCTGCCTTTGCAGATCTGGGCTGGTGAGGTTTTCTGTGCCCCTGCTGAACCGGATGATCATTGCTGGGCTATCTTATGGTACATTTGTCTTGCAGCATTCTCAGGAAGCAGAGGATGCTTCCGACTGATAGGAAACTTTGAGCAAAGGAAAACCTCTCCTGTAGGAACATTTTGAAAGGTCTCTCTCAAAATGCTGGTCTGTAGTGAGAGCTAAATAACTACAGTGTGTACAGCTTTAGGCTCCTGCTTTAGAGCTTGTTGACATGCCTAGCCTTTAGGGACTCAGCTTTGCCAGGCCTCGAAATGAACCCAGGGTAAGGTTTCTATTCAGCCACTATCCTTTTCTGCTGAGTGCATTTCAGGGAGAGGCAGCATTGAGGTAAAGGATCAGGTGCTCTGCAAAATAGTTGTGTGCATGGAAATGCTTAGCAGTTTGCTTCCTGGCCCCAGGGAGATAATTACCTAACTGCTCTCACCTAAGCAATGTCCTAGGAGCCTGCCATGGACATTTAAAGTACACGGCTGACCCTGGGGAAATTGATTATTTGGGGGCCTCAGGATTTCTATGCTGGAGACTAAAATTATCAAATTAAATTTGATTTCTTTGGAAGAGAGAGCTAAAAACAAAGAAAAACCCTGATGTTTCCTCTGTAAAGAAAAAGTCAATTAACTGAACAGATATACAATGTACTTAAAAATAAACAGGTGTATATTTTATTAGATATCCCTAATACTTCTTAGTTCACAAGGTGAAAGCTAGCAATGACTTTGTTATACCATCTAGCTCACTCTTCCCTTTTAGTTCCTATGCCTATACCCATCCATCCAGCTTTTTCCCTTGCTTAATTTCAAGATACCCCTCTGCCTGCTTGGCACAAGCCTTCCCATCCCAGTCCAGTTCCATCCACAAGAACTGCACCTGTCATCACAGTCCAGACCTGCCAAGTTAGTCTTATCTGCTAGCAAAGACATGCCCAGCCTCTGCAGGGAGTGTTTATTATAGTGGAGAAAATCTCTGGATTTTGCTTCGCTTTTGAGAGTGGTAAGGTGGATATGTGCAGAAAATGCTCCCCTTAATTATCTCAAAATGTTGATAGAATGCATACAATTCTGTATGTTGCATTGACATTTATACATAGATTCCTATATCCCTATTAAAATGTGTGTGTATGTATTTCATTGGATATAGGGATCAATACACATTTTAATAGGATACAGGATATGTATATTTGTGTATATGTATATAGATATACATATATGTACATATATATGCATGTGTGTGTGTGTGTATATATATATATAACAGAGGTATTTTTAAGAGGCATCCAGAGCATAATTTTTAGAAGTCAGAATCAAGAACAGGAAATGGAGAAAATCAGAATGGTAAATAAAATAATTAATTCATGGATTAAATGTAAAAGAAGTGTGTTTTTGGGAAAGTGGTAGCAGATGACGATTGAATAGGAATGAGTTATAACAAAAGATCTATTTATTGAGTTACCACTCCATGCCAGGTGTACTATATTAAGCACTTTGCATATATTATTTCATTTAGTTCTGATTGAAATTCTGAGTGGTGGGTATGACCAGTGTCTTTATATTGCTAAGTAAAAACAGACACAAAGTTTAAATAATTTGGCCAAGGTTATATAGCAGTTAAATCATGAGATTTGAACCCAGATCTCTCTGACCTTGCCTTCCATCACCTCTTATTCAAAAGTAAAGGAGCGGAGTTGAAGATTGCTATGTCTCCTTTCATTCCTTTTTCATCCATCTCAAGAAGTTGAACAGCACTCAGGTAGCACTTTAATTGATAGCCATATGGATCACCCAAAATAATGGTGATTCTGGAACGAAGAGTGGAAAAAGACACAGGGAAACTTGATTAGAAGGGCTCTTGGGGGATTGGGGTGGGAAGCAGCCCATAAATGTCAAGCTGTGTCATCTCTGAAGCACCTTGTCTCTTGACTCTAGAATAAAGAATGAGAGAGATGCTGTGAGGGCCAGATGGCTGGGGAGCCTGCAGACAATGAGAGGAAATAGGCTCATTTAACCTTGTCAAATTACAGCTTCTTGTGTTCACCACGGAAGTAAATGATCTTCTGCAGGGGACCCCGTGTCAGGCAAAGAAAGTAGATTGATACCTCTCGTGGACTGATTGTGGATTTCAGCATTTGGGTAGAACAGATTAATGATAAGATATGGCAGAAGTGAAGAAGGTGAATGAGCTAATGGCGGATAAAGGGACAAAACTGCCATTTTGGCTTTTTCAGCTTGCATTTCAGCACAAATTGAGAGACTTGAAAGTCATATAGTTGCAGTGCTGAGGCAGGAATGCTCAGAAGCAATCCACTTTAAATCAGTAAAGACCTAAGGACTAGGCATTCAGAAAACTTGTGACTTACCTACGAAACTTTGCTAGGTAAGGATGGAGTGAAGACTAGAATTTAAATTTCCACCACTCTGCCCTAGCATCTTTCTGCCTCTCATAAGGTTTGCCTGGGAAGGTGGATAGCAGCAGGGTGTAGCGGTTGATATTTTCATTTTAACAGACACACAGAAGTGGGTCAGGTAGATAAGAAGGAGAGAGTGGGGAGAGGGAAAGAGAAAAGAAAAAGGAAAAGAAAGAGAGAAGAGGAAGACTGCAACCTTCTTTGGAGGAAACATTTTTTCTTTTTCTAATTGGCCATGGGTTAGGCCAGATTTGTCCAGCCTAGAACATAGACCAATGCTTAGCACATTTATCATTATATTTCATTTGTGTGATCGTTTATTGTCTTCTTCCTCTTTAGAATAGGCAGGAACCATATCTGTGTTTCTGTGTGCTACTGTATATGAAATGCCAGGGTAAATACTTAGAAAATATTTGTCAAATGCACATAAGATCCAAGGAATGAATGAATGAAACTGACTGCATCAGAATTATCTGGGAGCTTGTTTAAAATGATAGATTCTGAGCACCACCCAGACCAACTGAATTAGAATCTCTAGAGGAGGGACCTAGAGGACAGCTGGCAGGGCTTGGGATGAATGACACAGGCTGGCTTTTCCCAATTCTCAGTGGTCTCCAGGGCTTTGTTCAGGAGAGTTACCCTCCCTTTTAGGCCATAGTAGTTAATGCTGCGGTGGAAAATCTCATCCTGTGAACTTAGAGACACTGAGGTGGGGATGGACCATTGGCTGTTGACCTTGAAGAGAGCCTTACTTCCCTGTGTTTTCTTAAAGTCTCGGCAACAGGTGGCCACAAAGGCGGGTGGAAGGGCAGAGTGCCAGTTTACATAGCCCCCGCAACTGTTGAGGGGAACAGGTGGCTGCAGAGGGATTGGCTGAGATCTAGGAAGCAGGAGGCCAAGACCCACTCAGTTGCTATTCCATATTCCTAAACAAAATATACAGAAACCAAGAATGTAAAAAAAAAAAAGTTTGATCTGTCATGAGGAATTAGGAAGGACTTTGAAAGAGTCAATATGGTAAAAAGAATATACTTTAGGATCAAAAAAGAAACTAAAAATGTTACAGGTATTACTGTAACACATGCCAACTGCCTGGGTTTATCTTCTTAAGCCCAGATAATCCCTTTTGCCAAAAAAAAAAAAACTGTTTACCACCAGATATATTTTTGAAGACTTGGAGCAGGTGTTGATTTGGCAATCTTTCTATCTAGGAGTAGACTGCCATAAAGTTTCGTATTCCTTCTTCAGTCTCTGCCATCACTGTATCTATCCTCCTGTGACATCATTGTCTACTTTAATTCTTAAGAAGCACTTAGCCAGTTTCAAGCTTTGACATCTTTCTATTTCCCATGGGTTTAATGGTGTTGGTGTGGAATTACTAAGCTTTTGCTGTGTGGAAATCTGGAGGCATTTTTGAGTGTGATAATAGGGCATAGGGAAATTCCTGACACATGGAGTGTTTTATGTATAGAATATGCAATTCAAAAGAAGAGGAGGACTTATTGGATAGGAAGAACCTAGGCATCTTGAACAAAGAGTCTACTTTTAGGTCTGCAAGATTGATGGAAAGGCCTTGTTTATTGTTCCTTTGTCTGATTTTTGTTCCCTGCAGGTAAATATGAGACAAGTTTGAAGCTTAGGCCAGCTGGAAACCTGGGTCTCTGCCCCCAGCTCCCAGCCCCAGTGCTCCTTGGTTATCCTTTCTGCTTCTGTCAAATAATAATGAAGGAGCTCACTGGGCATTGGTAACTGGGTCCTTGCCAAATGGATCTTTGTTTTAAATACGATCTGGGCCCTGAGTATAGCTTCTGGCCCTTCTGCCTTGTAAGATATAGGTCCAAACCACTTCCTCAGCCCTCTCATTCCCAATTCCATCCCCACCTCCCTTATTCCCAGAAGATATACCTAACCTGCACCTCCACTGAGATCAGTGTCACCCAGTTTTTATCCAGTTATTGCCTTCTAACCTGGGAAACAGCTCATATCACACTCTACTTTCCAAAATAGAATGTCTCCCCCTATTCATTCTTCTTTCTCTTTCTTCCTATCTTAGAGCAAGAAGTGAGAAGTGGTAGGTTACTTTTTTTTTTTTTTTTTTTGAGACACAGTCTAACTCTGTCACCCAGGCTGGAGTACAGTCCCGCGATCTCAGCTCATTGCAACTTCCGTCTCCCAGGTTCAAGCAATTCTGCTGCCTCAGCCACCCGAGTAGCTGGGATGACAGGCACCCACCACCACGCCTGGCTAATTTTTATATTTTTGTAGAGATGGGGTTTCACCATGTTGGCCAGGCTGGTCTCGAACTCCTGACCTCAGGTGATCTGCCCGCCTTGGCCTCCCAAAGTGTTGCGATTACAGGCATGAGCCACCGCGCCCAGCCGGTAGGTTACTTTTTAAAGGCAGAATGGACTTGGGATCATGTCTCTGGGTAATTTGTACTCTTTCCCACCATCAGTTTCTCTCTTTCCACTGGATTTTTTTCCCCTAACACAAACATGTGTGAACCTCTCTTTTTCATAAAAAACAAAATGAACACAAAACCTTTTATTGATCCCACTGTTGATTTAGACAATCTCCTGTTACATCAACCAGGCCAGCCCTTATCATCCACCCAGTCAACCTTCCAAATATCCTTCCATTCAGTCTTCTAGTCATCCCTCCCTTTCTCTCTCCATCTCTTCATCCAACATCAACTGAATGCTTACAGTGATCTTATTTTACACATTAGAAAACTAAGCCCCAAGGAATCAAGAAAAGCAACCAAGGTCACATAGCCCAGCTATCTAGTTTAAAGGGGTTTTGCCTTTAAACTAAATGGTAAGGTTCCTGTTGACTTCCTAAATCCCAAACCAGCTTGATACTTTTTAGTTCTCGTCTTACTTGACCCTCTCAGGGGCAGAGCATCAACAGGAAAAAAGCGCAGGAGAGGTTAAGTTTTTAAGACTATGAAATGCATATTTATATTTTAATTTTTTGGTTGTCAGACCAAAAACTGTTTTGTTCCACTGTGACAGGCCCACTGAGCTACTAGCATGTCCAAGAAGTGCTTTTAAAATCTAAATTTGTTTATGAGAGCTTTGCTGTTTACATTGTAGGTATGCACCAGGGAAAAGAATTCAAAGTGACACCAAATATGTGCGCATTAAATAACACCATCTGCCCATTTGGATCTGTGCAGCTCTTTTAAAATACTGTGAGGTGCTCGCCCAAAGCCTGACATATTTCAGGATAAGGGAAAGATTTTTATGTTAAGACCCTACATGAAGACACTGTTTGAAGTTTCAGAAGGCTTTGAGTTCTTCCCTTCTTTCTTTCCTAGTTGTTCATTCAATATTTATTAGAAGGACGGGGTCCTTTTTTATTCTAGTGCCCCCTGTACACAGCAGAGGTCCATCTTTATACTTATGTTCTCTGTACACAGCAGGGGCTGTACTATTGCAGTGATATGACAGACCTGAGAAGGCCCTCCTTTTCCTCCCCAAGCAGCTGCATGAATAACCCAGTCTTTACTGAGGTCTATTATTACTGCATTAGAAATACTGGGTAGAAGGTCTATCACCTATTACAAAGCAAATGTCCAGTTAATATGAGTCATTTTTTACCTTAGGATGAATAATCTGGTCCCATTTGATAGACTACTACTTCTGAATTGGTTTTTATAACTAGGAAAGCACAGAGGGACAGTGTCAGAGGGCACTTGGAAGTAAAGATTTGAAAAAAGGAATGATAGGCTACATCTGTCTGTTTATACGAAGCAAGGGAGCTATAAAGTCTTGATAGAGGGCCTTGGTAAGATAGTGACAGAGAGTAGGGGCTTTAGGCTAAGTGACTATTTAATTAGCTCTGTGACTTTGGTCAGGTCATTGTAACTTGATGGGTAGTTCTCATTCTGCATCTGTAAGTGGACTCTACATAGTCCTTTAAGGTCCTTTTTAGCGCTGACACTTTATGATTCTGCTGGAAGAACTGAGAAATCTGAAGAAACCCAGGGTTTGTGTGTGTGTGATGGGTACAGGCATGCCAGGAGCCTGTGAGAGGTATTATGGATCTGTGACATAGACTTGTAGTGGCAGGGGCTAAGTCTGTAATCCTGGAGCACCGCTTGTGATTGGTGTGGAACATGTAGTGCTGTGTGATGGAATCAATGAACTAAGGACTGGCAGGTGCTCCAGCAGCACAATATAGAAAGCAGAAAAATGACTTGGGGCACAGAATTTTCTGGGTCCTTTGGAGTCTTCTCTTCTAATAAATGCAAAGCCATGAATCTATTGAGGGCCTTGTTGAGTGGTCAGGATTGTACAGTGAGCAGTACCCTTCATCATGATGATTTACAGTACTTTCTACCAACTGTCTAGTAACAGGCAAAATGCTGTAGTAACCTGAATTATAGACTGGCATAAAGTGGGGTGCCTCATGGCAGCATGTGAGGTGTGCTGCCCATGGGAGGGATGTGCATCATTAACATAGTAAATGGCAGCTTTGCTATTACTTTTGAAAACCAACTGCAGCAGGCACCGACTTAGGTGTTTTACATGGGGTTAGTATGAAAATTCAGGACCCTTGAGATAAATAACAAATATGATTTCCACTTACAGTTGAAGAAACCGACGTTCAGATAATAACTCACCTGGGGTTATAGACTCCCTTCTAGATCCATGGTGTGTAAATTTATCATTCCTGAGCTTTCTTCTTTTATGCAAAATCCCATTCCTAGTCATTCCAAATGTTACAGATTAGTCTTGTCCTTTCTTAACTTGATAGTATATTCCCCCGTCTCTGCCCAGAGAAAATACTTGGATGTTTTAACATGTGATAATTCACGATAGGTTGAGCACTTTAAAAATTTGAAAATCTGAAATCTTAAGTGCTCCAAAATCTGAAACTTTTTGAGTGCTGACCTGACACTCAAAGGAAGTGCTCATAGGAGCATTTTGGATTTTGGATTTTTGGATTAGGGATGCTCAGCCAGTGTGATACACATATTCCAAAATCTGAAAATATTCAAAATCCAAAACATTTCTGGTTCCAAGCATTTCATGTAAGGGATACTCAACCTATAGTCAAAAAGAGTAACTACCTGGGATTAAATCAAGGTGTCCTGTTATAGGATTGGAAACATTTCGTTTGATTAATACTTCCTTCTGGTCATTCATAAATGTTCCTTATATCTTTTTAGAAATCTTTAATAGAACAAAACAGGGAAAACATCAGTTTTAAAATTATATCCCAAAGTCCATTCCAGGGTAGATAATCTTGTTTTTATGGAATAAGTAAGGGTAAAGGTAATTCTATGTTAATTGCACATTTTATGTTATAAAAATGTAGCTATCCTATGAGACTCTGGGATATGATTGATTCTTAAATTTCTTCTGTGGAATGATTTGTGACTGCCTAAGGAAACCCCCAGTCAGGGAGGAGAGAAAAAGATGTGGGGGAGAACCGCTTTGAGCAGTGGTAGGAAGTGTTCACTGTAGAGAGGCAGAGATCCCAGGTAAGAAGGGTTGGGGGAGGTCACTTGCTTTTCCAGTGCTTAGGAGGTCCTGACTTCAGTCTAATCATGTAAGCATCATTGTTCTTTCATTACTGAAAGTTACTTCTTTTCCCTTTTGTAATTCACAGTACATAACAATTAGTAGGCTTGTGAACTAGGAAACATTAATGGTGTACAACAGATGCTTGTGTTTATAGAGCACTTCTCTGCAAGTGGAATAATGCTGAACCTCAGTGGCTGGGTGCTATCCATGTGGGAAACGGGATACAGCTCATTCTTTTGTTCTGTAAAACCAGTATTTCCTTAAGGAGGTCTTACCAAGCACCCCCACTCCTTCCTGCCCCGCCCCTACCCCGATTTTGCTCTTAAGCATTTTACAGAGGTATGGTTTTTATCAGAATATAAAGTGCAAAGAACTGGAATATTTCATAAGCCGTATTTCAAAAACTGACTTATTTATATACATTTCTGGAATTGTCTTTCAGCTATGGTGATTTTGTTATTTGAATATTATATATAAATTTGGAGAAAAATTATATTGAGCAGTTCTTAACAGTGTTCTTTTATCCATGATTGATGTTATAGTTTTTTGAAACCAGTATTAAGCAGAGAAAACCACACTGAGAATTTTAAATGTTATTATTAAATTTACTAAAATCTAATTTTTAGAATAAACAGTTTTTGAAATAAAATATACTTAAGGTGGAATTAGTAAATGTAACATGTTTTATGGGCATGTGTACAGAAGTCGTAAATGATAACAGTGACCATAAACACGCTTATTTTTCTGTTCTAGATATTTGAATGGTGGTATTTTCGCAAATACGGAACTTCATTCATTGAACAAGTCTCAGTAAGCCACTTGCGCCCCCTTCTGGGAGGGGTTGACAACAACTCTTCCAACAATTCTAATTCCAGTAACGGGGACTCAGATTCCAATAGGCAAAGTGTCTCAGGTATGGAATTTCCTTCAGTTTGCAATATTATTTGCTTACTGTTACTAAATTATTATTGTTACTCATACTAAGAGATTAAGAATGTTGTTATTTAAACATTAGGCTTCAGAGAAAAATGCAGATCATTTTCCCATGGAGTTGACAACCTGTATCAGAGAGGGAGGGTATAAACATCCTAGGGAAAGGAAATGCTTATCTTATTAATTTTACCCTCCTTTTTTTTTTTATGTGAGAGTCTTGCTCTGTCACCCAGGCTGGAGTGCAGTGGCATGATCTTGGCTCACTGCAGTCTTCACCTCTTATGCTCGGGTGATCCTCCTACCTCTCAGCCTAGCAAGTAGCTGAGACCACAGGTGTGCACCACCATGCCTGGCTAATTTTTGTATCTTTTGTAGAGTGGGCTTTCGCTATGTTGTCTAGACTGGTCTCAAACTCCTGGGCTCAAGTAATCTGCCCGCCTTGGCCTCCCAAAGTGCTGGGACTACGGGTGTGAGCCACTGTGCCGAGCTAATGTTATTTTTTCCCATTTGACTTAACCAATGGTCATTTAGGTCAGTGTTCCCAACCTGATGCTATAGCTTCCTTGTCCATAGTTTCTCAGACCACAGTGAATAGATTCATTTTCTTCTATGATAATTGCAGAATCTTGTGTCTAACTAGATCTGATCACATCACTCCTCTGCTTAAAAGGTATCATTGGTTCCCATTCCACTGAAGATAAGGCCCAGGTTCCAGATTCCTTAGCACAGCATGAGCTGCTTGGCAACTTTGGCTTCTGTCACAATCCAGTCCCTTTCCCATATGTCCTGTTTTCTAGTCACATGAAGCCAGTTTTTATTTCTTGAACATGCCATGTTTCTCATGACGCTCTGCCTACAAGTCTCCCTTTTCCCTTATTCATCCATCCAAATCACTATCCAAATCAAATGTCACCTCCTGGGAAGCCTTCTCTGATAGTCTGTACACTATCTCTCTACTTCTGTTAATCTTTAATATTTTTACCTTTAGCAACACATCAAATTACATTGTAATTTTTAAGGTATGGCTTTATTGTAGTATCTCTAGCATCTTGCAGTGTCTACTATTTCTTTGAAACAAAGCTGCTGTTACAGCACTAAGAATAGCATCAACATTTATATAAAGAATAAGGCTTAATCAAGGCATCCACTAAGAGAGACAGCAAAATAACAGGGACAATGGGAAGGGTATGAACTCTTCATTGCATTGAGAAATGATATCAAGAGATTTAGATCAAGTAGAGAGAGAAGGGAAACTTCAATGAAAATATAAATGTATTCACTATAAAAAATGATCTCTAATGAGGATGGTTTCTGTTTTCAATTTGTTAATTTTCTACAATGTTCTTTGTCATTCAAAGGCTATAGTGACTCAAGTCAGACAAGAGCACAATTAATCTGTGGGATATTCACAGCACCTGCAAAGTGGTAGCAGTTATCCACCACTGCTCATGCCTGGTGACTGAATGATCAAGATTCCTCATTAGAATAATAAACAGCATTTATTATACTAGCTGGATAAAGTAATGTTTTGCTTTGGTGAGGTCTCTTTTCCTTTCAGAGAGTGGATGAGTTTACAAAGTCTCAGACAATTTTGTTACCTGGCTGAGCAATGCCATCTTTTATATGTGTACCCTTTAGGATAAAATAAATTGTGCCAAGAGGTGTCCAGTACTACTCATAGCTGGCTGGCAGAGTCTATTAAAAGAGTATTGACTTAAAATCTGGAACAAAATTTATGTATACACTAATCCTTGATAATTATAACCTGGTTAGACAGTTATGAAATGTGGATGGGTTATTCTAGAGAGGAAGAAAAAAACCTAATGTGGCTTTTTAAATTTCTTCTTTATCCTTCATGTTTTAGAACTGGTGGCTCTCTCCTTAAAGGGGCAAACTACTTTTCCCAGCTTAGGTCAGGATCTCCTCCTTTGTTTTCCTTAGATTTGTATGTTTTCCTCATGCAACCAGAGCACTTACCACTTTGTCTCCTTCAATAGACAGAGTTTTCCATGGGGATAAGAACTTTGCCTTTAAAAAAATCATATTCTTAAAAACCTATACAAGACCAGGTTCATAAGAAGTACTTAGAAAATGTTTACTGAGGTGACAAAGAGACTGAGCTAGGAAATTCTTCCCACCTGTTTTATAAGAGGAGAAAGTACAGGCCTTGCATGCACTCATGCATTGATTCATTGAGTTTCAAAGAAATAGGATGCTACAAGAAGCTAGAAATAAAGCCGTGCCTTAAAAATTATAATGCAATTTTGTAAGTGTTGCTAAAGGTAAAAATATTAAAGATTAATGGAAGTAGAGAGATAGTGTACAGACTATCAGAGAAGGCTTCCCAGGAGGTGACATTTGATTTGGATAGTGATTTGGATGGATGAATAAGGGAAAAGGGAGACTTGTAGGCAGAGCATCATGAGAAACATGGCATGTTCGAGAAATAAAAATTGGCTTCATGTGACTAGAAAACAGGACATATGGGAAAGGGACTGGATTGTGACAGAAGCCAAAGTTGCCAAGTAGCTCATGCTGTGCTAAGGAATCTGGAACCTGGGCCTTATCTTCAGTGGAATGGGAACCAATGATACTTTTTAAACAGAGGAGTGATGTGATCAGATCTAGTTAGACACAAGGTTCTGCAATTATCATGGAAGAAATGAATTCATTCACTGAGGATAACCTGTGGAAATTCTCACTTTTGTTTGTATTTTTTACTTGGCTAAGACTGAGCTTTTGGATATTATTACTAGTTCAATGATAATATTATCTACCAGTATTCATTTAATATTAACATCTACTAGTATTTACTGAGTGCCTACTATGCATTCTATATTTCCATTCATTTCTTGTATAATAGATAACAGCATTTATTTTCTGGTATCATAACAGTGTTCAAATAGTTATCCTTAGAAAAATGGAAATTAACTTGTCTTAAGTATATTTAGGTCTCCATCTGCCCACTTCTTGACATTTGGGCTTCTGATATTTGGCTGACTCAGCTAAACAAACATGTATGCTAGTTTGGAAGTGCCAGATACCACTGGAATAATACCATTGCTGTTTCTGTTTTTTTGTGGTGATTTTGATTTTTGAATAAGAAAAATACTAAAAGGGTACATTAGGTACATTGTCTGAATTTATCTCTACTTTTAATCACTTTCTATTTCATAGTCTCATTTCAAATGCTAAGTATCAAGAAGGTCCAAAGCTGAGGGTTATCAGTGTATTTTCTTAAACTTGTTTACAAATTCCCATTGCCTTCATAATAATAAAATGACTATTGCCTTAATAACAGAAGGGTGAATCTATTGATTTTCTTGGAGCATCATAAGATGGCCCTTTGCTGAATTGTACATGAAATATAACATGGCTCACAAAGTCTCATGGATGTTGGCAAAGGCAGTGTAATGGTATTTTATTGATTATTTGAGAAAATCATTGAAAAAAGTAAGAATAAAGGGGAAATATCAGTTATAAACATTGTTCTATATGAAAATTCAGTGTAGCTCTTTCCTTAAGGAATAATTTGTTTTGAATAAAAGCTGAAAAACATGGCCTACCTAAGAACGACTTGGGATGGGGGTGGTGGAGTGAGGAGTGAGAAAGGTTGTTATGGTTACAGGCAGATTGTGCATATATTTTTAAACTTCTGGATTTGTACAAAGTGGCCTGAATGCAGACTTGCTCACAATTTGCAGTGATCTTTATCTGCGGGCCAGTGGAGAAATGTAGTTAATTATACAGTTTCTTACTTCAAACTTCAGATTGTTTGGCTGAAGTTAGCATTTGTGTCCATTCCACTGGTTTTGCTTTATTTGGGAGCTAAACTGCTGTTTTCCTCTCAGATATGCAGTTTCTGATAAACCCTGCTGATATATTCTGCCACATCACCATGTTTCTCACTACCATTTCTTAATTCAGCTTAGTTTATGAGCTGATGATAAATAGGCATTTAAAAGGGCCCAGTAACATTCTGAATTTGAGTTTATAGGAACATCTGTTTGATAATTTGCCTTGTTCTCAAATAAGATGCCATAAAGACAAAGGTTTGCAGTGTTTACCTTCTTCAGGATAATGGGAAAAGTGGAGAGTGCTCTGTCACATGAAAAATATCCCTGCCAAAGTCAAGTTTAAATTCTCTGAGATACTTTAATAGCCTCTTGCATAGAATTGGATCTTTAAACAAACTGGATAGTCACTTGGCTTCCTGTCACGAATCATCTCCTTTTAATCTTCATAAGTATATATGTATATTCCAAATTCTAAATAATTTTAATAATTCTATATAAATGTATATATTCTAAATTCTGAATTAAATTTTATTACATGGCCAGAAGCAATTTAAGTGCTGATTAAATTCAGATCATAAAGAAAAACAATGGCGATGTAGAAATTTAGGTAGAGTAAAAAAAATATATTCAAGACCTTCGTCGGTCCCAAATTTTCATAGCACTAGAACAAATAATTTTATCGATAAGAAGCCATTTGGTTCCAATAATAATAACTAACACTCTTAGTGTCTGCTATCAGCTTTATATGATATTGTCTCTTGTAATCCTCACAATAGCCCCAGGAAGCAGATATTATTATTATCTCTCTTTTATAGTTAAGGGAGCTGAGGTATAGCAAGGTGAAGTAATCTGTCCAGGGTCACATGGCGGATAACCTGGGTAGTCTTACTTCACAATCCAAGTTCTTAAGCACTTTAAAAAATTGAATTGACCTTGTCCAGAACCTCTATGAGGTGTATAAACCAAGATTAACATAATTATTAAGCAATTAAAATAATAATTTTAGTAAAATTCTGTACTGCAGTGGATGACATTATTTCTGAAGTGACATTAACCTAACTTACTGTAGGAACAGTTCAGTGGCAGGATTGCCAGTGGTTGACAGCTCGGGCTCTGGGGTCAGACAGATGTGGTCCTAATCTTCTGTGTGTGACCTTGGGCAAGTTGTTTAACTTTGCTATGTCTTAGTATCTTAATCTGCAAACATGGGAATAGCAGTAATGTCTACTGCATAAAGTCATTTCAGCATTAAATGAGGTCATGTGGAAATGTCAGGTCAGAGGACAGCCATTTGGCAGTGTGCCCAGATGAGCTGATTTCTCTACAAATACGACTGTGGAGAATGGCAGTCACTTGGAGGTATGGCTTTGTGGTCAGCCGGGCTTACTCACTAGCTGAGTGACTCTTTATATCCAGGCCATTCAGTGCTTTCATTTCAAATATATCCCTCAGCAAAACTGCAAAATGCTACATGTCAAGGACCTTTCGGGCTGCTCTCTAATAGTCTTAATGAGGGTAAACTCACCAAAATCTAATGGATGTGTTGAAAGTGATTATCTTAGCCAGTGTTTTTCACATCTTTTTAAAATCCTTTGACACTAAAATTTGTGCTCTAGTACAAATTAGGTCTCCAGTTAAATGATGATAATACCTAAAATAGTTTTAGTAGCTAGTGAACACTTACTTAGTAAAGTTATTTCATAATTTCCACATTATTTGGTAGGGTTGGTTGACTTAGGTGAAAAATGACCAATGAGAAGTGCATGACAGATGCTGTTACAGATTTAACCATCTCGACAGTATTCTTGAAGAAAGTGGTACATTATCTTGAATAGGAGGCCAAAATAATGGTCTTAAAATTCACATTTACTTATATCTTTTGTTATTTCATAAAGAATTTGAGATAGTAACATATTTGTTGAATTGAAAGCTACCTACATATTTTTGTGCCTTTACTTCTAATCATTGTTTCAAAATAACATTTTGAAGTTATGAAACAGTTAAAGCTTAATTATTTAAGAATATGGATATTTTTACTAATAATGATTGCTTTAAATTGATCTGAATAATGTAGAGAATTGGGTATTCATTTCTGAGATATCAAAGCTAATAAACATATGCACAATCACTTGTCAGAAATTGACTGGCTTGGGGTTAATTTTATAATACAAGCCAATGAAACTTTAGCTAGCACCCTTTTCTGTTGTACTTTGAAACTAAAGTGTTTAAAAGTGTTAAAAAGTTCCTAATGTTTTTCCAGGGGAGTTTTTAAAAATTGTTTCTTTAGTGAAAAATCTAACTGATGGATTCACAATATTTCCAAAATATGATGTTGCAGGGTTTAACAGGTTTGTTGCATGTAATGGATAAGAGTCGGGCAGTCTGGACACCAGGCCTTAATCTCATTTACCATAGACCTTAGGGAAATTAGCTTTTCTGTACTTTTTACTTATGTAAAAAGGGTGTAATATATACCCCTAACTAATGTATGTAAGGAATGTAGATAAATCGAGCTTTAAGCCCCTTTACAGAAAGGATCCATGAAAATCAAGCTCATAGCAACAACAAAAGTTGCTGCTACTACTGTTTGTAATAACATTGTCATGCTTATCCATACTTTAGATTCTGGGAAGATGTGGTAACTTTTTAGTATAAGAAACCCTTCTGGGCCTTGAATTAGCAATTTATAATTTTTGAAGTCCCCATGACTAGGGATTTTCTATCTTTTTTTTAATTTTAGAAAAAAGTTTTCAGAGTTAAATTGGGTGTAGAATAATATTTTCTTTCTGTGTGATTAAAAGCTCTGTGACTATAGAGCCTTTTTTTTGTTTGTTTTATGAGAATTGAGTTCTCTTCTCTTGAGTATTGTGACAAAGGGAAAAGTCTGTGGTTCTCTCAGAATATTTATTCCCTCTGTAGAGCTTCTTCAGGTGGGTGCCAGTTAGTTCAATACCCTTTTCACTTTTCTGCCAAGGCTAAATGTTCCTCTAAGACATAAGCTATTATCTTTTTTTGTAACCCATGGCCTAATTGAGAGATTAATGCATAATTACCCACTCAATACATGTTTAAACCACACAGTCTTATGAGTGATGGGGTGGGCATTGCAGAAGAGTAGAAGAGTATGAAAAGACATGAAATAAATAAGTATGATTGTGATGGAAGGTTTTAGTAGGGAATAGTGAGAGGGAGGGCTGAAAAAAAAGGATTAGAGCTTGCTTTTAGAAGTACTTAGCTGTAGATAGTAAACATTATTCTTTAGGTTCTTTGTCTCTCACAAAGAAGCTTGTAATGATCTCATTATGACAAAGTAGGGAATCTCTTCCGCAGACTTTGGGAACTAAGCAAGTGCTATTCAATATTTGCTGCTGCCCTTTTTCTTGAATTTCATTCTTGCATGTGTGCTAAGGATGGAACATTTCTGTCAGCACTTGTGAGTAGAGACTGCACTGTGAATTGCTGCATATGGAACTATAGAGAGCATGTTTGTTGTATCAAGGGTATATTTTTAACTATATTATTATTGATATTAGCAAGTTCATGATGAAGTCCCAATCAACTTCTAGTGCATCTTGAGGGCATTAAAATTGTTGATGTTAATGGAGAATGGAAAATTCCTTTTTGGAGGTAAAATTTTAAATCTGATTTGAAATAAGGAATTTATTCCTTAAAGGAACACATAAGAAACTCTTACCCTCTAGAGATCTAAGTACTTCCTGACTTAAATCTTCATATTCTAATATGCTTGGCATTTACATCCTTTGTCTCTATCACTAAACCATCACATAGCCTGATATTTATGAGGTATGTTACCTAGAGTGATTCTAGATTGAGTTTTTGCAGACAAGATAAGATTATGGAACAGAGGGACAAAGAAGAAATTAACATAGCTGTGGCCTAATTTTAAAGCACAACTTTGACATGTGCTCATGTGTGACCTCTAGGTTGCTTGTTTCTTAAAATAAAAATATACCTGTCTTGCACCTTCAATTTAAAGGGCATAACTAATGAAGACATTTCTTAGATACTTCTTCATTACATGTTTTATTCTCACTTAGAACAGTTTACATCTGTTACAATTACTTAGATCCTTTTTTCTAAGTTTTAGGGATAGTTAAACTGAATGCAGCACACATATATGACACCAATGTTAACACAGATTTCTTTTTAAGCTCAGTTCTCTAATGGAAGTCATAAAAGCAATATTTCACAATGTTTGCTGCACCCCCTGCTGGCTGTATTGTGACACTTCTTAAATAAAGAGCATCTTTAGATACTGCTCAGTGAATACTTTAGGTATATACATGATTTATCTTTGGAGTTATTTTTTGTTTAGAAATAATTTCAATTGCATCTGATATATAATAGAGTCGAAATTTTAATTGAAAACAGTTTTCTTTGTGATTTGTCAATTGATGTTTAAACAGTGTTTATCCTTCCAGGTAGTATGATGATGTATTTGTTGGAGACAAAATATTTGCCCTAGCCTTTTTACTAATATTTCAGATGAGATTCTGTGGAGGAGAAGCATCTCCCCAAATGTCCTTGTTTTATAGTAAATAATTCTACCACGAGGATCCTTATCCATAAATCTATATTCATGTTTATTTTGTGCTAGATACAGATCTTGCAATATTCATGAAGCTTTAAGAAGAGCACTTTGAATCTTAAAAGAGATTCTCTGAGCAGGGGTTGGCAGTGGTGAGGTCCAGGTAGTTATAATAGCCATAAGAGCAGGGATTATGGTTATTGAGCTCACCAGTGTGTTTCAAGCCATGATCTGGAGTCAAGGTGTTAGTGATTCCTCTAAGGGGAGAAAAAATAATTACAGGAAGCATAATTTTGTAGTTAATGCCATATGAAGTGACAGCCATCAAATCTCAGTTTCACAAGAACAAAATTCAGAGATGCTAAATTAAGTGGACAAAGATCATTTTCTAAATGGCAAGTTAAGCTAAGTGACAAAAAATTTAGGGCCATTATTTATAAATATTGTGTAAATTTTAAGTGGGATCCTGCCCTAATTTAGAAATAAGTACATCTTCTTTAAATGAAAACACGTATTCCTGTTATGTGTATATCCTTTACTATTTTAACAAATATTTGTTGAGATTACACACATGTTCCCAGAGTGCTTTGTGTTCTCCATTATCACACTGTGTTGAAATTGATGGTTTACTTATTTCCTCCAGTGGGTGCTCAAATTAATGCTCAGTGGATGGATGGATGTTGAATGTACAGGACTGAGGGTAGGATCCTAATGAATCACCACGTGGCCTTCAATGTCCTTTGGATTTCTGCAATAATTGCTCACTTTTTTGTACATATGTTGTTGGATGTGGTTTTTGCTGGTTGCACACGCACATAGATGTTTTGAATACTATTAACTGATTTTTTTATAATAAAATCTTATTCATCCAAAATCTAGTATTCTGAATCAGTAGAAAGTCTTAATCATAGACTGTTTTAAAAGAATTGTAGTTTATTAGTCATATGCTTACCATTATAACACAGTCTTAAAGTTAATGCTTGGCTTTTCTAAGTTAAAGTCCTTTTGTTCTAAATTTCTGTGGTCCTGGTATAATAAAGAGGTATGACCTATTAGGATGTGCTAACATGATGATATTAGTATGATGATTAGTATATGTATCTGTGCAAGTAAATGATATTAAAATGCTTTGAGACAATTTCTTTTAATTGCATTTCTTCCTACAATATGGTAATCTTATTAATTTTCTTATTCCTTTCCTGTAAGGCAAAAGCAAACTGGTAAATTATCATAAAATCACTGTTAGCATGAACCCAAATTAAGACTATAAGGCTGTTTGCATATTATACTCTATAGTTTGTCTTGTCATGTACAACGTTATTATGAGGTATGTTTTAGACTGACAGAAAATAGTTTTACTTCTGCCTATACTTTTATCTATAAGGTTTTAGAAGTAAATTCATAGAATCAGTTTGGACCTCTTGAAATAATTTTAGGAGTTATGAACTAGCTGATTTTGGCATGCATCTTGATTTGGCAAGTGAGGAAACTCAGGCCCAGAGAGATTAGGCAAAACTTTCCAAAGTCCCGGAGCCTGAGCCACATTTTGTGATTAACCACCCAGAGTTTTTCCACATTGCTTCCCATGTAAAGGGTAGTGAATAGAATTATCTTATCAAATGGCAGGAAGGGTGTTTTGCTGAATTAATTAGCTTGTAGTGTCACTGAACTTACGCGTAACATTTTCATATTTCTCTTTGTTGCAGAATGCAAAGTATGGCGAAATCCACTAAATTTATTTAGGGGTGCTGAATACAATCGGTAAGCATTTTGACAGCTTGGGAAACAAATGGGTCTGGTTCAGAGAGCAAAGACAGCAGCAAATGTTTTTGCTGGTTCATTTAGGGGTCATTGTAACAGTCTATGTAGTGCGTCCATTTTTTAATACTATCTTCAAATGTTTTGATTTTTCTGTTTTATAAATATTTTAGCACTAGATTTGGGATAATGTACAAAAATGTGTAGTTTTTAGAGTTTTTGTATTAACAGTTATTCTTTTCAATATATACTATACATTGAAAACATTTTGAAGCTTACCTGGAATATGGTTATAGAGATGTCGCAGAAGTTATGTTGGAATTTAGTTTAGCAAAGTAATTAGGCAAATTAGAATTTTCATAGCTTTAGGAAAGTGTCTATTCATAATATGAATTAGGGAAGGTTTTCATTAGCAAGGGCTAGTAAATTTTAAGACAAAAACACAGGAGAAAATGTTTATTTCTTTTGACTGATATAATTCCTGAAGGGAGAATAAGATGATTTTTAAAAATTTTTTTTATTCATTAGCAAAGCTATTTTAGTATTCAGTTAATGGTCTATATTTCAACGCCTCTGCAGCTTAATATTTTATAGGTCTTGCTTTTCTCTCTCAAAAGTGTCTAATCATCTTATTTCTCCTTTGCAGGTATACTTGGGTGACAGGACGAGAGCCTCTTACTTACTATGACATGAATCTCTCTGCCCAAGACCACCAGACATTCTTTACTTGTGACTCGGACCATCTGCGTCCCGCAGATGCAAGTATGAAAAATCCATACATCCTTCTGAATGGGAGGGCTTTTTGGCTTAAGTGTCAAGATTTCTGCTTTTAGAATATCCACTCTGTAAAACTCCAATGAATAAAATATTAAATTGTTGATTGACTAATAAGAACCCAGAACTCTGATAATTAAGTAAACCTTTATCACAATGAAGTATTTATGTTGAAATGAGTCCCCTCATAATAATTTGAATCATGATTTTTAAAAATATATCGAAGTTGGTTTTATATATTTTAAAGAAATATGAATCTTATATGAAGCTAATGAAGTTCTTGGTTGAGTTAGCATGAAGGCCTTATCTCCTTTATGATATTCAAAGTAGAAATTGGAATTTACTGGATTCAGATGATTAATGAATATATTTTAGTGACTTTTATTTGCCTATTTATAGGTTAACTAGCATCGAATGGGGTCATGGCCTTGGCTATTGGAGTCTAGATGTGTGTTCCATCTGAGAAAATACTTTGTTTAGTGTGTATTTTACATTACTTGAGTTTCAGATAATTCAACTGAAATTTTTTGTTATAAAATTTATTCAAAGTAAATAGGTGAAAAAATGTTTTTGAAAGGGAACCTCTACACACTCTAAAATAATTTATAAAATACAAATTTATAAAATAAATAAGGAGATTGTTACTCCTTTGTAAAATGGTACTCTTTGCTATGGTAGAAACATCATGGTACAGTAAATATTCCCATTGAGCTTCCCACCATATGTTCAGAAACTGCTCTGATGTATAAAAGCTAGGTTTGCAGGTAAATTTGGGATATAAGTACACATGTTAAGCAAAAGCTTAAGCATTTTTTACTGACCCACGCATAATTCTTGAAATGGTTTCAGAATGTTCTAACACCAAGAGTCTGTGTTAAGTGCTTCGGAAAATGACCAATTATGTTGTATCTAAGTGAATGAAAAGGTTGGTAGCAATGTCATCTCAAAATGCATAAAATATATTCTCCAAGAACAAATGACATTAATGTGCAAAAGACACGCAAAATCTCTGTTAGAGTGCCTTTTCTTGATTTCCTTAGCCTGTAGTTTTGTGAGCACAAAAAAGGTTTGCTATCAGCAGTTGAAATACTGTGGAATAGCACATTAATACACTAATATGACTTTGGAGATTTTGGCCAACCCTCTTAGCAATGAAATATGTTCTTGTAATTTAAGCTGACACTCCTAATTTAGCTCTTGTCCTCTACTGAGTCTACCTAATTATATGTATGGATTGACTTGGTGTTTTCTCTTTTTCTTAAATAGTAATGCAGAAAGCCTGGAGAGAGAGAAACCCCCAAGCTAGGATTTCTGCAGCTCATGAAGCCTTGGAGATAAATGAGTAAGTGGGGGAAAATCTTGCTGTTAAAAAGGAAATCTCATCCTTTGCTGAATATATTCAGTTGCCATTGATAGGATACTTAAATTAAACTGCATTTGAACTGGAGGATTATTTGGGGAGTTATTACTCTATTTAAAAAAGTTTTTTTTTTAAATGAAGGACAGCCACCATGTGGAGGTGGTTTTAGTCATTTTATGAATTCAATGGCTTTGCTGTGATCCTAAATTAATTTCTTGAAGGGCTATCCCTAGGATATTGTGAGGATATAAAATAAATACAATTCTTTACATATCTAAAACATTCTGACAGGGAAAATTTTCCAGATGTAGAATGCTCATCTGCACTAGAACATTTTCTAGTAGAACTTCTGCTAGTGGGGAAAACATGATAACAACATAAGGTTTAAAAAAAAAATTTTAGAAAATACTTCAAGATTAAGACAAAGATAAGAGGAAATGCTGTCTTGAGTGTTGTTAAACATTCTGTGGGTTACCAAGGAAGGCTGGGAAATCTCTTCTGGAGATCTCAGAAAATGAGAAAGATTCTTAAAGTTGGAGTCATAAAAACTCAGGGTTGGCAGAGACCTTAAAGGTCACTTAGCTGAACCACCCATCTGGTGCTTGAATCACCTCAACACTATCCTTGCCAAGTGGTCATTGTTAAACTATTTTATGATTTTTCTGAAGAAGGTTACAGAATCTTCTTCAGAGATCTTAGGGAAAAAAAAAAAAGATTGTCGTGAGAGTTGAAAATCCTGCCATTGTAACCAGTTGATCTACGGTTTCTGATTCTGTCATGCAACATATTTATTTTCCAGTTTCTTGTCATCTACAAATTCGATATGCCTGCCTTCTGTGTGTCATCCATATTTCTGAGAAAAATATGAAGGCCAGGAATAGAGCCCTGTGACATGACATAGAAACTACCCTCCAGGTTCATGTCTTCATGAATCACCATCTTTTGTATTGTTCACTCAATTACTAAGCCACCCAGTTACACTGTGACTCAGCTCATATTTCTCCATTTGGATCTTAAGAATGCCAATCGTAGCTGCGGATCTTAAATTTATAGTAAATCTATTACAGTAAATTAAGCTAGCACAATCTGATTTATTTATTCTTAGTGAATATAAGCTGGCTTCTAGTCGTCACTACTTTCTTTTTAAAGTGCTTGGAGACCATTCCTTTAATAATCCATTAGAATATCTTTCCAAATCACTGTGTTCTGTAGTTTGGGAAGTCTGCCTTCTTCCCCTTTTTGAAAATTTATGCTACATTTATCATCTCATCTTCTAGCACCTCTCCATTCTTTGTGATTCCTCAACTATCCACAGAGAGCAATTCCATGGCCTGCCTACAAGGTCTTTCGGTTTCCTGGGATTTGCCCATCCAGTCCAGTAATTCATTTAGAATGGATCAATTATTTGCTATCTTACATCTTTTTACCCATTTTAGAGTTTAATTTCTTCTCCCTTTTTCAGTCTGACAGTCATTCTCCTTGATAGAGAAGCCAGGAACAAAATAGGAGGGAGAGAGTTTTGCTTTTTCTTTATTATCTACTGCTTTTAACAATAAACCTTCCTTGTTTTGATGTTATTATGTTGTTTGTCTTTTTTTTTTACTTATTTGCCTTTGTGACATGGGGACGGTGATAGGGCCTTAAATATAATTTTAAAATAGGGAATAAATGGTTGTCTTTAGTATTTTATTTTGTTTTATTATTATTATTATTATTGTTATTTTTGCAAGCTTCAGCTAATTTGGAATTGTAGCTCTCCTGACATTATTCTTATAAGCTCATTCCACTCTCTTATAGACCATCATTACATGCCCTCTTTCCATCTTTTAAAATATGTCCTTTAAAAATCTGACCTGGGAGAAATCTCTGTGAAGCCGTGTTGGTTACTTAAGTGCCACCCCTCTTTTCTTCCTGAGAGGATCATTTGTGATTGCAGTTACAGTTGAACATTTGGAAGCTGCTCAACCCTCTTAAACCATTTTTCCTTCTGAATCTCATGCCATTGAATCATGCCTCTTTTCTTTGAATTTTTTGAAGTCCACCTTCCCCTCTTTGATTACCCTGAACTCCGAAATGACATAGTGACTCTCTCTGAATGTTCCTATCAATTTTCATTTTACCAACTATTTTTTTCTTCTTGGTCAGAATTAGGTCCAGAGTTGAAGTTCCCCTAATTGCTTCCTCTACCATCTGGGAGATAAAATTGTTACCAAAGTAAGTCAAGAACCTGTTGGGTGCCCTACTTCTAACCAAATGAGACTTCTAGTGGATATCTGGATGGTTGACACCCCCATCACCACACTTTCTTGCTTCTGTATGTGTATTGTGTTGTGACAAGGATGCATCATCTATATCTTCCATCGAGCTGAGCAGTCTGTTCTGTACTCCCCAACCATTAGCACTTCTATTGCTCTCTCCTTTTTCCTTCACTCACAAGCTCTTAGCATGTTTCTATCCCAAACTCATGCGTTTCCACATAGATGTATGTTTCTTGGCCAGTAGTGCTACTCTGCCTCTCCTCCTAAGAATACCATTTGAAATATAAATAAGCAAAGCAAGCAAGCTAGCCCCAACCATTCTTGGGTTCCCAGCCCAACAACTACAATCTTATAGCTAATTCCTCTGATACTGTATCTACCACTCAGTATTACAATCTCAATTTTCACTTCATTACCCTTGCCTCATATTTATATGTTGGCATCTGAAGCCTTAAGCATTTCTTCTGATGCCTGTCCCAGTTATTTTCTCCAGTGAATCACTTGTATAGTTTCAGCATCATTATGGTTCTTTCCAAGTCATGGATGCTGCCATCTGTAGAAATTGGTTTTATAGCTGTTTTTCTGGGCATTTTTCTCCCTACCTCACCACATTGTTTAAAGCCCCATTGATGGTTCCTGCCTGAAATTAGAGAGACTGGCTAAAGACCTTACAGACCCTTCCTAAGGCTAAGATTAACTAGTAGCCCCAGCCCTTACATTAGCTGTGAAGTTCAGCCTCCTTTTCCTAGCTGGCTATTGCAGTTTGTGGACAGTAAAAGTAACATTTGGTTTTACTTTCTGTTTATTTTCTCTCTTGTGGTCTGATGGAAATAAGTAGGGAAATGGCCACAAGTGAGGCAGTGGGGAAGGAGAGTGAAAGGATGGGTGCAGGACCTGCGTGGTCTGTTACAGCCTCACCACTTCCCTATTACATTCCCTTTCTTTGGCAGTGGGTTGTTCCTCATATGCTTTGGAAGGTTTAAATTCACAAGAACTCCCCATGTTCATTAATTATCCTTTTGGCTTCCCACCTAAGAGGGTTGTTGAAAAGATTATATGAGATGATATATGTTAAGTGCCTGGTACAGTGCTTAATATATACTAAGCAACAAGTGGTAGCTATTGTTGTTGAAGGCATGAGATTTAACTTGTTAGCTACTGTGGCTGAGTCAGATTTTGAGTTCTTCAGAAATAACACTACTTGTAGGTTCTTCCAGTGTTCTCTGAAGCAGAAAGTCAGTGCTAACTGTAAAGAGATGTTGAAGCACTGTGTTTTTTTTCAGTGAGTAACTTGATTTAACGAATTTCTTATTCTGAAGAAATCCTTAGATTGAAGATAATCTGTGTTTAGTTAACAGAAGTAAACCTGTATATAGCACCTCTAACTTTGAGTGTTGGAAGGAACTATTTAATAACAGCTGTTATCATCACCATCACTAGCTGACATTTATTGAGCACTTAACCACATGCTGGCTACTGTACTGAGCACTTTACATGCATCACCTTACTTAACCTTCACAACAACACTGTGAACAAAGATTCCATGTTGTTCTCCATCAGGGAGGCAGAGTAAGAACTTGCCCAAAGTGACACACTAATATAAAGGGTGAAGTCCACATGTGAGCCCCATGCTCTTAACACTACGCATCCTACCTCTCAAGCTAAAATACAGATGTTTCTTTTGTACCATTATTTTGTGTCAGCAACTACAAACAGGAGTGCATGAACCAGTTGGCCACTCTGCATGTTTTGGCGTAACTCCTTGCCTTTCTGCATGAGCTCCTACAGTCTATTACCATGTCCTTGGCTTTGTAATTGATGGTGGCTATTATCTGAATGAACAGGTGTGCAACTGCTTATATTCTCTTGGCTGAAGAGGAAGCAACAACCATTGCTGAAGCAGAAAAATTATTTAAGCAGGCCCTGAAGGCTGGAGATGGCTGTTACCGACGCTCTCAGCAGCTACAACATCATGGATCCCAGTATGAAGCCCAACATAGTAAGGTTTCCTGCAGGTTGATGCATTGGGGGATCAGAATTGTAAAAATTATTAATCAGAGCAAATTTTTAGTCCAGTTCAAAATATGATTCTCCTAGACAAGAGAAAATATTGGCTTTTGCTTTGTTTTTATTAATTTTCTTCTTTCCTATAAGTGCAGTTAGTAAATAATTAACTTACAGCTTCATTGCTGTTTATATTCACATTCTCTTTCCTGCCCATAGATTCCTAACCGCAGAAATAAATGGCAGTAACCTTTAATAGTAACCTTTTTTCCTCCTGAGTTCTTACATATTTCTGTTCATCAGTTGCTTCTGCTCACAACTTTAAAACCCAGATGGGAAACAGGATTTAAATTAGCCATAGTGTTAGCAAAGGTTTTATCTTATAGATCTTCTACAACATGGATTGAAATAGGACAATTAAGAATATAAGTTATTGGTGATTGTATCAGCATTTATCTCTTACATAAGAAACATTGGTATTGGCTTCCAGAGAGAAAGAGCCATGAGCTCCTAGTTATTTATCTTTTTTATATTAAAATAATGCCTTTTTAAACTCCCCAAAAAACGCCTTTTTAAATTTAAGATAACTCTTTAAAATCTGAGACCTTTCACTTCAGTATACTAAACTGAAAGCCAATGACATTTCGTGGGGGAACAGTATAGAAACAAAACAACGAAATCATTTCTGGAATTCCCTGAGCCCCTCGACTCATCAGTTTGTTTGTTGTTGAAGCAGAAATTTAGCAGTCCTTGTGGTAAGAGAGTTAAGTATTTCCATGGTCCAACCAAAATTTGAGAGTATTTCCATGGTCCAACCAAAATTCACAAAGTTATTTTGTTTCTCACTTAGTTTCTCCCTCCTGAAACTTAGAGAGTAGGGATGTATCTCCTTCATATTTGAGATTATAAAATTAAATGTTAACGTTAAACTTGGGTTTGGTGTAGAAACTGACTGCATTAGTCCCCATAACTAAGGTGCCAGCAAAATCTTTGCATTATAGCCTGCATATACATGAGTATGTCCTCACATGTACCACATCAATTCCTAAGTTTTTATTTTTATTCTGCAGCATATATATGCTAATAAAGTCTCTAATCACCATCTATGTCTCACTTTTTAATAAAAAAGTATTTTAGTGTAATGCAGTGCATTTTGAAGACATGTAGTAAATGTGTATTTTGTGAACTAAATGGAAATCAATACATAAAATTACATAACCTATAATACAACATTAATTTTCTTTCTTTTCTTCTCTAAATTAAATCTTTTCAACCTGTTGCCTAAATCCATCCAAAAATATAATCACATTTTTAAAATAATTTGTAGGTACTTGGCAGATTTTCAGCACACATCTTGTTCTCATTGTTTAAGTCTTGAAATGTTAGGACTTTGGTCTTAACATCTTTTAATAGCTGCATATTATACATGTACTTAATCTATAACAGGTGTGTCATATTTTCTCAAACATGGTAATTTTTATCGAGGATTAAGCACATGCATGTTCTCATTGGTCTGAAAACATATCCAACAAGACATATAATTAAATAAAAGATTAAGATTAGAAATTGTTAACGTACTTTTTAAGAGTCATTTTAGTGATTGTTGTTACAACTATTTAGCTTGTCAATTCTTTCTCTAACACTAGGGTAGTTTTTCATTTTGTTGCATACTCTATTGTCATATCTGGAATGTGTTATATTGCCATCTAAAATCAACTGCTTAGGGGACCTGGAGATGATTATGATGTCACTAGTGTTAGGGAAAGAATAATATAAAGCAGAAGTTTAAGATGAGGCTTCTCCAGACTTAATGTCAAGAATGAAAAAAAAATAGTTCATCAGGATGTAACCTGAGATTCACCTCTGCATCTTTACCAAAAGAATGCACGCTTGAAGAATGTGGAATTCCTGCTTGTAAACCGTATACACTGTGGGTATGTTCATTTTCGCAGCACTTTGTGGCAGATGATTTTATTTATTATCAAATATTCAACATCCTCACTCAAAAGCATGGATTAGGTAATTAGTCAGATGATTTGACCTTTGGGAGTCTAAGTGCTTTTACTTTACTTGATCTTCATTCTACTATTAACAAAGTTGTCAGTGCTATGAAAATTTCCTTTAGGGGCAAGGCAAATGGGCCTCTGTATTTTTTTTTTTTTTAAATGTTGGTGTTTTATATCTCCCTCTTCAGGACGAGACACCAATGTCTTGGTGTACATCAAAAGAAGGCTAGCAATGTGTGCCAGAAGACTCGGGAGGACCAGGGAAGCAGTGAAAATGATGAGAGATGTGAGTTTGAGTTTGTGTTTGGGATCAGTGGCTTACAGATATAGGAGCCCGCTGAATGGCCATAGCAGTCTGTACCAGTGATGGTGTGGTGGTCCCATGGGTTCTGGAGCCAGACTGTGTGGGGTTCAACTCTAGTTCCCAATTTACTAGATGAATGATGTATGTTGGGCAAGTTACTCAGCTTCTCTTTGCCCTAGTTTCTTCATCTCTAAAATGGGAACAACAATAACAGTCCTCACAATTACTTCTTAGAATTTTTTCGAGGACTAAATGAGATAATACATACAAGCTTCTAATAGAGTGGCTGGCATATTTTAAAAATGTCAATAGATGTCCTTATTAAACCTTTGGGGCTGCAGCTGGAAGCCAATAATGAGACCAGCCATGTTAGCAAACTGATTTTTTTTCTGTGTAGTTGTTAGGAAGATTCGAATTAATTATGGGTCAAATTACTACTCTCAAATTTAATAATATTATGAGTTAATCCTATTGTAGTTGTTTCAAGCATTTTCCTAGATTCTTGAACCAGGATTCTTTATTAGTAGTCAAGACAAAAGAAGAGAGCAAATAGGTGGAAGTTTTAAAACAAAAGAGAACCAAGGGAGGTTATTATTATGTAACTTTAAAACAAAACAGAGGTTTTAAGGGAAACCAGTTGGGGAACTTGGATTTCCGTGTTTTTTGTTAATAGGAAATACTTTTCATAAAGAAACTGACACCAGTATGAATTGTATTTATAGGCTATTTTCTTTTTAAAAACAATCTCAGAAAACCTTTGTCAACATTTCATTCTTTTGCTGAATTAGAAGGCATACATAACTGCCTATTATAAAAATGAAAGAACCAAGCGGCAAGATAAAAGTGGCATCTTGCTCAATTCTCAGCTCATGGATTTGAGCACACTAGGACTGCACACTTGGTGAGCCTTTTCTGAGTTTGTCTCTGGAAAGACAGTTATTCTTGTGAATTCCCGGTTACTCTTTGGAGGAGGGAGCACCAACACTCAACGCTCACCCCTGGTTATTTCTGCAAGTTACAGCATGATGTGAGAAGGCCCAAGTGAGACTCATGCTTTGGTTTTGGCCACTCCATTAGGCAACAGTGTAGCCCCCAAATCTGAGGAGAGGAACTAGAAGGGAAGGTTATAAAGTATTTCTCTTTGACTGCAGGTGATAGATGCTCTCTAGGAAAGAGAATCTCCCTCAATTAAATTATTTTGTTTGAAGGAAGAATTCAAAGAATGTTATATGGTATAAGTGCTAATTTTAAGAAAAGGAGATTTCTGCCGAGATATGAACTTGCTCTCAAAGCTTTTTAACTTACAGAAATTCCATCCTTTGATATACTTCATCCCTCTGCCAGTCACTTTGGCTCTGAAGGAGCTGGGTGTTTTATGAAGGATGAGGTATTTCTCTATCTTAACCTGGCCCAGCCACATTCAGCTTTTAAACAGAGTTTTCTTAACTTTAATTAGCTTGGAACAGGCATGCATTGAGGAGCTAATTTTGGTGATTTTCTTGAGTGCTTAAGCAACTTAATAGGAGGAACAAATTCTGATGATTTTAATTTCAGGTTTTTTCTGTCAGTCTCTTGGTTATCATAATTTTCAGTACATATAAAATTTCATGTGATTAAAATCAATGCATCTACATTATGATTTGCTTTTTGTTTACTATTATTTTATACTTACAATTCCATTGATTGACCTAGTTCACATGTAGATCTTGGGGGAGAGATGGATGCAGTGGGAGAAACACTAAGCAGGAGTCAAAACACCTGGATGTGGATCTCAGCTTTGCTCTTTACCAGCTTCATGACCCAAGGCAACTTATTAATACCTTTTATGTGCTTTTCATTTAGTCTTCTGTAAATTGGGGATAATGATTCTTACCTGAAACGATAATTGACTGGGAGAATTAAATAAGATAATGTGAAAACACCTGACATATAGTAGGCATGCTTACAATTTTTTTTCCGATTTTTCTCCGTTATATAAATATGCCATCATTTGCTTGACCATTCTCCTGATGGACATTTTACGATATTTCTAATTTATTTTTCTTGAATGAATTGATCACTCAGTTAATTTCTCTCTTCCTCTCTCGACATATGTGTATACATACACATACATATTTATGCATGTTTGTATATATATGCGTGTTTCTTATATTACGTTTCTAAAAAAAAAGTCTGTCATATTCTTAGAATACCAATACATGTGCTCCTTTTTCTGGGTTTATGGAGCATCCAGTAGACATGGGCCTTCTGGTATAACAGTCCTGTAAGGAACACTCTCAGACATGGTAGAGATATGTTTTGAAGAGAAATATTCAAAGTGCTCCTTCCTTCAGGGACTGCTTTTATCAATCCTTGCACCACAAACAGAGGAGGGAAGGTTGAGGACCCTTCTCTTTGCTAAAGCTGTGGCTGTTCCCAGCCTTGCAGGAGACAGTTGTTGGCCAGGCCTAATTTGTTTGGCTCCTCTCCGGTCATGGGTCAAGATAACTGCGACTTCCCTGAGAGATTCACTCCTTTAACAGCATGCACATAAACCATTTTGCTGGAAGACTTTCTCTGATAAAATAGCTCAGTAGATTCCAGACAGCCTGCTGATAGAGGCTTAGGCAGGATGATCTAATTTCTTATTAAGACACAGCCATCTTCTCCCCATATGCATGAGTTTAAAACTTTCCTAGAGCAGATTTCATAGTAGAAATAGAAATGTCAGTTAGAATGCCTTCCATGTAGAAAGCAGAATCGTTTAAAGAAATTTCTCTGGAAACACCTTAAGGAAGGGGAAACTGTTAATTGAAAAGAGATTCTAAAAAAAAATGAAAGGGAATTCTGGGAAGGCCAGCAGTAGATAATTTCTTATATTTTCATGGCAATACACCTGTGAAATATTGATGAGGTAAACACGTCGACTCCTTAACATCAAGATTCATCACTTCTCATTTTTTAAAGCAACACGTTAATTATTTTGAATTCCCAGGATGTTTTTCAAAAAAACTCATTTTAATTAGCTTCCTTTTGCAATCACGAATATGGAAGCGGCACCTTACTGCTGAAGGAATATTTTGGCAGTAAGCAGAGCTAAGAGAGCATGCTGGCTTTTTCTTTCTTTCTTTTTCTTTTCTTTTTTTCTTTTTCTTTTTTAAGACAGAGTCTCACTCTGATGCCCAGGCTGGAGTGCAGTGGCACGACTTGGCTCACTACAGCCTTGACTTCCCAAGCTCAAGTTGTTTCCCCACCTCAGCCTCCCAAAGAGCTGGGACTGCAGGCGCACACCATCATGCCTGGCTAATTTTTGTATTTTTTGTAGAGACTGGGTTTTGCTATGTTGCCCAGGCTCATCTTGACCTCGTGGTCTCCAGTAATCCACCCACTTCGGCCTCCCAAAATTCTGAGATTACTGGCCTTGCATGCTGGCTTTTGAACATCACTGTAATGTAAGGTGTTATTTATTATTCAAAATAAAAAGTTGCATTTTCTGCTTTATTAAATTTAAGGAAAGGTCTTTCTGCTTGCTCTCATGTTTGGTAATTTTGCCTCTTCAACATTTAATATACGATACAATTTCTTTTTTCCTTTTGACATCTACTGTTTAGCTAACCTCAAGTTTTCCCTCTGTCTTTCCCTGGCCCTATTTGAGTAGATTTGGAATGAATGTCATAGGGCTGATGACCATGGTCTAGTCCCTTAGCCATACACTGTCAGAACTGTCATGGATAAACTAATAAGGATGGGATAGATTGCCTGTATGAAAGAACTCAAAAGCTGCTGTGCTTCAGTCATTCGGTCTAGAGCAGGATTTCTCAGCCTCAGCACTGTTGACATCTTGGGTCAGATTGGGGAGCTGCCTTGTGCATTGTAGGATGTTTAGCAGCATCCTAAGCTTCCACCTACTAGATGCCAATTGCAGCTTAACCCCTGTACCTCCCCAGTTGTGAAAAAAAAAAGATGTCTCCAGAAGTTGCTAAATGTCCCCTGGGGGGCAAAATCATCCCGCATTAAGAACCACTGATCTAGAGAATCTTGAGGTGAGTAGATCTGTTTCAGGGCTGACATTGGGTGTTTTTTTTGTTTTGTTTTGTTTTTGAGATGGGGTCTCTTTCTGTCTCCAGGCTGGAATACAGTGGCATGATCTTGGCTCACTGCAACCTCCACCTCCTGGGTTCAAGCGATTCTCCTGCCTCAGCCTCCCGAGTACCTGGGACTACAGGCGCATGCCACCACACCCAGCTGATTTTTGTATTTTTAGTAAAGATGGGGTTTCACCGTGTTGGCCAGGATGGTCTTGATCTCTTGATCTCATGATCCACCTGCCTCGGCCTCCCAAAGTGCTGGGATTACAGGCATGAGCCACTGTGCCTGGCCCAGACATCGGGTTTTATCCACTCTGTGTGTTAGGAGTCTGGGCTTCCCTTAGTGTGGGTGTAAGCCTCTGAAGCACCCCCAGATTTGACCAGCCTGGTTTTGGGGGCTGTTTTGCCCAAATGAGATTCCCTGAAGATCCATCCCAGGGCAGGAAGAGTAAATGAACCTGGTGGGGTCCTGGTGGGAGGGCTGACAAAGAGGAGAATGTGATGTGGGTTGGTGGTCTCCCTTGCCCCTCATGCATGCTTCGAGATCATTGTTTGCTTCATTTCCCTAAAATCTACAGTTCCTTTGAAAGTAGACTCTGGCGTTATCACCTTTCCCCGGTCTTTTTGCAGTTTCCTGTTGACCTCTGAGCCATTCTCCCTCACTCTTGTTTCACTCTGTTTGCAACACTACCTCTTCCTGTATCCTGGCCTCTCATTTCTCACAGATCATCATGCTGTTCTTGAAACATTTTATTTACTTGATTTTAGAAAACTATACTCTTAGTTTCCCTAAAATCTCATAATCTCTTTGCGGGATTTTCCTCATCTTTGTGACTTCCAAAATTTGAAGTGTCCCCTGGCCAGTCCTGGGTGGCTACATTCAATCTCAGAGTTTTAAATATCATCTCAATGACAAACGTTTCTGTAGTGTTTACTGTGTCCTAGGCATTGTTCTAGGTGCTTTACAAATATAACCTCATTTAATTTTCCTAACAACCCTTGACATTGGTGCTTGTTAAAGGTCATGTAACAAGGTAGTATTTCTGAGAGTGTGGTCTACAACCACCTGTATCAGAAGTGCCCAGGGTGCTAGTTTAGTACTCACCTCACAGGGTAGATGTCAGGATTAAACGGGATAATTCAAGCAAAGTACTTGGGACCAGACTTCATGAGTAATAACGACTCATTGTTGCTGTTCTTACTGTTATTGTCCAAGAGATATTGTTAAGTGAAGAGGAAAAGTATAAACATAGGTATAATTTGATTCCATTTTTTCAATTAAAAATATATGCTAATATAGACTAATAGTTCTCAAACTTCTTGGTCTCAGAACACCTTTAAAATAATTGAGGATCCCCAAACCTTCGTGTGCGTTTACCTGTTGATATTTACCATTTTAGAAAATTAAAACTGAGAAATTTGAAAAGATGTTAAAATAATGGTTACAAATACATTATATGTTAATACAAATAACATTTTTGTGAAAACTAACTATATTGTTCAAACAAAAAAATAAGAAGAGTGACATTGCTGTTATACTTTTACAAACCTCTCTAGTGTCCAGATGAGCAGGAGGCTGGAGGCTAATATCTGCTTCTGTATTCAGTCTATGGTGATATTGCCCAACAGGTGACCTCTTGGAGTGGGAGAGGGAGAGTGAAAAAGGCAAAGAAAAATTTTATTATTATGAAAATAGTTTTGATCTAAGGACTCCCCGAAAAGATGTCAGACACTCCTCAGTGGCTCACACTTGTAATCCCAGCACTTTGGGAGGCCAAGGCAGGCAAATTGCTTGAGCTCAGCAGTTGGACACTAGCCTGGGCAGCATGATGAAACCCCATCTCTACCAAAAAAAAAAAAAAAAATTAGTTGGGCATGGTGGTACATGCTTGTAATCCCCAGCTACCCAGGAGGCTGAGGTGGGAGGATCACCTGAGCCTGGTAGGTCAAGGCTGCAGTGAGCTGTAATCAGGCCACTGCACTCCAGCCTAGGCAACAGAGTAAGACCCTGTCTCCAAAAAAAAAAAAAAAACCAAAATTCTGGGGGTTCCCTAACCATACCTCCAGGGGTTCCCTGACCATGCCTTGAGAGTCACTTGTATAAGCATAAGGAAAAACCTTGATTATAGAGAAAGTCTTTAGCATTAAAATTATAGCTGTCTATTTTTTGTATTTAGGTAATGTTGAGTATTATATGTGCTACTTGTATTTTCTTATGATGATAAAAGTAAAATTTAAAAATAAAGATTGAGACCACTTTCAAAAGAACAAAGTAGTGGATGCAAAAAAGGTAGAAAATGGCCAGGTATGGTGGCTCACGCCTGTAATCCCAGCACTTTGGGAGGCCGAGGCGGGGCAGATTGCTTGAGCCCAGGAGTTTGAGACCAGCGTGGGCAACGTGGTAAAACCCCATCTCTACTAAAAATACATAAATTAGCCAGGTGTGGTAGCACACGCCTGTGGTCCGTGGTCCCAGCTGCTTGAGAGGCTGAAGCAGGAAGATCTCTTGGGCCTGAAGTTAAGGCTGCAGTGAGCCATGATTGTGCTACTGCATTCCAGCCTGGGCAACAGAATGAGACCCCATCTCAAAAAAAAAGTAGAAAATGGGGTAGACACAGGGAAATATGGATGTGGTGAAGAAAAACTTCATCCACCTAGAATTTTAGCGTAAAACCAGACCTGTGACTAGTTTATTCCCAGGCATATTAGTTTCCTGGAACTGTGATAACAAAATGCCCCAAACTAGATAGTTTAAACAACAGAAATTTATTCTCTCACAATTCTGGAGGCTAGGAGTCCAAGAACAAGGCAGGTGGCAGAGCCGTCCTCCCTCTAAAAGCTCTAGGGAGCAATCCTTAATTGCCTCTTCCAGCTTCTGGTGTTTGCTAGCAATCTCTGACATTCCCTTGTAGCTGCATTACCCCAGTCTCTGCCTGTCTTCACATGGCTTTCTCCCTGTGTGTGTGTGTTTCTGTGTATAGATTTCCCTCCTGTCATAAGGATATAAGTCATATTGTATTTATGACCTCATCTTAAGTTGATTGTTTCTGCAGAAACACTATTTCTGATAGGGTCACATTCATAGGTACTGAGGGTTAGGATCTCAACATGTCTTTCTGGGGGACATAATTTAACCCACAATAGCAGGTCATATATAAAAGCAAAATACAGATACCCTGTATAAATTTACATTCTTCTAAAACTTCACTGCTATATCAGGTCAGCTAAAAACATGTTTTGTATGCCTTTGACCATGTTAAACCCACTCTCAGCCTAGCCTGTAAAGATGATAGCTGCTAACTAACCCTCTGTGTTCTTACATTTGGCTCCTTTAAAAAAATAGTCAGAGGGAGCTCCTTGTGTCCTTTCTGCATTTTCATCATCATCTACAGGATTCCCAGCTGAGAACTACAGGGTTTTTAGTTTTTATCAATAACCTACAGAGTGAGTATTACATGTGCCATACATTCTGCTAAGAAATTTACAAATACTGTGTCATTTAACTCACACATACCATGAGTGTCCTATAAAATTACAAAAGTAATTTATGCTCATTGTGACAAGTCAAAGAATTGAGGAAGTTGTGATATCACCTACACTTCTACAGTGCCATCGCACTGTAAAGGCATATGTGACTGAAGACTGAAGGAGATGCCAAAGTTAGTCATGTGATGTATTTTCAAAGGCCCTGAGGCAGCAGTATGTCTGGAGTGTTCAAGCAACAGCAAAGGAATCTTGGGTGGATAGAACAGAATAAGCCCAGGGGAGAGAAGGGAGGGAGCTTAAAGATCATACAGGGCTTATTGATCACAGTAAGGATTTCAGCTTTTACTCTGGGTGAAATGGAGAGCTTTGCAAGGTTTTGAACAGAGGAGTGACATGACCAGTCTTAATTTTTACAGGCTGCTGTGTAGCAGCAGAGAAGCGGAGGAGTCGGTCAGCAGGCTCTTGTATTAATCTTGGCAAGCCACAATGGCAGCTCAGGCCAGAGTGGTAGCAGAGAAGGTGGTGTGAAGTGATCAGATTCTAGATATATTTTGAAGGCAGGACTAGCAGAATTTGCTAATTAATCAGATATGCAGTACAAGAAAAAAGAGAAGTCAGGGCTGATTCTAAATATTTGCCTTGAAAGGGAAGGAGTTTGTGTCAGCTAAGATGTGGAAGTCTGGGGTGAGAGAGGTTTTTTGAGAGAAAATTACGAGTTCAGTTTTGAACATGTTACATTTGAGAGAGCACCTATTCATTGTTATCTTAAGTAGTGACTTCTTGATCTTTTTGTGGACTATGACAAATGTATACTTTGTTGGGACATTTTGGGGGATTTGATTAGATCCCTCTTAAAATATAGTTGGTGAGGAACTTCAGGAAGATAAAATCTAATTGATTTCAGAGAAACTGTGACTATAACAGTCTTTGCAGAATACAGAATGTAGTGTCTTGTGTGTTTAATTTATATGTCTATAGATCTCTGCTTCTTCCCTGTTTTACTCAACACTGTTTTTCAATCTGTCCATTTTTGCTCTATGTACCTCTTGCATCTAGTTTGCAGTTTCTAACTGCTGCATCATATTCCATGTTGTGTTCTTACTCTATTTTACTTAACCTTTCCTCTAGTGAAGGAACTCCAGGTTTCTTCCAACTTCCTGTTATCCCAGCAGTGCTGCAATGAACATCCTTGTAGACATGTGAGAAACATTCATTAGGCTGTGGGATTATATACGTGCTAGATTCCAGTGAGTCCTGCAATTTCACTCTTCAGAATGGCTGCCTATGATTAAATTCTTACGAGCAATACCTGACTATGCCCATGTATCTCAGTACTAGGCTCTGCTTCAAGCACGTCTATATTTAATATACATATTTATATATTTTAAAAATTTATTACATATAGCTTTTCATGATGTTATTTCATAATTTAAAAATACTATGTAGTTTTTTTCTTCCTTTTCATTTTGTATTTTATTTGGCTAGTTTTTACTCTTATTTTGCCTGATTAGTCTTGGCAGAGGTTGTCTATTTTGCCAGTCTTTTAAAAACAATTAGGTTTAGTTTATTTCCTCAACTTTTTTGTTTTTATTCTGTTTTTTCTTTCCATATTTGTATTATTGTTTCTTCTCCTCCTCATCCTTCTCCCCCTCTATCCTCTGTGTTTGTTGCCTTTTTACCATTTGATCCTAAGCATTTTTAAATTTCTTTTAAATTTCATTTTACCCTGTATAGTATGTTTTACCCCTCGTCATTGATTGATTTTTTTCTTTACATTATGCTTAGAAAGCATACATCATATGATATTGATTTGGGGAGAATTTATGGTCACTTCCCCTGAGGCCTAGCATATGGTCAGGTTTAATAAATGTTATATCTGTGTTTGAAGGGAATATAATCCCTGTTGGGTATAAAGATTTGTATGTATTTACTAGTTTGAGCTTATAAACCATATTATTCAAATCTCATATATCAGCTTATTTTGTCTCTTTGCTCTATCAGTTTCTAAGAAGAATGTGATAGAATATTCACCTCCAACTGTTTATTAATCTGTTTTTTGCATGCTCAGTTATTTGTTCCTTTATATATTTTGAGGTTTTGTTGTTGGGTGCGTTTATGTTGGTGATTATTATGACTTACTGATATGTTATTATGAGTATATAATGTCTCTTATATTTATCTTCCTTGAATTTTTTAACATATGTTAAGAATACCTACTCTAACTTATTGTGATTCATATTTAACTGGTTTATTGTTGTCTAAATTTTATAATCAAGCTTCCTATAAGTTTTTGATGGATCATTTGGATCTGTAAAATTTTTGATGAATATTGTCTTTATTCAAATCTGAGGGTTTTATACTTTTGATTGCTATGTTTATCCCATTCGTGTTTATAGAGAGTAACAGAATAATTACTGCTTTTTTTGAGCGTGTGTGCTGTCTTTCATGTTTTCTATGTCGTACTTTCTCTCCCATTGAAAATATCTTCCACTGATTCAACATTTTAAATTTCTGTTTTATTCTTCTGATATTCCCAACTCACTAAGATCCATACTTATATTTATGGTTCTTGATCAGTTACTAAGCCTATCACTATGTCAATATCTATAAATTATTCCCAAATGATAGAATTAATTTAGCATATGGTGCCCTGCTTCCCACCCTAAATCAGGAGGCAACCATGGACATTTGTGAACAGCTTTTCCTTCTGTGAGATGTGTGGGGAGCACTGATGTCTGAGTTTCTGCTGGGCTGGCAGGGTTGCTTCTGTGAGCAGAAGCCAGTGAAGTTGTTGATTTCTAGGGTAAGCAGAGAGGTGATCACTGGAAACAGACTTATTTCAGACCTGGGCCACCAGGAACAGAAACCAGAAAACAGGCAAAGCCAGCAATGCATGCGATGACCAGGGAGGACAATGAATTGGGTCTCCTGGGTTTCCCTTTTAAATAATCAATGCAAAAGCGTTGATCATATCCTTCTTCCTGGACCGCTATCTCTACTGCTTGTTAAGAGCAGATACCCTGGTTAGCCTTTGCCCTCTCCTTGGGCCTGGGGAAGTTACCTTTGTGACTCAAGAATCCTCAGGTACACAAACCTGCTTTCTGGGACCTCCCACTGAGCCATTTAAATACAAGCTTAGGCTCTAGTAGGACATCTTTACTCTTTCACCAGTAAAATCATTACTGCCTAAACAGAGTAAAGATAGTTACCACCGACCTTCCTACCCCTAAACACCCATTTCTTTAAATCAGGTGGGCTGTCCTTACAGCTTAATGTATCACTGTCCCATTTTCCACTCTTGATTCATGATTTCTTATTGTTCCATGGAGGGTCAGGAGGGGCCCTTCTCAAGTTTTCATTGGAGAGATGCTCTCTGCTCCTACTCTGATGGGCTCCTCTGGCATTTAGGTGTGTAGAGGTATTCTCACCCTCCAATTTTTGCTATATGCAAGTATTTCATTTTATCACCTTGACTGTCCGTGTCCTACCTTTTTTTTTTTTTTTTTTTTTTTGAAGGCATTGTTTTTTGAGCCCATTGACATTTTATTCTAATTTGGATGGATAGCTGTGGTTTTTTTGTTTTTCTTAAAACTTGGTTCTGCTTCTTTTACTGTGTCTTTCCTCCTTTTTCTTTTTTTAATTGGAGGAACTTACTTCAGAAGTCTAGTTATCCTTGGCTAAATGTTAACATTTAAAACCAAGCACCAAAAAGCTTTTGGAGGCTGTATGTTTCTATCTAGGGATGATTGCCTGATAGGGTTTACTTGTGGTTGCCCGGGCAACTGGCTTATCATTTAATCACACACTGCCCTCAAATGTCAGTACCTGGATCTTTTTTTCTGTGGTGGTTCATTTCCTCCATGGAAAGATCGTCAGGTCTTTTCCTTGTGGACTATACACCTGACTGCCAGTGTTTCTGGGATCAGGTTGGGAGACAGAGCTGTGTCGTTCATTATCCAGACTGTCACCTTAATTATTCTGTTGTTAGCACCAGGCCTCGCTCAGTCCCTCACTCTGCCTGATATCCCTGGTTTCGTGGTTGTCTGAGGTGGGAAGGAGAAACTGGAGTGTCTAGTCACTATGGGTATAGACTTAAACCCAGTCTTGTTCTCTGGCTTCTTCTGTGCCTCATGCCTTCAAGTGCTGAGGTCCTCAGGGATTCTGTTTCCTTTTTGTTTGAATCTCTCCCTGAAAGTATTTTAGGAGGTAATGTTGTCCACTCTTTTCATGCAGTTACCCATATTCCATAAGCTTTACATTGCCTAAAAATTCTTCATAGTGTTCCATCTTCTCTTGACTCTTCTGTTTCTGGTTTTAGCTTTTTTAAGCTCTTCAGGTGGCCAGTTTGGCATTTCAGTTGTAACCTCTTTTCAGTTACTTCCCTCCTGGAACACTCTTTCCTGCTGTCTGGGTCTCTCACTTGTGTAATTTCTCTTCTGCCTCTCCATCTGCTCCTTCTCCATCTTTTCCCTGGCTCTTCCTGCCTGCAGCTTCTCAGTGCTGGAGGGCTGCAGCCTCTGCCTGGGCCTCCATTCTTCCCTGTGACACTCCCTTTCCAGCCGTCTCACTTGGCCATCAATTCTAAATACAGGCTGTAAGGTAATGACTCCTATAGTTGTATTTCCCTCTTCTCTGTTGAACTCCAGATTTATATTCATTTGCCTACCTGACATCATTACTTAGGTATCTAATAAGTACCTCAAACTCAATATGTCAAAAAAATTGAACTTTCCAATCATTTATGCCAAATCTGTTTCTTCACTATCTTGGCTATCTTGGTAAGTCACATTACATCTACTTAGTTGCTCACGTGAAAAACCTAGGAGTTATCCTTGATTCCTCTCTTTGCCTCACCTTTCACATTCAATTAATATGTGCAAGTCCTCATTGGCTTTACTGCCAAAGCATGTACACAGTCTAGTCACTTCTTCCAACAGCACTGCTGAAATCCTCATTCAGGTTACCACTGTCTTTCATCTCAGCTATGCAGTCGGTCTCCAGACTTCCACTGTCGCCTGTATAGAGTCCATTCTGATGAAAGTAACTCAAACTACTTTTTTAAAACTCAGATCAGCATTTGTCACTTTTCTGCTGAAAAGCCTTCAGTGATTTACCATTGCCTTTAGAATAGAATGCAAACTCTGTATGTGGTCTGCGAGGCCTCACATGATCTTGTCCCTGCCTACTCTTCTGAACTCAGCTTATGCTACTCTTTTTCTAACTCACTAGGCTGGACTCACACTGGATTTCTTTTTGAGTGTGCCAAGCTTGCTTGATCCTTTCTTAGGACCTTTGCACAGGAATAGACTGATCCAGATCCTCACTTGGTTGGCTCCTTCTTGTCATTTAGGCTGAGCTGGAATAGCACTTTAGAGTGGACCTTCCATGATACCCAGTTGAAGGAGCACTATGCACAAACACTCATGTGCACACACACACTATTTTTTTCTTATCTATTTTTCTTATTTTTTAATTGCCCCTTCACTTTTGAAATTACTTATTTGTTTATTTACTTATTTATTGTCTGTATTCCCCACCTCCATTACAAAATAAATTCTACAAAGGCAGGAACTTCATCTTCCATGGCACTTGATAGATAGGCACTCAATTAATTTTTGTGGAATGAATGGATGGATGGCTGAATGCCTGTATGGGGAGTAGAGGGGTACACTTTCCACCCCAAATCCTCGTAAAACTCAAGATAAGAGGACTTGACTAAGAATTTATGACCTCAGGCTGGGCATGGTGGCTCACGCCTATAATCTCAGCACTTAGGGAGGCTGAGGCAGGTGGATCACTTGAGGTCAGGCATTTGAGACCAGTCTGGCCAACATGGGGAAACCCTGTCTCTACTAAAAATACAAAAATTAGCCGGTGTGGTGGCACATGCCTGTAGTTCCAGCTACTTGGGAGGCTGAGGCAGGAGAATCGCTTGAACCGGGGAGGCAGAGGTTGCAGTGAGCCGAGATCATGCCATTGCACTCCAGCCTGGGTGACAGAGTGAGACACCATCTCAAAAAAAAATAATAATAATTTATATATATATAAAATATATGTATTATATATATAAAAACTATATATATATATATATATATATATATATATATATATATATATATACCATGAACAAATCTTTAGTTTCTTTAGTGAACACCTCTCTGATTATAGAGCAGGCAGTCATTTTATTTCCATTAAACTTGGGGCAATGAGAAGTGTTGCTCAGCCCAGCTGCTCTGAAGTCAAGTGTTTAATTACATAAGGCTACTGTCCCACAACCCACTCCTGCTTTCTGTCTCTGCCAACTCCAAATTTGGAACCTCTGTGAGGCTCTTCTCAGAACAGCTATAGCTTCCTCTGCTGTGGCTTAATCATGTCCCACTTAACAGTTTATCTTGGAGGAAATTGTTAAAATCTCTTGACTCTGCCAGCCATTCCTCCCACCTGCTTTCCTGTTTTCATTACAGGTATAGATTTCTCTCCTTCGACACCATTTTCTAATAATTTCAATAGGTTTTGTTGCAGGGGAGAGGAGTAGCTAGGTTTGTTCAGTCTTCCATCTACATTTGTAAGTCTTTTGCCTGAGTCCTTTTACTGCTGTGATATGGGCTGTATAGAGCCTTCACAAGTGGATCCAGAGTTTATGCATTAATAAATAACTCCATCTGGTGTTCTCATACATCACTGATTTTAGGGAGATAATTTTTTTAGATCTTTTGCTGAAGAGTCAAAGGTCATTTTATGCTGCTGCTTCAGAGTACAACACATGTCTGTCTCAGAGAGAGAGAGAGGGAAATGCTCACTCCTGTCTTGTATAGTTTCCTGTTTCAACCTTGCCTTCTATTTTTCGGTAATGGAGAGACACAGTTCAAATGTTCTGGGTTTAATTTAGTGGGTCCCGGTAGAATAACCCCAAGTGGATTGTGGGTTCAATTTGTGAGATTTAAGAGGTAGAGTTGAGAGAAGTTGGAGACTAGGTAAGTTTTTGCTTGCTTTTATTTTCAGGGTGGTTGGTGTTGTATGAGGAAGAGACTAAGAAAGATAAGTCATAGATAACGTCTGGATTTCTTGCCTGGGAAACTGGGCAGAAAACATCATCATCATGGGGACTGAGATTGTAGTCTAAGTAGCTGGTTTATGGATGGGTGGGCAGGAGGAATGATTTCAGCTTTAGATCTGCTAAACCTATGGGTCATCCAAATGGAAATATTTAGAAGACAGTGGGATATACAGACCCTGAGCTTATGAGAGAGATATGGGCTAGAGGAAGTTCTGGGAAGGATCAGCATGGGAGGTGATTTAGATAGTGAGTGAAGATGAGATTATGGAGGAAAAAGTGAGTAGAGTAAAAAAGAAGAGGAGGGAGAAGTGCAGGATCAATCAGTCAAAGGATACTTAAAAGAAGTGGCCAGAGAAGTAGGAAAAAAGTTTAGGACACTGTTGTGTCATGAAATCCATAGCAACAGAACATCTTAGAGGGAGGAAATGGTCAACAGTATTAAATGCTACAGAGAAAAATGTATATATGATCTGAGCAATTCTTAGTCCAGTACTTGTCACACAATTACTCAGTAAATATTTGTTGTGGAGAAAACTATTTGTTACCTTTTACTTCAAAGAGGTGGTTGGCAATTTGGCAAAAGCAAGATCAGTAGAATGTAAAGTGTATAAAATAGATTCAATTGTGTTATCTCCCGAATGTGAGGTAAGATGTCTACTGGAGTAGTAGAACTCTTGCAATAAGCTTAGATGGAAAAGGAAAAGAGAGGTGATGATACCTAGAAGGGAACCTGTAAGCAGTAGAAGACCTGAGCATGTGCCAGTGTGGATGGGAAAATACTGAAAAGCAAGGGAGAAATTAAACATGCATATGAAAGAGAGGGGATCACTGATAGAATGAAGTCCTGAGGAGTGCAGCGTGATGAATTACAGAGCATAGGAGGGGAGGATTAACTAAAGGAGTACTACGGAATGAATGTTTGTATTCTCCCCAAATTCATATGCCAAAGCTCCTCTCCCCACTGTGATGGCATCTAAAGACGGTGCCGTTTGGGAGCTAATTAGGTCATGAGGGTAGAGCCCTTACAGATAAGACCAGTGCCCTTATAAGAAAAGACAGGAGAGGATCTGTTTGTGCCATGTAAGGATACAGCAAGAAGGTGCTCCTCTGCAAACCAGGAAGAGGGCCCTCACCGGAAGCCAAATCTGCCAGGACCTGGATCTTGGACCTCCCAGCCTCCAGAACTGTGAGAAATAGATTTCTGTTGTTTAAGATGCACAGTCTGTGACATTCTGTGATAGCAGACTGAGCAGACTAAGACAAAGAGGATTCCCTGTGTGGCTGACAGGGCTAGGAAGATGGATCTGGATGCAGGTGGGGCCTGCAGAGGAGGGATATGGTAGAGGTGCAGAGTGACAGGGTTCCTGCCTGCTGACTTTTGTTTACTTGATTAGATAGAAGACAGGGTCATCTGCTGGGAGTTAACTGAAAGGAGGTGAGTTAAGAGTATTAAGGGAGTGGTGGAATTTGCAGGAAAGAAGTCAGCAGAGAGGTAAATCCTGGAGGTTTACTGGGTAGTTTTGGCTTGATAGAGGTCAGAGATCAATATACTTTAGTTGTTCCTCTATACCTCATAGTTGTGCCCTTTGGCCTGAATGTTGGAGCAGAAATGATAGACATCTGGGTTGATCTAGGGTGAGGGTGTTGCTATGTGAGTGGAATGAAAAGATGTGAGGAAGTCAGGAACTTGAGGAATTGGCAAGGAAATGGAAAGGTGATGGGCCGTGGGCTCTAGGTTGGAGAAGGGAGGAAGGGGAGGGAGTGTAAGAAGGGATGATGGATTCATTCTTTTTTAAAAGCAAGCATCTATAGAATGCCTCACACCAGGACAGACAACATCCCTACCAGCATGGGGAGGGGAGACATGAATGATAAAGGCAGTTAAAGATAATGATAGGTGCTATAAAGAAACTAAACAGGCTGTCATGGTAGGTAACAGGAGGGCCTAATTTAGATAAGTGCTCAGGAAGGGCCTCTCTAAGAGGTCATATTTTTGCTGAGATCTAAAGGGTGAGAGGGAGCCAGCCACATGAAGATCTGGTCAGAGGAAGAACTAATGCACAGGTCCTGAAGCTGGGAAGAGTTTAGCAAGAATGGAAAGGAGGCTAAGGTGACTAAAGGGAAGGTCAGAATGAGATGAATTTGAAAAGGCAGGGAGCAGCCATGTCATTTAGGGCTTTGTAGTTGTGTAAGGCATTTAGATTTCATTGTAAGTACAATGGGAAGCTTTTGAAATGTATACAACAGAGGAGGGATGAGATCTTACTAAGCTACATTGTCAAGAATGGAGAGCAGGAATGGAGGCAGGAGGCCAGTCAAGAGGTCGTGATAGTATACCAAGCAAGAGCTGAAGAGGGTTTGGATTTGGGAGTGGCAGTGAAGAAGTGGTTGGATTTGAGATATATTTGGACATATGTATCTCAACGCCCTACCCTTGGTTCATAGGCCTCCCCTTGGTTTAAACCATCATCTCTCACTTGGAGTATACTAACAGCCTTCCCTTTTAACTGGTCTTTCTGCTTCTACTCTTAATTCTATCTCCACATAGCAGAGAATGAAGCCATTGAAAGCATATGTAAGATAATGTTACATTTGACTTCCAACTCTCCAGGGACCTCTCATCTCACTCAGAGTTTAAACTCTAAAAGTGGCCTACAAGGCTGTCCACAGCCCAGCTGCTGTGTTCACTATGCTCCAGCCATGCTGGCCTTCTTGCATTTGTTGAATACACCACTCATTCCCACCTCAGAAACTTTACACTGCTGGAAGCTTTCCCCAGCATGCTTCTCTTCCAGACATTCTCATGACTTGCTCTGTTACCAGTTTCTGTTTATGTGTCACCTTGCAATCCTACCTTCCCTGATTGCTATATTTAAAAATCACATCTGCCTGTGCTGTACCAACATTCACGAACCCATTTCCCTGCTTTACTTATTCTCCTCAAAATTTATCATGATCTGACAGTCTATGGATTTTATTTATTTGCTTATTTTCCATTTTTCCTTTCCCCAGAATGCTATTTTCATGAGGACAAGAATTTTTTATGCCTATTACTGTATCCCAGTACAATAGTGCCTGATACACAGTAACTACTCAGTAACTATTTGTAAAATGAATCGAATAGATTGGCTGTGGAAAAAAAGAAATGGTATAATCAAGGAAAGTTAAAAGTGCACAGCTTTTTAGCCTAATCAACTTGGTGGTGGTCATACCATTTACTGAAAGAAGGATGACTAGGAGAGGGACGGGTTTTAAATGGTACAGTGGGCATTGTGCTTGTGTCATGTAGAGTTTCAGATACCTATTATAGCTCCAGGTAGGTATTGCAGGAAGGAAATTGGATGGAGGCCTGGAACTCAGAGGTGAGGAGTTTGGGAGTTATCAACATATACAGGATTTAAAGCCATGATGTTGAATAGGATCATGTATGTGGAGAGATAGAGAAGAGGGAAGATTAAGAAGTGAGTCCCAGTGGTCTCCAACATTGACAGAGGAGAAGCATCCAGTGGCTTCTGAGCAGGAGCAGCTGGAAAGGCAAGAGTAAAACCAGGAAAGTGTGTTAACATGGGGGCTTAAAGAAAAAAGAATTTTTACAGAAATGAGAGTGGCCCAAGAAAGATAAGAACAAAAAAGTAGAGAGGACAAGGCACTGGTGGTCTCAGTGAAATTACAGAGGAAGTTTAGTGGGAGTAATGGTGTGAGATAACCGGAGAGCAGTATGTTATGGTCAGAGCATTGCACAGTTGAATTTTAAAGGAACATATCTAGATAACGTCAAGGTCTGGAATTTGACTATGGAGTCTTCTTATTTTGAGAAGGTAAAACACTAAGAGTCTAGGTTACCAGATGGGATGTTCACATAGACTGAAATTATCTTTGTGGAGGGTAAGGCTTAAGGTCAAGAGTAAGAATATGTAGCCAGATACCAAAATCTTCAGTGTATGCGGGTCTGTTACTTGGTAGAATACATGGTAAGAGAATGCTGGCAGGTGCTGGAAACATGATGGCATGAGCTTCTGAGGGGCAAGAACTGCTGCCCAAGGGCTGAGCATTAATGATCTGGATGCACTTTGGGCAACGAGGAGAAGCCAGCCCTACATCCTGCCTCATAGACAAAAGTTTTTTGGGGTAACTCAACAGCTGCAAAAGAAGCAGTGAACTCAGGCTGGTTTCTGTAAATAGCATGTGGACGTGTTGGGGAATGTGTGTTTCATGGACTCAGATTCCAGGAGGGTTCAGTGGAAAGACTTGGGGAGCAAAGAGAATGTTAGAAGGCAAAGTGAAGAGCAGTGTGTAGATGAATGTCAGAGGTTGGAGTACCAACCTTCTGCCTATTGCCATAGAAGAATCTTCTATAATAGTTAACTTTCAGCATGACCCTGTCATGAGATGCCTGCCAGCATGAATATTTGTTAACTGTGCCCCAGATAACCATATGCATTAATCTACTGAATAGAATTATTTACTATTACCCATGTGAATGTGGAAGGATGCCTGCCAAACACAATGATAGTGGTTTTGGCATAAAAAGTCCTTTCTGACAGTAATTGTTGGCCAGTGTGGTTAGCTGCTTGTTGAGGCCACTCTTGGCACAGGAGAGCAGTGCCATGTCATCACAGAGGGGGAGGAATGCTTATCGCCCTCTGTCTGTGGGCCTGCTTCCAAGCCATTCAAAATATGCATCAAATTGCTCGGGTTTGTTCATGATCTCCGGGCTAGGACACAGCCCTGTTTTAAGCTGTTTAAGATGAGAAAGAAATGTTTTACTCAGAGTTACCCATCAGTTTTGAGGAGGTTATAAATCGTTCTTTTCCCCAAGACAGCATGAGACCAGCTTCTTTCCTGCCCTCCTCCCCAACAACCTCACTCTGGGGTTTGTGAAACTGCAGTTTGCCATAGAGTTTAGAGTACAGAAATTTCCTCCCTAATAACATAGATAAAACAGTGGTGCTGTCAGACCTTTGATTTTGGAAAGTTCTTAGATGTCTTAAAGTTAGGTAAAGAATTGTCACTGAGGCAGGTAGAAGTGGAGGACAATCTTTGAAGATTTCCAAGTTTTGACCAGATTTGCTTGTTGTTTTTATCTGATTGAGAAACAAACGGAAAAGGAAGTTTTACACTGAAAACATTTTTGTTGGGCTGTGCATAAATGCAAAGCTTGTCTCATTCATTTTAATTTTTAAGGAAAAGCTTCCTCTTTGGACTAAACGGATCACAGTTTTGACAGGAAAAGTAGATAATTATTTAGATAACCTTCCAGCCCTTTGAGTCTTTGGGAGATACAAAACTCTCATTGGAAGATCATCAGCATGCCTGCAACTGTTACTTCTCTTTAGTTCTCAATGATGGATGCATTTACTTAATGCGCTCAGTTCAGTGAAGAACTTGTTAACTGGTGAACTAGTGAACATGCGGATCATATATTGACCATATTACTTTTCAATGGATGCAGCTTAATATTTAGATTAGTTGTGAAAAATGACATTTTCTACTAGTGTATGTTTAGGCCTCTCAGGACTCAGTACTGCATTTTATACTGATCTGTATAAATGGAACTCTCGTGGGCCTCTGAGGACTCTGGTAAACAATTCATTCTTCTGTTCATGGCCCTTAGTGTCAGTAAAAATTACTGGCAAAATAATAACCATGCATTATACAGTGTCTTTTCTATTTTCTATTTATGCCTTTATTTGAAACTATAATTAAATAATGTCAAACTTGCAACTATAACAAAATAGTATCTGCTCTTTGAATATGATACAGGCCAAATTCTATAAACTTTAATTAGCCCAAGCTTGTATTGACCTCAGTAGGAATCTGGCTGGCTGAGGATCTCTTTTAGTTACCTCTGCCTTAAAGTATGTAAGAATTTTCCCATTGCCTTTCTCACTCAAGGAACAATACATGCATAGCTGAACTAATAAAATGCTTAAATAGATACAAATCAAACTTGAAAGGTTTAAACTGTTGTTTTCATCCTGTAAGTCAGCTGAGAAAAAGCATACAGACCGTAGTTCTAAATTATGTCCATAGAGTATTTCAAATCCAGTGAATTAACTCTGCCTTTTTTTCCCATTTGAGCTCATAAATGTTAACCTCAGAAGTGCCTCAGATTCTTCCATTGAAATAAACTTGAACTGACAATAGCCAGATGATGTAAAATTGAAACTGAAATTCTATCCTTGGCCCATCCCATGTTCTTCCCCATAGGTATTAGAGGACTCACAGGAGAGTTAGCGTTTTCACTCTATTTGAGCTGTAATATTTGGGCAAAACAGGGCATATAAATTTCTTGCTGCCAGGAGAAAGCAATTACCAGTGTGGAGAAGATAGCGGGCAATAAATAAACAGAACTATGCTAGATAGTGAGCATGTTTAAAGATTTATTTAGAATGACTTAGCTGATAGAAAACAGGCCTTTATCATATGCTTTCATTCAAAGCTTGATATGGGGACTGTGGTCTTTTTGTAATAGAAAGGCTAATTATGTTACCAAGTATTTATTTGGTACATTATTTTAAAATAAATAAATCGAGTTATGTTCTATTGTGCAACTAAAAAATGAAAACTATTCACATATAGCATAGCCAGGCATGGTGACACACACCTGTAGTCCCAGCTACTTGGGAAGCTGAGGCAGGAGAATTGCTGGAACCCAGAAGGCGGAGGTTGCAGTGAGCCGAGATCATGCCACTGCACTCCAGCCTGGGCGACAGAGCAAGAAACTCCGTCTCAAAAAACAAAACAAACAAAAAAGCAAGCCAGGCGCGGTAGCTCATGCCTGTAATCCCAGCACTTTGGGAGACTGAGGCGGGTGGATCACCTGAGATCAGGAGTTCGAGACCATCCTGGCCAACATGGTGAAACCCTGTCTCCCTAATAATACAAAAATTAGCCGGGTGTGTGGCTAATTTTAATTTAATTTAATTCTTCAGCCTCCAGAGTAGCTGTAATCCCAGCTACTCTGGAGACTGAGGCAGGAGTATCACTTGAACCCAGGAGGCGGAGGTTGCAGTGAGCCAAGATTGCCCCACTGCACTCCAGCCTGACCAACAGAGTGAAACTGTGTCTCAAAAAAAAAAAAAAGAAAGAAAGAAAGAAAACAAAACTATTCACATGTAGCAAATCAAATAGCCCTTTGAAAATGTACTATATCTGTGTCAACATTATTTATGGATAATGACTCCCTATGTGTCTGTGTGGGATCTCTACATGTAGTGGGAGCTAGGTGTTATCCCCGTCTTACTGATGAGGAAAATGAGCTCACCTGGTGCTAAGAAACTTCACTTTCCCTGGGTATCAACCCAGATCTATCTGATTGCAAAAGTGGTGCTGCTCTTGACTTCTATAATGTGCCCTCTCTCCCGTGACAATCCCTTTCATCTCTCTCTCTCTGTCTCCCATCCATCCATCCATATACACATCCCTCACAAATATGAGTTTGTGCATATGTATATATTACATATACACATACATATACTTGTGTGTGTGTGTATATATATATATATACATATATGTATTTATTCTCTTTTATTTTGAAAACAATGTGCCAGAGAGTCATGGATGTGGTTTTAGAGAAGAAGCAAGAAGGAATTTTTGTGACCCCAAAATTTTATTAGGTAGTCTTATCTAGCCTAATCCCAACCCCAACACTAAGGGTTAGACAGGGAAGGGACTTACCTTATAGTTAATGTAACTCTGAGGCATTCTTCAGGATAAAATAGTAATTCTTAAAGTTCCTTACACCATATCTGTCAGTGAACCTACTCTCTAAAACTCATGGAGAATTAAGAAGTGGGACTCCAGCTGTGGTTCATGTGGGATTAGCAGTTATTATCTTGATATTATTATAGAATTCAAGTACAGAGTATTAAAATCTATTAGATCAAATTATTTTAGGGGAAAATTATCTAAATATTGTTCAATCAAGGACACTGTTGTTTTTTTTTTTTTAAATGCCAACACCACCATAAATAGCTACAGAGCCAAACCCCTGAAGGGAAGAAATAATTTTGCCTCAAAAGGCATTTAGAAAATAAGAAAACAAATCAAGGTCTGATGAAAATTCAACTCTTTATGACTTGAAGAATTACATATGAAAAGTACATGTCACAAACACCCTATTTTTGAGGAAGAAACTTTTAAAATATAAAAATGTATGCAGAATATTGTGTAAAAATCATAGTTGCACTGCTTAGAATTTAAAATAAGTAATAATACATAGTAACAAATTAATTAGTTAAAATTTTTGCATTTTTTCCCTTCACCTTCTTTTCTTTTATTTATTTTTTTGTTCTTTTTTCACCTTCTTTTCTTACAAGAAATAAAATAATATAGATAAAGCTGTGGCCCTCATCTGACCACCACTCACACTATTCACCTTCCCTGAGGCACCAGTGAGTCTGTTTTTTCAGTTTGTTTTCTTTCTTTCTTTTTTTTTTTTTTTTTTTTCTTTCCAAGATGGAGTCTTGCTCTATTGCCCAGGCTGGAGTGCAATGACGCAGTCTTGGCTCACTGCAGCCTCTGTCTCCTGGGTTTAAGCGATTCTCCTGCCTCAGCCTCCCAAGTAGCTGGGATTACAGGTGTGAGCCATCACATCCAGCCAATTTTTGTATTTTTAGTAGAGATGGGGTTTCATCATGTTGGCCAGGCTGGTCTCAAACTCCTGACCTCAAATTATCTGCCTGCCTTGGCCTCCCAAAGTGCTGGGATTACAGGTGTGAGCCACTACACCTGGCCCTCATTTTCTTTTCTGACATTTCTGTAATATAGCCCATAAACTATATATTGTATTGTTTTGTGTGCATTTTTGGATTTAATTATATCATATCAGATTTTAGAACAGATATAGTGTACTTATTCGCTGAAAACTACTTGATTTTGGTGACTTGTATATGCAGTTGATCTCAGCCTTATGTGTTCATCTTATCTTTCTGACTACTGGGGTTCTAAGTATAATTTGCTCTCATTTTTATGAATTGCCTTTAAGAATAACAATCATTTGCCACTTTTTGTGAGAATAAAAAATTACTGATTATCTTTTATGTGACAGGTGGGTTCAGTCTTAATGAACTCTGTGTCCTGATGCCTAGCATATGGCAAGGATTTCATATTTGTTAATGTTTACTGAATGAATGATTAATGTTTACTGAATGAATAATCCTTTTAGATAGGGGGAAAAAATAAAACTGCTTGATTTTTGTCCACATTAAGATATCTTAAGTTCTAACCCATTTCTTTTTTCTGCTGAATAGCATTTTGTCATATAAGTATACCCCATTATCTGTTTAGTCCACTATTTATGATGGGATTTTCCTCATCCATAGTGAATATCCGCACACGGGGGATATTTGTGGGGATATTCACTACGGATGAGGAAAATCCCATCATAAATAGTGGACTAAACAGATAATGGACTAAACAGTCTCTAGGGGATGTAGCTGGGAGAAGAGGTGCTGGGTTGTATGGTGGGCTTTTTCCATTTTGCTACAGTCTGCCAAACCAGCTGTGTGTAAGAGATGTTATGTTTTTAGAATATAATATCATTATGAAACTTCTTTTATGAAGATATTTTGGCTTTTACATCTTATTCCTATTAACCAGGAGTTGGCACTCTTAAGGCCTGTGGGCCAAATCTGGTCTCCTATCTGTTTTTGTAATTAAAGTTAACTGTAGTCATCCTACACTGGTATGGAACACTAGAAGTTATTCCTTCTGTTGAGCTATAATTTTGTATCTTTTAACAAATCTCTCTCTATCCCTCCCTTCCCCTATCCTTCCCAGCTTCTAGTATCCTCTGTTCTACTTTTTAGTTCTAGGAGCCCAACTTTGTTTTGCTTCTCCATAGGAATGAGAACATGCAGTGATTAACTTTCCGTTCCTGGCTTATTTCGCTTAACATAATAGTGTCCTCTAGTTTCATCCATCTTGCTGCCAATGATTGGATTTTATTCTTTTTTATGGCTGGATGATATTTCATTGTGTGTATATGCCATGCTTTCCTTATCCATTCATCTGTTGTTGGACACCTGTGTTGATTCCATGTCTTGGCTATTGTGAATAGTGCTGTAGTAAAGATGTGGGTGCAGATGTCTCTTCGATATACTAATTTCCTTTCCTTTGGATAAATGCCCAGTAGTGGGATTGCTGGATCATATGTTTATTCTATTTGTGGTTTTTTTGAAGAACCTCTATACTGTTCTCCATAGTGGCTATACTAGTTTGCAGTCCTACCAAAAGTGTATAAGAATTGCCTTTTTTCTGCATTCTCGCCAGTGTTTGTTGTTATTTATTTATTTATTTTTGGTCTTTTTTACAATAGCCATTCTAACTGGGAGGAGATGATACTACATTGTAGTTTTCATTTGCATTTCTCTGATAATCATGAGGTTGAGCATTTTTTCATAGATTTGTTGGCCATTTGTATGTCTTCTTTTGAGAAGTATCTGTTCAGATAATTTGACCATTTTTTAATTGGATTGTTTGTTGTTTTGCTGTTGAGATGTTTGAGTTCCTTGTATATTCTGGACATTAATCCCGTCAGAGAAGCAGTTTGCAAATATTTTCTCCTATAGGTTGTCCGTCTTTTAACTCTGTTGTTTCCTTTGCTGTGCGGAAGTTTTATTTATAAATAGGACATAATCCTATTTATTTTTGCTTATGTTACCTGTGCTTTTGAGGTCTTATTCATAAAATATTTTCCCAGACCAATGTCCTGAAGCATTTCCCCTATGTTTTCTTCTAGTAGTTTTATAGTCTTGGACCTTACATTGAGGTTTTTGGAAGCAATCTACAGTTTTGCTGCAATCTGTATCAAAATACCAATGACATTCTTCATAGAAATAGAAAAACAATCCTAAAATCTGTGTGGAACCACAAAAGACCCCAAATAGCCAAAGCAATTCTAAGCAAAAAGTACAAAGCTGGAGGCATCATACTATAAGCTATTGTAACCCAAACTGCATGGTACTGGCATCAAAACAGACACACAAACCGATGGAACAGAATAAAGAAGCCAGAAATTCATCCACATATCTACAGCCAACTGATTTTGACAAAGGTGCCAAGAACCGTTGTCACTGGAGAAAGGACAGTCTCTTCAAAAAGTGGTGTTGGGGAAACTGGATATTCATACACAAAAGAATAAAACTAGACCCCCCCACCTCTCACCCTCTATTTTATTGTTTTTAGTTTTGTTTTTTGAATTATCTAATATTCAGCTGCATAAATAAGATGATTTCAGAATGTGATAGAAACAATGGAAAATGGTGATATGAGGGGGTGGGTGGTGACATTAGGTAGGGTGGTAGAGAGAGTTTGAGAAGATGCCATATGAGCTAAGACCCAGGAGATGAAGAAACCAAAGCTCAGAGAGGTAAATAATTTGTGCAAATTCACACAGGTAGTTAATGGCAGAGGTTGGATTTTAATTCAAGAATAACTTTAAATATAGGACTCTTTCCTCTGCAATACAGCTATCTTCTTAAATTCATGTAAACACAATACAAAGATGATACAATAGCATTGTGTGAGAAGCATAAGCAAAATGGTTTAGTTCTGGACTTGGCAACATAGAAACTAGGGTTCTGATGTGTTGAAATTTGGACTCAGTGCTGATGACTGGGTTTGAATCATAATCCCAGCACTAACTTGGCTGAATCACTTAAACTTGCAGCCTTTATTGTTTTTTGGTGGGGCGGGGGTGGGAGGGAGCTCATCTGTAAAGTGAGGAGGGTGTTTGGATGATCTCCACGGACTCTTCTGGCTCTCACTTTCTATGATGCTGTGACTTTAGGAGGTGGCATTTGATCTGGGCTTTGGAGGGTGGGGTGATTTTGACAGGCTGCCTTGTAAATGAGAGGAAAAGGTATTCCAGGTGGTGAAAACAGTTTGAGCAGAAACACGGTGGCTAGTAACTATAGAAAGGATTCTGGGAATGGCGTGTAATAGTCTGGTTTGACAAGGCTAGAATTTAATCCTGCAGAAGACAGGAGAGGCCGGAGGAATCTGGCCTTGAGCTGAGAGAGGGCCTTAAAAGTTACGCTTAGGAGCTGGGAATTGTTTACCTGGAATTGCAGAATTTGAAAGGTTCTTGGTCCTTTCTTTAGTATCCCTATCCCATGACTGGCTTCTCTGTATATAAATAGTTCTGGTGACAGAGACTTCTCTAGACCATCTATTCCATTTTCAGACAGCTCTAAGTATAAGAAAATTCTGAGCATTGAGTCAAAACGTACAGGTTCTACCTATACCTTGTCCAAGGTGTAGATAATGGAAGATTATAAATGATAAAGGACACGTTTAGGGATATGTAACTCAATGGCCTGAAGTAGAGCTGTGGCAGTAGACATATAATATTATAATACGTACTCCAAAGCAATAGAAATTTAAAGCCTTTAAAAAGTATTCCAGTCATGAAGTGTGTGTTGAGCACCTATGATAGGTCGGTCACTGACCAAGAATACAGCAATAAGGCAAAGTTCCTGCTCTCACGTTCTTCTCAGACTCATGGAGAAGATGGACAAGTAGATGATTGTGACAAGGACTCTGGTAGTTCAGGCCAGGAGTACTTAACCAGCAGATGAAGGTAAGAGGTCAGGAGTCAGGGGCCAGGTAAAGATTTCCTGAAAGTTGAGGAGCGGCCAGATTGACCAGGACAGGAGAGCACTCCAGGGAGGAGGAGCTTGGAACATGAGTGAACATGGCCTGTTTAAGGAACTGAAAGCTGTTCTATGCCAGATGCGTGGTGCGTGTGAAGTGGCTAGAAGTGAGGTTGGCATATTAGACAGGGACTTGTCACAAGGGGCTACGTTTGCCATGCTAAGCATTTTAGATTATATCCTGAATTCAGTGAGAAGCCAGTATTCCTAAAAATGGCTGTCCCCCTCCCCAGTTTATAGAATGAATATTAGAACAAAATTTTAAAAATTAGAACATATAGAAAATATGAAGGAAGAAATAAAAATCACCTTTAATATCATCAACTAGAAATAACTGCTGTTAAAATTTTAGTATATTAGTATAATTTAGCATATTGGTATAATTTTAGTGTATTTCTAACCAAGTATGTTTCTATGCATAGGCTCATAAGAAAAGCATGATTTTATTACAAAATATAGTTTGTATCCTGCTTTCTCTAGTGTAATATTGTATGCCAGCATTTCCCAGGCTATGCTGTTGAAAGTTTTTTGAGAACTTAACTTCTAATGACAACATATAATAGCCCAAAAGGTGACTATAGTTTATTATACTTAAATATCTCATAATGGGTTAAATTTTAAGTTGCTTGCATTTTTTTTTTTTTTACTATTACAAATAATGTTGTGATAAACAGCTTTGTAAATTTGTATTAACATCTGCTTATTTCCTTGGGATAAATCTCGTCATGTCCGTGATTGCCTTTTAAGCAGGAGTGTGATGGACTCACTTGTGTATAAGAGCCTTTATGGGCCAGGCGCAGTGGCTCACACCTGTAATCCCAGCACTTTGGGAGGCTGAGGCAGGTGGATCACAAGGTCAGGAGATCGAGACCATCCTGGCTAACATGGTGAAACCCCATCTCTACTAAAGATACAAAAAATTAGCCGGGCATGGTGGTGGGCGCCTGTAGTTCCAGCTACTTGGGAGGCTGAGGCAGGAGAATGGCATGAACCTGGGAGGCAGAGCTTGCAGTGAGCTGAGATTGCACCACTGCGCTCCAGACTGGGTGACAGAGCCAGACTCTGTCTCTCAAAAAAAAAAAAGCCTTTATGACAATATTGGAAGGGTGGATTGGAAAGAGGTGATTGGAGGCAAATGGACAAATGCAGATGCTGTGTGAGCAATTTAGGCAACGTATGAGGGGCATAAGTTACTGGCAGCATGGTTAGAGAAAAGAGGAGATGGTAATGATTCTTTTTTTTTTTTACTTTGTTTTTTTTAATTATTATACTTTAAGTTTTAGGGTACATGTGCACATTGTGCAGGTTAGTTACATACGTATACATGTGCCATGCTGGTGTGCTGCACCCACTAACTCGTCATCTAGCATTAGGTATATCACCCTCTGCTATCCCTCCCCCCTCCCCCCACCCCACAACAGTCCCCAGAGTGTGATGTTCCCCTTCCTGTGTCCAAGTGTTCATGATTCTTAAGGTGTATGTTTGCATAACACAGCTTTCATTGAATGTAATGAAAGCTGTCAGCATGTTTTAAATATCAACTCTCGGGGGTTGCAGGGCCTCTAAAGTGGCTGTAGGGAGAAGAGGGTGACAAGAGGTTAATGGTTCTTTTCTCTGAAATAGGAAATACCAAGGAGGGAAGAACAGGTTTGAAGGGTTGGCCTGGGAAGGGGGAAATTATCATCTCAGTATTAGGTGTGTTGCCTTTAAGGACACTCAGGTAAAACTGTCAGGAAGACAGTTGGCAAGAGCAGGATGTTAGGTTGTGGAAGTCATCCCCATGGAGATGCTGATGCTGAGACCCTGGAAATGACAACAGTTCTAGAGATCAGGGTGTTTAAGATAAGAGGATGTGGGACATAACCTGCAAGAAGACTTACTCCTAAATCAGAGACAAGGGGAAACTAGAAAAGGAGCTGTGAGATAAGTATAAAGAAAACCAGAAGAGAATGCTGTTGAAGAAGCCAAGAGAGGCAAGTGTTTCAAAGAAAAAGCCATCAGACTTTCAAATGATGCAGAGGTCAAACAAGAAAAGGGCGGAGGGTGTCCACGGGAGCAATTTCAGTCACCTGTAAATGGGGACAAGCAGATTCAGATTGTGGGGAGGCAAGCCAGGTTGTAGCGAAGCAGTGTGGAGTAAACAGAGCCAAGGAAGTTGTGGGCTTTTCTCTAAGATAGCTTGTTTGAGGAGCCGGAAAGGGCAATGGAGGCAGCAGAGGGTTCACTTTTTGTTCTGGTTTATATTAAATTAGGAAAGCTAGATTTGCTAATTGTCATATGACTTTGATTACCTCTCCAACATTTGCTTTTTACCATGTTTAAAATCCTTTTATTGGTGATTTGTTTTTGGACACAGTATACTCTGTCCAAGCTTCAAATGAAAGCACTGCTCTTTAAGCTCCTAGCATCTTACCTTAAGTTCTGTTGGAACTGGGTGAGACCTCATGTTTGCGTATGCGGTCTCACTGAGTTTTAGTAAGACTCAGTTTTTAAGCTTCAGCAACTAATATTTGGAATTGCACTTTTTAAATTATAGAATATGATTTGTGTCCTTGAAGTTTGATCATTACCTGAAGAATTGGCTGAAAACAATAAATGTTTAAATGTTGCAATTTAGAGAATGTCTTTATTGTGTTGCCAAATGCTGAATGACAGAGAGCTTTAATTCTAACTGCTTTAATTAGAAAGAGAAAAAAAAATCAAAGGGTAATCTCAACTAGAATCAAAATGAACCAGAACAAGAAATACTTTTATTGGTTACAGAACATCAGCAATGTGTGGTATAGTCTTATTCACCTCCTTTATCAACAGTGAAAATACTGCAGGCCTCTCTAGGGAAGTTCGGACCATCAGTCTTACTGAACACATAATCAGTTTAATAGGGGTTTTTCGTTAGTAATATGATGCTCTTTTGGGCTGCAGAAAATTATTTTTAAAGATAGGGTAAATGATTATTGGCTTTAAAAAACAAAACAATATGGTAAATGTTCCTAATGAAGGAAGAACTGGATGGTCAATGCAGTGTATTCACTGATTTTTTGCTTAGCAGTGAATTAGCCTGTTTTTGGTATTATTTCTCTCAGCATAATTACTTTAAAGATGTTGACATCAAAAACAGTTATCACTTTTTTAGAGGTTGTTATGTTATAATAGATAGCAGTTATCCAGGTAGAGGATTAGAGGAGAATATATCTGTGATTCTGCTCTATAAAGAACCTGGTTACCTTTCTTTTAAGATAAGATTTTACCTTTCTTTTTTTGAACCTGGTTAACTTTCTTTTAAGATAAGATTTTACCTTCTTTTTTTAATCTTCTTCCTTTTTTTTTTTTTTTTGAGACGGAGTCTCACTCTGTTGCCCAGACTGGAATGCAGTGGCATGATCTCAGCTCACTGCAACCTCCACCTCCTGGGTTCAAGTGATTCTCCTGCCTCGGCCTCCTAAGTAGCTGGGACTACAGGTGCGTGTCACCATGCCTGACTAATTTTTGTATTTTTAGTAGAGATGGGGTTTTGCCATGTTGGACAGGCTGGTGTCAAACTCCTGACCTCAGGTGATCCACCTGCCTCGGCCTCTCAAAGTGCTGGGATTATAGTCATGAGCCACTATGCCTGGCCAGATTTTACCTTTCTTGAAGATAAAAACTTTGCTCTGAAATTCTTGGTCTTTCTTCTTTCTCTTTGCTTCCCAGTGAAGTTCAATATTATATATTTTAACTTCCTTTGGGCCTCTCTTCATCCTCATCCAGTGTGGAACCCGTGGACCATTCCTTTAATCATTCGTTCACCATCATAGTCCAGTCTCTTGCTCCTTGAATTTTATTGAACCTAATTCAGTCTGCCCAGGCTCAACCTAATCATTTGACATCTTGCTACTGTACCTGGGCTGCTGGCCACCGCTAGGTAAAACTTGACAACCATGGCAGTTATAACCTCTAAAATTCATGGTCTCCATTTGTTAGGCCCTCAAGACAGCCTTAGCAATCCTTTTTTTTTTTTTTTTTTTGTCCTGAGTAGTTCTCCACTGTGTGGCTGTTTTTCACTTTCACCCCATCTTTAAGCTTCTTCCCTGCCACCTATTCTCTTAGTCTCAGAAGATGATCGTGGCCCCTGTTTTATGTAGGCCACCAGGCAGAAACTCATAAACCTTCCTCTTTACTACCACCCCCATCACTACCTACAAATTTTCTTTTAACCCGTGTCACTTTCTAGTTATTTTTCTACTTTTTCTCCTTAACTTTGCCACTAGGCTGCTTGAAAGGGTAATGCCCCCTTGTTTACCCTTCTACAGTCTGGCTTCCATCCAAATTGCTGTTGGCAAAGTTACCGGTGACCTAACTGGTAAAGCCCGTGAGATATTTTTCAGCCTTTACCTTGTTTGGTTTCTCCATGGCATTTTATCTTTCTTGAGCATTTTCTTCAACTTTTATGAAAACCTGTCTTTGAATCTTATCCCACCTTACCAGAAAAATAAGAAGCATTTAATGATTTACAAAATAATAATTGATATGAACTCTTATAACCCAATATTAATTATACTTTTAAGAATTGAATTATACTTTTATATAAATACAATTCAGTATTATACTTTAAAAATACGAAATGCTGTAATCCCAGCACTTCGGGAGGCCGAGGCGGGCAGATCATGAGGTCAGGAGATCAAGACCATCCTGGCTAACATAGTGAAACCCCGTCTCTACTTAAAACACAAAAATTAGCCGGGCATGGTAGCATGTGCCTGTAGTCCCAGCTACTTGGGAGGCTGAGGCAGGAGAATTGCTTGAACCCAGGAGGTGGAGGTTGCAGTGAGCTGAGATCGCACCACTGCACTCCAGCCTGGGCGACAGAGCAAGACTCCATCTCAAATAAATAAATAAATAAGAAATACTTATTTCTTAAAATGCTTAACTCTAGTAATCATTTTACTTTGTGTATATATATCCAAACCGTGATATATACAATAAATATATATAATAAAATATGTACAATAAAATTATAAGACATACATAATATACTAATTATTCCTTGGTTTCTTCTGCCCTAGTTAATGAAGGAGTTCCCCCTTCTGAGTATGTTCAATATCCATGAAAACCTTTTAGAAGCCCTTCTGGAACTACAAGCATATGCTGATGTTCAGGCAGTCTTAGCAAAGTATGATGGTAAGTTCTTGGGTATTTTTATTTACTTGACTATTCCTCTTTTGATGTATTTTCCCTGATTAGATTAGAAGGGTCATTTCAAATAGCACAGCACTTTTGTAGCCATACTCTTATAGAATTTTCACCTACAGTTTTATGATGGTGTTTGGTATGATCTTAGAATTTCATGGTTAGCAAGGACCAGAAATGTCACATGGCATGTGTCTCGTTCCTCTCCTTCCCTCCGTACAGGCTCCCCTCATGCTCTCCCCATCAGGCAGTTATGTCTACTCTGCTCTATTACCTCTGCGGTCAGGAATCACCCAGAACCTCACAGGCAGTACCTATCCTGTAGGGGCAGCACTGACTGTTAGAGCTCTTGCTATAAATCCACATCAGTTCACTGTGACCACAGCCTATTGGTCACATTGACCCTTTGGAGCAATGTAGAACAGCTAATATCCCTTGCACATGTGGCAATTCAGTAAATATTGGAAGATGAAATCATGTCCGCTTCATCCCAGCTCTTCTCATTAGCAGCAGAATATCCCCATTTCTTTAAATGGCAGGCTTTGAAGTCCCTTTGCCATTCTGGTTACTCACTCATGAACTTATTCCATTTTGCCTGTTCCTAAGAAACCAGAAAAATAAGCCGGCACATCCTAGATATTTTAAAACTCTAATGCTCATATTGTCATTATCCATGAATTCATTATTTGATTAATTGGACAAAAATTGTCCACATAATTACCTGCCACGACATTGTTACTGAAATATCTGCAGAGCTTCATACTATTCTGCCTCATTTCAGTAACCATCTTCCTAAAGTGTTTCCTTGTAAAATGGATGTAGGGAATGATTACTTATTATATAATCATTTTTTGCTTTATGAAATATTTTTTCTTTAGTAAGCATCTTCAGTGCATTTAAAGTGCATTTAAAGAATTATTCAGATTACAAAACATACAGAGCAAACTATACCATTTGGGTCTTTTTTTTTTTTTTTTAAGAGAGATAGGGCCTTCCTCTCTGTCACCCCAGATGGAGTATAGTGGTATGATCATAGTTCACTATAACCTTGAACTCCTGGGTTCTAGCCATCCTCCTGCTTCAGCCTCCCAAGTGACTAGGACTATAGGAGTGTGCCATCATGCTTGGCTAATTTTTAAATTTTTTTTGTAGAGACTGGTTATCGTTATGTTACCCAGGCTGGTCTCAAACTCCTGTGAACTTCCCACCTTGGCCCCGCAAGGCACTGGGAGTACAGGCGTGAGCCACCACACCTGGCCATTGGGTCTTATTTTTGACACATTTCTTCATAAGGAATCTCTGAAATGGGTGAGAGTTATCATCTCCTATAGTTGAGGGAACTCAGGCATTATGAGACTGTTTTTGTTTTTGTTTCATTTTCTTCAAATTTTTTCTCAAATATATGGAAACGAAAAGCCTTCAGCCAGTGATGGCATCATTTTGCCTGTGCAGACATAAGTACCCTGTGTAACAAGATATATGCTACCTAGTATGGAACTGATTTGAGAAACAGAGAAAAGTATTTGTGGAGCACTTTTAAGTAAACAAAATAAAGACTGTTTGGCTTTCATGTCAGCTCACTTGTATTCTCTATTTATATGCTAAAATCTTACTCATGGTTCAGCTAAACAGTGGTCCAAGCTTAGGGGTCTAAACTATTGGGCTGCCTTGTAGGCAAAAATCCTCGTATGTTGACATTCTTTTAGTACCAAAGGAATTCAGTCCCATGGCCATGGGTTCAGGCAGCAGTGCACTTTTCCAAATGCCACTCTGTAGCCATCAATGCCATAGCAATCCTTAATGCTGACCTATACTCAATCTGATGTTATCAAGCCTTCAGAAATAAAACTTTAATCAGTAGAGCCTTTGGGATGGCAAGCCTCTTAAGGCTCCTTTCATGAAGATCTCCATTTGTTACAGAAATCATCAGCCTCGTGTTATAAGACTGATTGTAAAATAAAGAAATGGAACTCTCCATTGTCTCTAACTATTCCATTGCACAGCCTCTGTTCCACAACATTCAAAAACTGATTTATTAGATTCTGATAACATATGTTCACATTATTTGTTACAACAGCCCGTCCCACCCTCCACTGAAACTTGGCTCACACTTTGAAAAATTCTTTTGTTGCAAATGGACAAACTCACCATACCAAGGCCCTTGTGTTGAGCTTTGTTTATGTTGTGTACCTGGCAACAGAGATGATGTTCTTGTTCATTATTCATGGAAAAAGAGCCTCATTAGTGGCAGGACACATATTGTTGCTGAGATGCCTCGTTAGGGGTTTTGAGTTCAGCAGTTGTCAATAGAGTACAGATGACCTAACACCGACTGAATTCTGAAGGGAGTTTTGGTGCTGACTTGGCTCAGGCCTGTATCATTTACAGTAGAAATATAATGAAGTGGCTGCTGAAGTTACTGTTCTTGAGGGTTGAGCTGCAGCCACTGAAGATTGTGGAAAAACATGCCTCTTGTTTCTCACCCCATATCATGAAATGGGTTCTTTCAAGTTTATCCCTGCTGCTTTTCCTGGAGACGTCTACTGAGTTGCTGGTTCCTTATCTGGCCCTGGGCGAGGAAGTGGGTGCTTTAGAGGTCTTAGAGTACAGACAGCTTTTAGGGCATTCTGATCTTCACCCTGGTTCAGATGTCTAATCCATGAGATGCTGGAGACAGCACTTAGAATCCCAGCCCCTTCATCCCTCTCTGTAGAGCCACACCCAAAGCAGCAGGATTATATGTCCTTTTTACTAATTGGAATGCTCTGGTTGGGTAGCCGTTTTTTGGATTGTTTTTGGGTACAGCAATCCTTCTTTATTACATTTGCTAGGTGGCTGAATTTTTTAAGTAGTATGCTGGGAACACAATGGGATTAGTTCTGCTTTTCTGACCTTTTCAAAAAGATTTAGAAAAATGGCAAGGCACTGGGGGCCAGGGATGGGGGTGTCGAAGAACATATTTTGGGGGAAAGAAGGGAGGCAAAATGTATTCCCCTTGTCTCATTGTTCTTCACCACCTTAAAAAAAGTTTGGCTTTGAGTTTATAAATCAGTAACAATCATATACTCCTGTGTCCCCACAAAGATTACCAGTTGATTGGACATATATCCATGTAGTCTGCAGTCTGATTTTGATTTTTGCCATTGAGATAACTTCTAATGCTTTATTATTCCAGGTATTAGTCTAAAATACTATATTGCTATCCTCAGGATTTTTCATACTCTTGTATTTTCAATTTGTGATTCAACATTATAGGTGGGCAGTTTTATTCCAGGTGGCTGATCCTGGTTCTATAATGTTCTTCACACAGTGACTAAAATAGCAGCAACAGCTAGCATTTATTGAGTTCTTGTAATGTATCAGTATCATACATGATTCAAACCACAAGCATATTTGGTAGATACTGTTGTTAGCCCCATTTTGCAGGTATGGTAACTGGTACAAAAAGAAGGTAATTGCTCACAGGAAGAGCCTATAATATCAAAGTAAAGCCATGTAGATGTGATGTTATGAGAGAAAAGTGATCGACTGAGAACAACTTCATTAAATATGATGTGAATTCTACAAGTAAAGGAAAGCCAGGATAAAAACGGAGGTGGTCTCACTCCAGACCCATGCTTTTAACCACCACACTTACACTCTTTCTGCTGTTGGTAGTATTTATTTAAATTGTTTTTATTAATACCATTGTTCTTGTTGTTGTTATTAGCCACAATCTATTGAGAACCTACCATGTGCCAAGCATGTTATTAGCTTGGCATTAGCTTTACCCTCACAATAACCCTGCAAGGAGGCAGTTATTCCATTTTAGCAGATGCAGAAACTGAGGCTTTGTGAGATTAAATAACTTACAAGACCACATTCTTAGAAAACTGCAGAGCTGGGATTCAAATCCAGATCCAGCTGGCTCTAAATCCCATGTGTTTTGCATAAATGTAAGCCTCCCAAAAGTGATGTGCTGGGCCTCTCTCACTCCTCTTACAAAGGCATGACTTAGGTGGGCTGAAGCCATGGTGCAGAATTTCAGTGACGCCTCATTGTCTTGCAAGATTCCTTTCTAATCATTCTTTAAGAACTGAGTGTATCTATATTTGCTTGTCTTTCTGAAACTGTCTTCCAAACATGGCTTTCCATCTTCAATCAACTTGTATCTGATTTTTTTAATCACAAAGGGGATTTGATGTAAGATGTTCATTTAATTTGAGATTTATTTATCTTTCTCTTCAGTCATACATTTGCTATAAAGACAGCCATGTTTTCAAGATCATTAAGTCATGAGAACCTTCTTTTAGAAGCCGTTGCAAAAGTTCTTACAAGCTTTGGATTGCCTTTCAAAGAAGTTTATAGGCCACCTACGTGAAAACTTAAGTCCCAAAGATTAGGGTGGGAGTGTGGAAAAGAATTCATATGTTTCTTATTCATTGTCATTTGTGCATTTCAATTTTAGGAGAATCTCGTACAGCAAGCGAACACAGGTCTGAGCACTATAAGGTACCTTTGGGAGCATCTAGTTCTGCCTGTCTCTAGTTAGTGATCCTTGGGGATACCAGAAGGCAGTCATGGGTGGTGGGGAAGAGGTGGATCAGGTCCCAGCTCTGCCTTTCACCAACTGAGGGAGCTTGAGCAAATTACTTAACATTCCAAGCCTTGGTTTCTTTCTCTGGAAATGAGATCGAGACTTAGAAAGGCTAAGTAACTTGCCCAAGATCACACAGCGGGTAATTTGTTGTGAGGATTAAAGTAGTTTAATCTATGTTAAGTGTCAAGAACAGTGTGGGACACACAGTAAGAGTTCAGATATTATTCGCTATTATAAAGAGCCAAAAGTGTCACTCCTAAACTTCACCACTATTCTTCATTAGTCTTGTTCAAATGGAAAACTATATATAAAATGTCGCAATGAGAGAATAAGAGCCCAGTCTTATGCTCTGCAAAAAGACAATGTTACGACTTGTTATTAAAATTAATTATGGATCTAATAGGACATATAGATATTTGATAAGAACTAAAATTCTTAGTTTTATCTAAACTTTTGGAAAGCTGAAAAAAGACATGCCAGGGATTTTTACTCCTGATCAAAGGAAAAATTACTTCTTTGGGTTCATAGCAACTTCAGCCTCTGAACAATTTGTCCTAATGGAAATACAGATCTAAGCACTTTTGGATATTTACTCCGTTAAGTCATTTAGTGATTGCCCTAAATTTGGGGCAGAATCTTCTCTTGTTCTTCCCTTCCTTCTCAAACGAACTAGGGACAGCTGGTCTTTCTTACAGTCACAAAAGTTATATAAATGCAACCACTATATCAAGATCATTTTTACTGATGCCATCAAGCCCATCCTAAATTAGCATTATTATCTGCCATCTGGTAATTTGCAGAGGGTATACTTTTTAGAAAAGGACATGTTTCTAACATTGGAGGAAATGCTTTCATCTCAGTAGATTGAAAACAGAAGTTCTAAGGAAAGTCATTAGGGAATCATGCTATGTTGAGACTATTCAGAGAAAAAGCCTTTTGCTGATACTGTTTTGCAGAGTCAGCATGTAGTTATAACTAAAAATTTCGTAAACCTTGCTTATTTCCCAAGGCCTTATAACTAGCACAAGTTATTCAGCTATCATCATAGTTCCTTTGAAATGGTTACTGGATACCCTGTCTTTTGGTTAGGCTGTTTTCCATTTATGTTTGAGGAATAAGTAAAAATAGGAAGGATGTGAGATGTCTGGAGGTCCAATGAGTAAAATCTGTATTTGTCAAACACTTCAAGTGTCAGTATGTCCATACTTCCAAAACAGTACTTTTCAGTTAAGTATATAAATGTGAATTTTGATGCCACAGGCACAAGCAGCCTCTGAAAATACTCACCACAAAATTTGGCTGCATATTAGAAAGAAGATTTGGTATGCTGTCAGTTTCTAGTGACAGACTATAAACCTAGTCCGGCTCATTTCCCTGGGCTCGCTGTTACGGAAAAGATCATGGTTACCAGGCAAGTGCTCAAAGAGAGTCCTTGTGTAAAAGATGGGCGAATGAACCACATCAGTGCTTCAAAGAAGAAAATAATTATCAGCACTGATACTATGGCTGTGGCTTCATGCCTGTAAGCACAAGTCACTGAGAAATGGTGGTCCTGCATAGCTTTGCACTGGATGCTCTACAGATTTGGACACCAAGAGGTAGATCTGCCAAGAGGACTAGTCCTTTGAGGTTACTTTAGAACAAATGATAGACTGTCAGGGATGAACTATATATTGCATTGAGCAAAAGTTCTGATAATAGATGTCATTTCAGTGAGGACTATATGCATGACAAACTTCTGTCTCTGATGATAGAAGACCTTTGGTGAATGCATACATCTGTAATTCACATAGCTGGCACATGTACAAACCCTCCAAATTTATGTTGGGTTTGGTAATCCTTATTGCCCAGTTATCATAATTTACCAAGGTAACATCCCTCCCCAGCCAGCCATTACCATCAGGGAAACTGCTTTGTTTGGCTTCAGGGCACCAGCCACGGAAGGGCCCTCTGACACAGACCTTCTGGGGTAATCCAGTCCAAAAGTTGAAAATAACAACTGGTGTTTGGCTTTGTAGCGTAAGACGAATTTTTCTGGGTGTAGTTGAATGCTTAGTGCTTGTCTTTCCCCCTGCCCCAAATTACTAAGGTCATGTAGAACTTCCCAGTTGAATCATTGAACTCCCAAGTGGCACATCTTTTTGAGATTCTTGTATATCAATCCCTTTTATTTCTTCAGTGAAATTTTTCCCTTTGGTTGGAAGGGGACCTCGGATTGGCTTTTTGAAGGTGGGGCAAAAAGACCTCATACTGCCTGGGATCAACAGTAACAAAAATTTAAGGAGAATCCTGTATGTCTATTGTTTTCTTTACATCATATCATAAACAAGTAAATTGAGAAATTAATCACATAATGGGACAGTAAGAACACATCACAATCCACAAACAGGTTACGAAGGAGAAATGGACTGCTTTTTAAATTTCTTTTCCATTTTTGTTTGTTTGTTTGGGTCATGCTTCCAAGAGCATCTGTGAAGGCCAAATATGCTGGATTATAGGAGCTTCAAGTGTATCTGGTAGAAATGATATCATTTGTTGCCTGATATAATTTGTTGCCTGACCAAGAAAAGGGATTCTTGGTACTTCATAATTTTAAAGGATAACAGAGAGTAAATAGGTTAATTTTTTTCAAATTATTTCAGCAAGGATCTGTTGAGTCCTTATTATGTTGAAGTACGAACTTTTAGGTGCTTTAGATTCAGAGATAAATATAACCTATTCTCTGTCACCAAGATGGTTTCAGTCTAGTAGAGAAAGATGTTAAAAAACAAAAATACAAAAAAACAGGCGAAGCGAGATGAATCAGTGCTCAGTGAGTCTGTTTGAAACAAGCTGTGGGGAGTGCAGAGAAAGAAAGCCCTTGAGAGCAAACTCATGCCCCCCTACTTTCATCTCAACCTCTGTGTACTAGGGTAGTCATTGGGAATATCTGTGGTCTGTGAGTGAATTGATACATAAGATCCCACTACGACACAGTGTTCTCATTTGTGAGATGGTTTGGGATTTATATATCTACTTGCTGCCACCTTTGAAAAAATTTTAGATTCATAGATATGAGAATTGACCCTCAGTTGACCTATCATGCATAAGAATAGTAATGATCCTTTTAAAACTACGTCTTGATTGTTATTACTGGGAGATGAACAAAAGGATATTAGGTCAAAAAGGTTATCATGGAAAACTGTTCTATCCTGTCTAAAGTTTTGCACCATAAGTTTTCCAAGACCCATCTAATTGACAGTTTTACTCATAATTACAGACATTTCTTCCAAGATTATTGAATTAAAGTTTGGCTATTATGAACCACTTATGACTTTTGAAAATTCAAGAGTCATTCTCCCTAAGATGACCTTTTGTTTCAGCAGCAGCATTCCAATAACGGGTCCTTAAGGAGCCAGAAGAGGTGTGGTTTTCTTTGTTTTTTCTACTTTTCTTCAACCTTGTTTCAGTTTTTACTTTATTGTTTTTCTTCATCCTGCCCCATAATTTCATTCCACTGCTGTTTCAAATAGACATCGAGATTAGAGCACCAACACAATTTCAAACTCTGCTGGAACTGTAAGCAAAGATAAATGCAGTACACATGTTGAGAAATAACAAGTTTCTGATTCCCTATTAGAACGTACAACACTGATCAATTTTGGCTTCTAGGAGCTAAATTGGATGTAAATGTTTGCAAAATGAAGGAAGCTAATATCAAGATATTTGAGATGTTAGTACATTAATTTAGGATTTTATTCAGCAAACACTGAGCGCCAACTATATTTCAGACATTGTTTTTTGTTGTGGGTGCAAGGTGATGAAGAAGCACAGCTTTTACTCCTAAATCACACCATGTACGCAGGACAGGGAAGTAAGAGAACAGGCAATTGCTGTTAAGTATAAAGATTGTGATACACTTTAGCCCAGGATGGAAGGGGCACTGCATGCAGCAAGGAGGAGTGACGGGAGTCTTCCCCTTGGAGGTGGTGTCTGAACTGGACAGCAAAGGTGCTTGAGGCAAGGAAAGCATATGGAAATGTGCAGAGGCACAATTGGCATGGCTTATTTGGAGAATTGTCTGTATCCCTTAGAGCAGAGGGATGAGGAGGGATGCAGTGAAGGGCAGAAGATGCCTTGGGTGAGTTAGCTGGGGGTGTGGGGGGGTAGGGGGACTGGATTAAAATCCAAGCTTGGATTTTATTTTATGGGCCCTGGAGAGGCCTGGGGCAATTTCAGGTAGGGCTTCAGTCGAGCCCAGAGTGAAGGGGGTGGCACAATACATTCACACCATGCCCCCTTTTGAGTGGAGGTACTTGAGAAATCACAGTGGGAAAGCACTCAGATGTGGAAGAGTGGAGTGCCACTGCAGTGGGCTGGCGAGGTGACCTCTGACACTATAGTGGAGCACATTCTGTCCTGGAGGGAGACATTTGTGAGGTTTTCTGAACATTGGTGTAAAAGAGTTAGAATTTGGTTTTTCTTTCTTAAGCAACAAATGGGAATCCTAGTGCAGAAACTTTTGTCTCCTGGGTGGGAAAACTTCTTATTTTAAACTATAACCACTTTATTTCATTTGCTTCCGGGTAATCTCTTAACTACAAGAAACTGAACCCTATGTAGACCCACCATAACCCACAGATAATCTTTCAAGGGAGCATAACTAAGGGAGAAGAGCCTGTCAGGACCTATGTAGCCCATCAGTGCCTACCTACTTCTGCTGAGTCGTTAACAATGACATGAGGAGAAAAAATGTGGAAGAGGGGAACAGGTGGTGTGTACAGCTGTACTTTCTATAAAGGCTGTGAATTTGAAGATAGTAGAGGACATGATGCGAATGCCTGTATAAATCTCACTTGCTAAAATCAAACCATCTGAAAAATTCCTGCCTTGTTGATACTTCAGTTACTACTAAAGTAGACAAAGCATGAGAATAATACCATGGATTTAATTCTTACCGAAAAGGAAGAAGCTTAAGAGAAAGAGACCATGTTATCCTGTAGCTATAGTTAAAAAAATAAATAAATAAATAAAAGGAATATTAGGCACAGGTGTACCTTGAATCTGAAACAAACAAAAGTAACAAAAAGTGAAAGCCATGCTCTTTTTTGTTGTTTTTGTTTTGAGACAGGGTATAGCTCTGTCGCCTAGACTGGAGTACAGTGACATGATCACAGCTCACTGCAGTCTCAACTTCCCATGCTCAAGTGATCCTCCCACCTCAGCCTCCCAAGTAGCTGGGACTACAGGTGTGAACCACTATGCCTGGCCAATTTTTTCTATTTTTTGTAGAGATGAGGTCTCACTTTGTCACCTAGGTTGTTTCTTGAATTCCTGGGCTCAAGTGATCCTCTTGCCTTGGCCTCCCAAAGTGCTGGGATTACAGGTGTGAGCCACCATGCCCAGCCTTTTATTTGTTTATTTTAATTCAGAGGAAAGATAAATATGAAACCACAAATGGAATTTCAATTAATATAACTTACTTTATGCTGAGACTATTTGGCATAGGAGATACAGAGAGTTTTTTTAAAACTGGAAAATGGTTCGTGAAGGATGAAAGACTAAAAGTTGAAATTGCAATTAGTCCCAATAGATAAAAGTGTAAGGAAATATAAATGATTAAAGTGTACAAAAAGATCAGAATGACAGATAGCTAAATAAGTACGTACAAGTCAGGTATAAACTTAGAAGCAGGTTTTCAGGGTGGCTAAACACCAGAGGAAGCTAAAGTCTCCCACATTACAGGATTTAATGTATGACTCTATTGTCCAAAAAAACAGTGAAGAATGATGATAGGGAAAGTAAAAGCAGGTATCACACTAACATTATGGGATAGTGACAAGGACATGGTATTGCAGGTTCAGTTCTGCCACTCATTTGTTAGGTGGCTCTTAAGAAAATCGTTTAACTTTGCTGGGCCCATATTTCTCACCTATAAAAGAAAAAGATTTTGGGAGGTTGACCTTGGCAGTCCTGTACTGTTGTTCAGTTTTTCGTCTGTATCTTGTGGTAGTACTGTTTTGAGCAGAAAATATTGTATTAATACGTTGCTGAGGTATAATTATTCATTCCTATTTTATATTTCCCTTTAGTATTTTTTACTTTTTAAAAGAATGTATCAAGTCAATCCCAAGCAAATCCTGGAAATAATTATGTGGTTTTTGACCACAGGAAAAAAGATGGTGATTGGGGATCTAACAATAGATTTATTAAGAAAAAATTGTGTCAAATAAACACAGATGAGATAGTGGATATGAAAATACTGTTTGTCTATACAATAGTATTTAAATGTTTATCTTATTAGTGTAAATGGCCCTTTTCCTTTGTCTTTCTGAAATAGGAGAATACCATAAATGTGTTTACATCTTTATTTAAACAAAGCATTTGGTAATATTTTAAATGCTGTCCTTTCAGGTACCATGGAGGAATATGGATATAATACCTAATTAATAAGTGGTTGCAGACATATCATTGCAGACTGTTGCAAATTGAGGGTGATCTCTAGAATCCTATTCCCAGATTCTCTCATTGGTATTGCCATGGTCAGTATTTCTAAAAATCAGATCTTGGAAACACATAGCACAGTTTAAAATCATGTGCTCAGATTTGTTCTAGATTTGTGATATTGGCATATTTCTTAACCATTCTGTGCTTCATTTTCCCCATCTATAAAACAGGGCTAACAGTCCTACCTCATAGGACTGCTCTGAGGATTAAATAGGATAATGTATATAACTGATTAACACCAGTGCCTGGAAGTTAGCCTTTAGTAAGTGTTGGCAGTCATTTTGATGATGATAATGGTCATTTAGGGAAGAAGATATGGAGGGAGCAAAGCTGTGCATGGTAGCTTGAATCAGAAAAATGACTAATAAGCTGGAATGACGTACTGAAACTATTAAGATTTAATGGCTCAGATTTAATTTTAAGATTTGAAATTTAATGGAATCAGATGTGAAATCCTGCCTGTATGTTTTTATTTTTATTTTTTAATGTTCATGGCTTACATAAAAGGGAGAAAAGACCTGACTTTAGCTGAAGTCTATTTGAATAGAATTGGAGGTGGGGGGTATTGTTGACCACACAATCATAGGAACAAACAGAGTCCCAGCTGCTCAACACCAGGGCCGTTCTAGCTGGTATTCAGAGACGTAGAGTGGCACAGCTCCTCAGACTGCACGTTTTCCCTGAGCTCTCTACTGGTCAGTTTGGGGGATTTAGAGGATTGTTTTCATTTCTAATTCTCATATTTTGAAATCACATGTGGCCAGGTAATAAAAATAGATGAGAAGTTCTGAAGAATATGTCAGTTGAGGAACTGGAGGTATTTATCCTACAGAAGATTGCTATAGAAGAGATATGTTAACCATCTTAATTCTTGAAAGATTGACGAACAATAATCAGATTCTGTTTTCTTATGGAAGGTGTAAGTGATTTTTAGATAAGGATTTGTGGAGAGAATGGAGTGGGGCAGAATGATAAAAGGCAAGTAAAATGTTATGGAGGTCAGATTGGTAAGATAAGACATCTTCAGGTGACCACAAGATTTTAGGTTTTTTTGTTTGTTTGTTTGTTTGTTTGTTTGTTTTAATTTTTTATTGGCTAGGTGCGGTGGCTCATGCCTGTAATCCCAGCATTTTGGGAGGCCAAGGTGGGCAGAACAGTTGAGGACATGAGTTCGAGACTACCTTGGCCAACGTGGTGAAACCCTGTCTCTACTAAAAATACAAAAATTATCCAGGCGTGGTGGTGTGCACCTATAGTCCCAGCTACTTGGGAGGCTGAGGCACAAGAATTGCTTGAACCCGGGAGGTGGAGGTTGTAGTGAGGGAGATTGTGCTACTGCACTCCAGCCTGGGTGATAGAGCAAAACTCTGTCTAAAAAAAAAAAAATTATATATATATAATTGAGGCATCAATTACATATAGTTACAGGTACAACTCTTAAGTGCAGAGGGATGATTTTTCACTTATGTATATACCCATGTGACTGCTACCCAGAATGAAACAGAACTTCCTGAAATCTTAGAAGGTTGCCTCATACTCCCTTCTAGCCAATAACTGCCCTCCAGCCCAGCAGTAACCACTTTCCTTACCTTGAACACAATATATTAGTTTTGCAAACTTCATGCAACCACTTTGGAACACTGTCTAACAGTTTCCAATAAAGTTAAACAGACATCTATCTTCAGATCCAGCAATCCCATTTTTAGTTACATATCCCTGAGAAATGAGTTTTCTTACGCTTACACAAAAATGATCACAGCAGCTTTCTTCATAATAGTCCAAAGTGGGAAAACAATTCAAATGTCCTTTATCAAGAGGATAGATAAACATGTGGTGTATCCACACAATGAAATACTACTCAGCAATGAAAAAGAATGAATGACTGACACGTGCTACAACATGGATGAATCTCAAAAACAATGTGCTGAGTGAAAGGAACCAGACAAAAATGAGTACAAAAATGAGTCTGATTCCATTTGTGTGAAGTTCAGGATTATAACTTTTAATGAAAGGCTTTCATGACAATTTGATTTTGCATGCCTAAGATGTTTGGGGAAATTTCTTCTCCTTTCAGGAAAACATTTCTATAAAACATAAGATGGCAAAGAGGTGGAAGAAAAATTAATGCCAGCAGTTCAGCTTTGACTAAGTGAGAAACATTTACTTAGCGTTCCTTGTTTCTGCAGTGAGTAATGGAATTATGTGATATCTCATTATTTCCTTTCCTTTTGTTTGCTCTTTGGATTCTAACTCGTAAGAGGTAATAATGTAGCTAGCTAAATGCCACTTACAAAAGTCAGAAGGGCACTGCAGAGTCAGTGTGTTCATACAAAATCAAACTAACTTAGAATGATTTTGAGTTGCTTCCTCAAAATAAAATTTCTGAATAAATTACAGGCAATATTGGAAAGCGGATGATTTGTTCTTATTGCCACCATTTCAATCACTACTGGTAGCTACTCTATTCATCTTATCATTTTATCCATTTCCGTAGTGATAAAAGCATGAAGTCATAGCAGGCAGACAGAACTGTACAGAACAGATTAGTGATCACCAGGGGACATGTTTGAGGAAGGACAGGGAGGGTACAAATATAAAGGGGTAGCACCAGGGAGTTCCTCTGTGGTAATGGAACAGATCTATATCTTGGTGTGTTTACATGAATCTAGTTATGGGATGAAATTGGATAGACATGCACACTTGATTTTATGTAAAAAATGGTGAAAATGAACAAGGTCTGTAGTGTACCTAATAGTACTCTAGCAATGTCAATTTCTTGTTTTTTGATATTATACTACAGTTATATAAAATATCACCGTTGGGAGAAGCTGAGTGAAACATTTACAAGACTGTGTGCTATTTTTATAAATTTCTGGAAACCTCTAATTATGTCGAAATATTAAGTTTAAAAATTATAATAGGCAAAAATAACCAAGCCTCACCCTTTTTTGTGGGGTGAGGTGGGAATGAAAGAGGAGGTGCTCATGGAGCAGGCAGCCTAAATACTTTCTCCTAGAGGATAGTATTTATGGTTCTTCTTAATGGTGAGCCAAAACATCAGTTCCTGCCTGTGGTTTAGATGTTACGCAGTTATTAGATTAAAATATGGCTAATAAGATAACTATACTATAGCAGGCATACTGTAAATAGAACACACTAATTTTCACAAGAGTATGTGAAAGTTACATCTGATAGATCTCCAGACTGACAGCACCTCATATGATAAATTCTACTTTTGTCTGTGCTGTCGGTATCTGGCTCCACCAATGTATTTGCCCATGAACTTGCTTCAGGCAATTTGTAGAACAGAATTCTTCCCTCTAGCATCATTATCTGCTAAAAAAACAGTTACTGCATGTACATGACAGGAAACTTTGGAAATACAGATAAACAGTAGGAAAAATTGCCTATAATCTCGCCATGCAGAAATAAACACTGCTGATGGAGTAGTCCCCTCTTATCCTTAGGGCATATGTTCCAAAACCTCCAGTGGATGCCTGAAACCATGGAGAATACTGAACCCTGTATACACAATATTTTTTCATATACATATGTATTTATGATAAAGTTTAATTTATAAATTAGGCACAGTAGGCCGGGTGCAGTGGCTCGCGCCTGTAATCCCAGCTCTTTGGGAGGCCAAAGTGGGTGGATCACGAGGTTGGAGTTCAAGACCAGCCTGACCAACATGGTGAAACCCTGTCTCTACTAAAAATACAAAAATTAGCTGGGCATGGTGGCGCATGCCTGTAATCCCAGCTACTTAGGAGGCTGAGGCAGGAGAATCGCTTGAACCCAAGAGGCGGAGGTTGCAGTTAGCTGAGATCGTGCCATTGCACTCTAGCCTGGGCGACAGAGCGAGACTCTGTCTCAAAAAATAAATAAAATAAAAATAATAAATAAATAAATTAGGCACAGTAAGAGATTAACAATAACTAATAGAACAGTTATAACAATATGTCATAAAGTTATGTGAATGTGGCCACTCCTTCTTGTCATTCTACTTACTACACACTGTGGCCATAACTTTTGCAGTTTTGAGGTGCAACAGTGAAACTAACAAATTGCTTTTCCTTCTTCACAATATCACATGATTCATTCTTGCTGTAGATCTTAGCAGCCTCGGTGTATGATTTTTTTCTTTTTTTATTAAGTTGAGAAGTTTCACCTTTTCATTTAATGGAAGCACCTTACATCTTCTCTTTGGCATATCCAAATTGCCAGCATCACTACTCTTGCACTTTGTGGCCATTATGCAATAAAATAAGGGTTACTTGAACACAAGCACAGTGATAACTATGACAGCACCGTGATAACTATGATAACGCATATGGCCACAAAGTAACTGATGGGCGGGTAGAATCTACAGTGCGGATATGCTGGACGAAGGGATGATTCACATCCCGGGTTGGATGGAGCAGGGCAGTAACAAGATCTCATCACACTACTCAGAATGGCATGCTGTTTAAAACTTATAAATTATTCATTTCTGGAATTTTCCTTTTAATATCTTCAGACTGCAGTTGACTGTGGACAACTGAAACCACAGAAAGTGAAACTACTGATAAGGGGAGTCTACAATATTTGGTGCATATTATTCCAATCTTTGTGCATAGAAATGCTTTTAAAAATGAATATTAAAGCATACTTTTTATAAACTTATTGATATGTGCACAATACATTTCCCCCAGATCATTCAGTACCTTTCCACCGCATAATTTAATGACTGCATGGAATTGTACCCTGTGAATGAACTTACAGCATGTTAGCCAGTCTATGATTGGACATTGGGCCATTTCCAATTTTCCATTAGAAACAATGTTGTGATGAACAATCTTTGTGCACATTGATGATTATTTCCTAGGATAAAGTCTTAGAAGTGGAATTGCTGGGTAGTCAAAATGTAAAAGCTTTCCATTTATATTGCCTAAGTGCTCTGCAGAAAAATATGCATCATTTTCAAAAATGAAAATTGTAAACCAAAACCTATTTGAACAACAAGATGCTCTATGTGAAGGGAAATTTAGGATCCGTTTCTTTAGAGTGATTCATCCCTCCTTAGAGGCAAATTGCTATTACCAAGTAGATGTAATGTTTTTACAGATAAAAGAATAACATTGAAAATATCTAAATAAACCAGCCATGCAAGAATATTTTGCTATTTTCTATTTCTGTTAATCAGTGAGAACAAAATAACTTACTAGCATAAAAAGATAAGTAGAATGACATGCCACTAATGGGGAATGGGGTATTTTCATAGAGCTACATTTCCCTCTTTGATATTGATTAAAATATATTTTGGTTATTTTTTTTAAGCATTTTTCTTGTGCACATATACTACTTAATAAAGGAGAAGGAGCAAACATTTTAAAAATGGAGAAAAGGTACTGTAGTCGTCATAATGTTGCTGAATGCTGTTGCATTTTTCTAGCTGTGAATGTCCTGTCTATGCTAGTGGGAACGGAGGTCAGGATTCTAGATTAAAGATTACCTTTGATTAGGCATCTCTAGTCATTTGCTGGAACACCTCGAATGTATCTTTTTCTGTATTTCTATCTGGGTGAAAGTGTCCATTTGATTGATTAGATAACCATCAAACACAACTTGATCTTTCTTGTTGGGCAGCTAAGTCATTAAAAAGAGGCTCCTTCTTGTGCTGCCACCTTCAAATAGTTATGATCATTGTTTTCGGAAACAAGGCTTGGGTAATTTTAAAATAAAAAGTCTGAACTTTTAAGTAGGCCATGTGTCATCTAGTTTTTTTTATTAGCTTCAAATAACAATCAATGAGTATACCCTAGAAAACAACATATTTCGTTCCTGTATTGATTCCCCACACTGGAAAGCTGTTAAATGTTTAGATGCTGGAAAAGCAACAAGACTAATCCATGAGTGTCTGGCATTTTTTTCTTCTTAATTGTAAGTGCACCATTTTATATAGTATGTATGTGGTGGTGACATTTTGCTTGAATATAGTTTAAGAGATTACGGGTACAAAGACCTGTTTTCCTTTCAATTCTGTGCTGATATTTTCTATGATTGTGTTTTATCAATGTCATTGAAATTTCCCTCAAAGAGAAATTCCTTAGGAATCTCCTTGGAATTGGCATTAAATACTCTTTATTGAAAGAGAGATTGGTTTTCTTTATGAAATTGTTTTCTTCTGCCTCTGTCTATTGGCTAATTATGGGACTTCTATTTTTCATTTCTACTTTACTGTAATCCTTTCTAAGTTGAAAACAGCCTTGCAAAGAAACTCGCAGGGCATTCCAGGGGCAAAGAGTTCCTCTAACCTAGAATGAATTTTGCAGCATCTGGGAATGGCATATTTTTACCTGTTCTGAATTAAGGTATTTCTGTGTCATAGTGTAAATTTGGTTGCAAGTATTAAATACTAACTCCTATTCTGGAAAGAATGCAATCATAATTTAAGAACACATTTTTCACCCAAAGGGGTGCCCTCTTTGAGTTTATCTACTCTCACTTGTACCCTGTGCTTTCACTTTCCTGTAAACTCATTATCTGAACCCCACACCCACCCTGGCCCTTCTGAAATTTTTGTAAAATTGAAAGGAACTGTTTTTCCTGATGACAAGTGAGGCTTCATATGAAAGGAGATTTATGATAGGTTTTCATGAGCAAAAATTGTGTAGTTTTCTAAAGATTTCATACATATACCCTTTAAAAGTTATATATGTTTATTTATATATTAGACATATATATAACTTGGACTTTTACATTTTTAACAAGCACTATTAAAAATTGAATGTAAACTTGAAATTTAATGCAAAGGAAATTTAGTTTAAATCTGTCCACTAAAGAATCATTCATTTGGCTAAGTCTTCTTTTAATCTAGATTTTTTTCTTCAATTAGCATTTCATATACCTGTTGAGAAATTTTTGTAAGTGACAAAGACACTTTCATGTCTTTCACATCAAGGATATTCATGTGATATCTAAATGTATATATTTATAGCTATACTCTGCTTAAACTCAACATATGAAAATTCATATTTTAAAATAGAAGGTGATTGCTTAAGAGTCAGCCTGTTGGACATGAATTATTCACAAAAATACAAACTACCCTTAGTTTCACATACCACGTTGATACAGTAAGGAATAGCTGAAATTCTTGTGTAATGTCTGTATTAAAATATTCTTCATTTATGCTTTATTGCACTTAAACGTGATTAAAATGCTAGTGTATTGAAAATGATTGCTCTTTGTTACCTGCAAACTTATGTGTTCCTACTTTCTTTTTCTCCAACAGATATAAGCTTACCAAAGTCAGCAACAATATGCTACACAGCTGCTTTGCTCAAAGCAAGAGCTGTCTCTGACAAGTAAGTGAATAATAGTTTGCGCGGTACTAATGCCTGACCGGAATTGAGATGTGTTGCCTCTGAGGGCTTTCTCTGGAAGTTTCTCTTAGGCTATGAGACCCCTGCTTATAAGCATGCATTTTCCAAAACCTGCTGTTCTTTTCTTTCACTATTGGAAGGAGGGAATGTATATCCTCAGGTAATGTAAGGGTGTGTAAAGGTATCCTAAAGCAGGATTTATTTGAAATTCCATGCTTCTGAGATGAGTTTTTTGGTGTGAGACAGTAGATACCAAAACACCTGCTTGGGACTTAACACAGAATACCATCCTTCTATTTGTTTTTTGCACATTCCTCTCCCTTCAGCGGTCCATAACTGGGTAGTGTCATACACACGTGGAATGTGGCAGACAGGATGGTCATCTCTCATTCTTTGCCTCATCAACTTCAAATTAGCCCCCCACTGGTCTATTAACTTTGAGTTGCCATCTCAATGGTACGTTTGCCTATTTTGTTCAGGCAGGTGACTATGACATATAGACTTTTCATAAGCATCCAAGGATGCCTGTCAGATGAAAGAGCATAGATGGCTTAACTGCTTTTGAGTTCATAAACTCTTACGCTTCCCCAATATAATCCCTCTGTAGCATCGAAAGCAGAGAACAGGAAACCAGCCTCTGCTGTATCAGACAGGTTTGCTGTTAAGTGTGTGTACACTTCAAGACCAAAGTAATTTTCTTTCATTCTTTTTTATCCTGTAGATCGCCAGTACCTACTGCAACATCTTTTCTCCCTACACAGCGACTCCAGCTTGGGAGGGCAGGGCCAGGGTTGTCACAGCTTCCCCTGTGGTGTCTGCCTGCCAAGCACAGCTCTGGAGTTAGCCCTGGGTGTGAGGTGAGAAAGAGATTGCATGGTCTGGTTTTTTTCATTCACTTGGGCAGGTGTCTTGCCCGCAGTTTGGGCATGCACACACCCTCTGCCGGAATGGCCCCAAGCAGGCTCGCCTGCTGCTGAAGCTGCAACGATTTAACCTCCATCGCAGCACTGACATTGGGTGGGAGGCCTCCTTTCAAATCCTTCCCAGTTCTGTTTTTAACCAAGTGCGCTCTTCTGTAACCTAGTTTTCTCTTTTTCCTACACTGTCTGCCCTTGTCAGTCCTACCTCTTCCCCTGACCTGAGCAGGTACCTCGTAGAAGATTTAGATTAGCCATTTAGACAGAGACTTGACAGCCGAATTTAACTCCTGCCATGACTAGATGCAAGCACGCTTTCTGCTTCTGCTGGGGTTTTTGCTGGCCTCGGTCCGTGGGGTCACTCAGAGGTTCCATGCAGTAGAAGTTTGGAGAGCTCATGCTATTGGCTCACTGTGGTTTTATGGGCCCTAGATGTGTAGATGCTTCCGGGTTGATGCCCAAGCAGTGGTCCCACCTGGATGGTTTTTGTCTTTCTGCTTTTCAGATTCTCTCCTGAGGCTGCATCTCGGCGGGGGCTGAGCACAGCAGAGATGAATGCAGTAGAGGCCATTCATAGAGCTGTGGAATTCAATCCTCATGTGCCAAAAGTGAGTCTGTGGAATCCCCACAGGAACTCGTTATGATAGCAGAGAAAGCATTCATTGACCACAGTGTTGTATCTCAAGTACACCGCTTATAAAAAAATGAATTGCAACCAACAAATGTTGAGACCCTGTATAATGTATGGGCATTAGCCTCATTTTAAGCAAAAGCTATACTCAAGAGGCTTTGGGGCAGATTTCCAGACTTCACTTAATAAGGGTAAATCGATAGACCTCGCTTAGGCAGGCCAGGAAGCCTGAAATTGGCAAAAAGTAGATATCCCGGGAGTGTTGACACATTTGACAGGAATTTCACACCAGTTATGGTCTCACATAGACCAAACTCAGGAAATAAATGTTGTTGTGAATAAAACTGGTAAAAAAAAAATACTAATGTGGCATTCCGTGTCTCTATAAATGAATGATAGTAATCAGTATTGGCAAGAAAATAATAGAGAAAACTTCAAAATATGAAGAAGTATTTTGCTTTGTACCATTTTAATAAGTGTATATAGTAGAAAATATTTGTCTTAGTTATTAACCACATGGTTGACCAATTTATAAATACCCAATATTTCCAATTTTTTTTCCTGAAATTGATTTTAAGGGAATCAAATCAGAGCAGGGAATATTTCTGTAATCTTTTATTCAGGAGATGAATGTGTATTTATTATTTACCTATATTTAACTCCCTGCTCTTTTAGTATCTACATGCTGTATTACGTAATTATCATCTTCTCTGAGGGAGGAAAAAAAGTAGCTGAGAGCCACTTTCAGTCCCGCTATTAAGTACATTTTGGCCTCTAAGAAACTTCGTGTGGTTCACCTCAGGTATGACAAGCCATAACTTCCTTGGCAAAATGTCTGATGAAGACTTAGTGGTGAAAAATGACAAAGGAAGGCTGTTTGACTTGTGTTGTAGCACTATAGCAAAAGGGTGGGGGGGTATGAGTGAGAGAGAGAGAGATGGTTTATGGAGTTAACTACTTTATTTTGTTGATATTCAGAGTGACAGAGATAAGTGATCTAATATTCCTGGGATTTTACTCAAGTCTAGGTCATTTTTTTCACTTAGCAGGAAATTGAAGAGTGGTTCACTATGCCACATTTGCATAAGGATGTATATATTCCTTAGGCCTAATGGGTAATGACCAACATAGTATTTGCAGATTTATGTATTGTCCATATGGTGCTATAACTATATCTCCTTATATAATATTTTTCACCTAAGATAAAAATGTTTATTCCACTTTGACTAAAATTTAAAACTAATCATGAAAAAATTATCCTGAATTACAGTAAACTGAGGTCATCTATGAATACTTATTGAATGCCATTCTCTACAGAGCTATTCAGTAAGCATAAATAAGGCTCTTTTAGAAGTAGTATTGAGCAATAAGTTCTGGATTCTGAGGCGAAAACTTGTGTTCCACTTGTGATTCTGTCATTTATCAGCCATTGGACATTGGGCTTAGCATCTCTAAGCTCAAAGTTGTCCCTCATTTTTAAATGAAGTTAGGATATAAGCCCTGCCTATCTTCTGTGGTAAAGATCAAGTGAGATTATATATTTGAAGTTCTTTGAAAACATTTGAGCACCATTTATTTGTAAATTATTAAGATTTTTGATGATTTTAATATCAACATTTTTTGATAATTATTAAGAATTTTGATAATGGTTGGGGGCTCCTCATATCTAGGAACCAGATCTTTTACCGTGATCCTAACTAGAGCCTTGCAATCCTGGGGCACAAGACAGAAAATCAGTACAGTACTTGTTGGTTAGATATTTTGATTGAAGTAGTCATTTAATGCTAAAACACTGGTCTGAAATGGTTAATTGAGCCTCTAGAAGAATATTAAAAGCCCTAAGAAACACTTTAAGGCTGCCATGGAAGAATTTGACACAGTTAACTAGGATTCCACCTGCAAAATAGAATTATCCTAAAAGTGGAAACATTTCAAATATTTGATTGCACTCTACTTTCTAATCATGAAACTGAGAGAAGGCAGGGTAAACTACCTGGGTAAACTGACTCTCCAGCACTTTGCTTCATTGGTGATTGTGCTGAGGGGGAGATGTGTTTCCAGATCCTCTTCGTCTATCAGAATTTCCGTGGGGAACGGGTCCTGGGATTCACTGGCCCTATCTGTCAAGAATTAGCCACAGATTTCTAATATACAGTATGCAGTGTGCTCTAAATATCTAACTTTAGCAGATACACACACACACACACACACACACACACACACGGTGCCTTGGAGGCAGTGAATAATAGTCTTAGTTCTAATGAGACATCGGTGAAGGTTACAAACTCTTGGACTCTTAGCATAAGATGATCCTTAAAGATCATCTAGGTCACCTTCCCATCCTAACCTTGACTCTCTCCTTATAATGATACTGTGATAACCATTTTTATTATTGGTTTCTTTTGAATGTTAATGTGCCAAGCACAGTGCTAGCTGAAGTATATAAGCCCTCTCACTTATTTTTCATAACAACTCTGTGAGGTGTATTATATTATTATCCCTATTACATAGATGAGGGCACTGACGGTTTGGAGAGGTTAAATAATCTGCTCATGGTCATACAGCAAATAAATGACAGAGCCAGAACCAATTCTGGGTTATCTACTCTTAAATGTTGCCCTCTACTGCCTACCACACCCCACCAGGAAACAGACCAGCCTAGGCTTGGACTCTTCAAATGCTGGCAGGCACACTGCTTCCTAAGACATTCAATCCCTTAAGGACAATTCAGGTTTCTTCAGGATATCTTAAATGATGTGACTTCCATGGCTTCTTTTTCTCTATCACAGGAATTTGTCAGTGGCCCACCACAGGAATTTTTAGTATCTACATGCTGTATTGCATAATTGTCATCTTCTCTGAGGGAGAAAAAAATACCAAATATAATAACTGAGAACTGACTTCCTTGCATTTCCAGCTTCGCTTCATCTGGTATCCCATTAAGCAAAGATAGATAGGTAGTATTTCACCATCCAATGATAAATACTAGTCATTTACCTTCGGAGGGCTACTCTTAGGAACTCTCTTCACTTGCAGACATAAGGAGTAGGGAGGAAGTGTTGCTCCTTACTACATCACAGGACTGGGAAATAAATAAGAACAGTAAAAACCCCTTGTCTCTGTTCTGAAGCAGAGCCACTTAAGTGGTCAGATGGATGCGAAACACTAGAATTTCTGAAGTATTAGATTGCAGCAAACTAGTAAAGAGGAAGCAAACACATAGGCTCATCATTACCAACAGAATTGTCACTCCCTCCTGAGAAACTGTAGCTGTGCCGCCAGCTCCCATAGGAAAAGGCATAAACTCCTTGTGAGATTCTTCAGTACCCTTCATAATCTGACCCAACTTGTTTTTCATTTTTTCCACTTCATAACTATTTGTTCATCATTCCAGAAACATTCTCTTTCCTTTCCCTCTTCACTTTCTCTAAGAAAACCCTGTTGCCCCTTCACCACCCCCATTAAGAGTCATTAGGAAGCTTGTTCTTCTTCATCAGAAGTAGTCTGTCTCCTCCGTGGTGTCTCACTATAATGCTTGTACTTGCTATTTACCTTTTCTTGAGGAAAATTGGGGATGTTAATGATGCTGGTGATTTTCAACAACTGAGAACAAAAGAAGACAAAGAAATCTTGAATCCATTAGAGGATGTTTTCCATTTAATGGGATTAAAATAGCTTTGCATGTAAAGAAAATTCCATTCATGTAATGCTGGACAAACAAAGGACTACCCTCACCACGGTTCTATACCTTCATCTTTGTATTGTTACAGTTTATTGGATTTGGGGCCTTCTTTCTGCAGATATGCTGCATGCTCACTCTGCTCTTCCTCAGCAGTCTTGAGATTTACACTGGGGTGGGCATGGGGGAGACATTTCTATCAGTGACCCATCAACTACACAGACCTGGGTTAACCAGCGCTTATGTGCTCTTAGTATGCTGCAGCCACACTGCAAGCCTTTCACTGCGAGGAGACACATTTTTGTTTTGGAGGATGTTACATTAACTCCTTCAGGGTACCAAAGATAAACTTCCATTTTCTGACAAGTTTCCAAAAGGTGGACTAAATTATTTGTTTGTTACAGGCAGTATTAAATATGTCTTTTGCTCTATAGTGATATTATAAAAAACAATCTACTCATATTTAAGACTATTTCTAGCCTTTTTTCCTACATATTTTAAATACTTTTACTATTTAAAAAAAAATTAGCATAGGGCTCTTAACATGGACTTTATGGTTGGGTATTGGGGGTATATTTGTTTCTGAGGGGGGATTATCAGATTTTCAGAGTTCTTTAACCTTAAAAAGGTTATCCTCCAACTTACAGTTCAAGTATTTTATCCGTGTGCCTTCAGACTCTTTTAAGGCAGTTTCTATAACTGGATACTTCTGTTTTGGATACTTCTTTTTTATGGGTGTAAGGTAAAAAATATGTAATATGAGATCTACCCTCTTAACAAATTTTTAGGTGTACAGTACAATCTTGTTAACTGTATTAGTCCATTCTCATGCTGCAAATAAAGACATACTCAAGACTAAGTGATTTATAGAGGAAAGAGGTTTAATTGACTCACAGTTCAGCATGGCTAGGGAGGCCTCAGGAAACTTACATTCATAGCGGAAGGGGAAGTAAACACGTCCTTTTTCACATGACAGCAGGAAGCAGAAGAATGAGCAAAAGGAGAAAAAGCCCCTTATAAAACCATCAGATCTTGTGAAAACTCACTCACTATCATGAGAACAGCATGCAGATAACCGCTCCCATGATTCAGTTACCTCCCACCAGGTCTCTCCCACTATACATGGGGATTATGGGAAGTATAATTCAAGAAGAGATTTGGGTGGGAACACAGCCAAACCATATCATTAACTATATGCACATCACTGTACAGTAATCTCCAGAACTTTTTCATCTTGCATGACTGAAACTCTATTCTTATTGAACAGCAACTCCTCATTTTCCCCTCCCCACAGCCCCTGGCAAGTACCATTATACTCTCTGCTTCTGTGAATTTGACTACTTTAGATACCTCATATCAGTGGAATCATGTATTGTTTGTCTTTCCGTGACTGGCTTATTTTAGTTAGCATAATGTCCTCAAGGTTCATCTGTGTTCTAGCCACCATATGACAAAATTTTCTTCTTTTTAAAGACCGAAAATTATTCCACTGAATATATATGCCACATTGTCTTTATCCACTCATCTGTCCATGGACATTTAGGTTATTTCCATCTCTTGGCTATTGTGAATAATGCTGCAATGAAAATAGCAGTGCAAATATTCTCCTCAAGATCCTGCTTTCACTTCTTTTGAATGAATACCCAGAAGGGGGAATGACTGGATCATATAGTGGTGATTCTATTTTTGATTTTTTGAGAAACTTCCAAACTGTTTTCCTTAGTGGCTGCACCATTGTACATTCCCACCAACAGTGCACAAGGGTTCCAGTTTTTCCACAAACTTGCCAACCCTTGTTATTTTGTTGAGAGTGGCCATCCTAACACGTCAGGTAAAATTTTTTTGCGGTTTTGATTTGCATTTCTCTGCTTGTTAGTGATGTTGAGCATCTTTTCATATACCAGTTGGTCATTCATATATCTTCTTGGAGAAATGTCTATTTGAGTCTTTTGCCAAGTTTTAAATCAGATAATCAGATTGTTGGGCTTTTTTTTTTTTTTTTTTTTTTTTTTTGCTATTGAGTTGTAGGAGTTGCTTATATGTTTTCAATATTAACCCCTTATTAGATATATGATTTGCAGATATTTTCTCTATTCCACAGGTTACCTTTTCGCTCTGTTGATTGTTTTCTTTGCTACACAGAAGCATTTCAGTTTGACGTAGTCCCACTTGTGTATTTTTGCTTTTGTTGCTTGTGCTTTTGGTGTCATATCTAAGAAATCATTGCTAAAACTAATGTCATGAAGTTTTTCGCTCCTTTACTTTCTTCTAGGAGTTTTGTAGTTTATATTTAAATTTTTAATGCATTTTGAGTTGATTTTTGTGTATGGTGTAAGATAAGAGTTCAATTTCATTCTGTTACATTTTGTTGAAGAGAATTATCTACTTCTTCCCTCTTTCCCACCCGCTGACCCAAGGCAGGGTTGTACTCTGTCACCCAGGCTGGAGTGCAATGACACAATCATAGCTCATTGTAATCTCAAACTCAAGGGCTCAAGGGATCCTCCAGCCTCAGCCTCTAGAGTAGCTGGGACTATAGGTATGCGCCCCTACACTCAGCCAGCTTTTAAAAATTTTTAATAGAGACGAAGTCTCTGTTGCCCAAGTTGTGCCTCAAGCAGTCCTTCTACCTTGTCCTCCCAAAGTGCTGGGATTATGGGTGTGAGGGACTGTGCACACAGCGTAATCTACTTCTTGAGTCCTCCATGGTAGATATCAAATTGACATGACGGGTCAACTTCTATAATGAACCTCTTTGGGCAAGAAGATTTTTTAGTCAGGATTATTTCCTTAGGGTAGATTTAAAGAATGGGAATTACTAAGTCATGTGTAGAAGCACTTAAGGCTCTTGATATTGCGGAACTACTTGCCAAAAAAGATTATAGCAGTTTAAATCAGCAGACAACTCCTTCTTCACTATTTTATCATATCCTCACTGTCATTGAGCAGTTTGTTTAAAAAAGAAAGAAGGGGAGCAATAAATATTTATGAACCTATTAAGTACAAATGGAATTTTGTTCTTTTAGTCTGCATTTCTTTGCCACTACTAGTTTGGTAGAACATTGTTAGCCATTTGTATTTATTCCTTTCTGAATTGTGAGGCAAAACATTATAACAACAGAGCAAGGAATAATGACCTAAAGGTAAGGAGAGCTATGAAGTATCATTGAAAGGGTTCATCACGCCTGTAATTCCAGCATTTTGGGAGGCTGAGGCAGGAAGATCGCTTGAGTCTAGGAGTTTGAGACCAGCCTGGCAACGTAGTGAGACCTAATCTCCACAAACAAACAAAAAAATTAGCTGGGTGTGGTGGCATACTCTACTTGGGAGGCTGAGCCAGAAGGTCAAGACTGCAGTGAGCCATGATTGTGCTGCTGCACCACAGCCTGGGTGACAGAAAGAGACTTTGTCTCTAAAAAAGAGAAAAGCTCAAAAGTGTTCAGAACAATGACTCCCGTTACTTCCTGTCCACAGGACTGGAATAAAGTATGGGAGGAGGGAGTTAATTAGTTTCCTGCCCATTCTTGTTTTGATAAAATGAGGATAAAAGTAATGGCTTCACAGGACTGATGACAGGTAAATGAAATTACATCGTGTAATTCATTCAGTACCTGCTCAGTACATGTTGGCCCCTTCGTTATCTCTTCCTTTTTACCTCCCGTTCTATTTCTGTGCTTGCAGGCTAGGTGGAAATAGAGGCTGCCTAGAAACATGCATTAACAGGTGCTTCTTGGGCCACCCTAGCCTGAAGAAGGACAACCAGAGAGTATAACAGTGGCACCTCAATGCCTTGGCCTTGAGGACCCTCAGTGTCCCTTCAGGCCTCCAGATTTGAGGGGAGGCTCTAGCATGTTCTGGCTGCAGCTATTGTCTTCAGGGATTCTGCAGCTTGTAGCTGCTTGGTAAGTTCTTTGCTTGTGGCTGATTGTTACCCATTTCCGACCTGTGTCTTATATTCTTGTTCTGAGCCTGGTACCATCCTTGCTCCATGCCAACCCACTCCCATCAGGTCTTCTACCCCAACACAACACTTCACGTCTGGTATGAAACTTGCCCATACGCAGGCCCCTTCCTCTCCCTGTTGCACCTGCCTCCTCAGGTGGAACAGGCCTGAAAGCCTGTCCTAGGCATGCATGAGGTTGCCTCATAAAACATCACTGTGTCTTCTACTTTGATTATAGAGCCAGGTGTCCCCACTATTATGGAGGCTGAGGCCACCCCTGTCTTTCTGTTATATAACTCATATTTCCCTGTCTGAGTAATCAAGATTGTAGGGCTACATTAACAGTCCCTAATACACACATACATACTCCAAACCCATCATCATTGACTCCCCCAGCGAAATGTTTCCAGATTCTATTAAGTTTTCGCTCTTTCCAAAGCTTTTCCTCTTCAGCCTATAAAAAGCAAGCAGCTATTTGCTTCATTCCCAGGGGTACTTCTACCAATTGGAGCTGGGCTGTTGGAGTCATCTCCACTGCCTACCACCAGGACAAGCAGAGAAGTGTGAGTGGAAGAGAGAGAGGTGGCAGGGAAATCTCCCTTTGTGTGAGCTGTGTGGTCAGGGGTCCCAGGTGCCCACAGTCATAGAGGAGGTAGGGGCCCACTTGAAAATCACCAGATGCTTTTTTCAGACCAGGCCTGAGTGGTTTTTTGTCTCCCAGCCTGGGTTGCTTATATCTCCTTCCTCCCTGCCCCTGCACCCTCTGTCTTGGTGCCTATTCTCATTATCAGAGTTGGTAAGGCTCTCATGCCCTCAGAAGAGGAATTCGTCCATTTTCTCCCTCAGCTGGAAGCCACACACCTTGCTAGGTCTCCTGTCAACCACAACATATTTGAACTACTTTTACTTAAGCAGGATCACTCTGCCCTAATAGAATAACCAGGAGGCATCCCTGCAACTTTACTTCATTCTGGAGGGGCTAACCTTCCTGCTGCTGTCCATCAGCTTCTCTAGTCTCCAAAGGTGTACAATTCTGAAGCAGAGTCCTCTTTTCCCTCCCAGCAGCGCATTCAGCTAGCACTTATTGAGCACTAATTATGTGCCAGCCACTGGGACGCTGGTCAGAACATGATGCGTGCTCTCAAGAAGTGCCCAGTCATTGAGAAGACAGACCGGGCCGTGCCCCTATGAGGCAGGCAGAGTTCTGCTGGGCCCACTGGAACGAGGCAACCAGCTCACAGTCAGAGTTGGGGCAGATAGCCCAGGTGCTCTGTTAACTCCTGGAAGCCAGATCCCGTGCTTTGCTGTTACAAACATTCTCCAAGTGTGCAGTGGTAGGGGAGTGGCCTGGCTGTATACAGAATGCCCAAACCTTCCACTCAACTCTGAAAACCTTGAACATTGTGGTCCCCAGAATTGAGCCTTGGCTGATAGGAAATCCTGACCTGGTCATTATCACCAAGGAGGGCTTCCCAAGTCACGGGGTCTTCACTACCACACACAGGCCTCCACTGGCCAGCTTGTGCTTAAACCATCTAGTATTTACTTGTACAAAAACAAATAATTTTTAACTTTTTTAAAGCAATAAACATTTTTCCTCTCCTAATTCAGTCTTACATGAAACCTTAAAGTAGATGTAGGCCTGCTCTGGTTGAAACTGGAATGAGAAGTCTGGTAGCCCAGCAACCCCAAGGCCCCCTCTGCATACAGTTCAGAAAATAACAGATGGGTGTGACCCATCACCACCAGAAAATCCCAAGTTTTTGAGGTCCCACCCATAGAGGAGGAGGCCTCCACCCTGCTCTGAGCAGCAGGGAGGGGGCTGCAGAGCCAGTACCCGTTCCTTAGCATGTCCACGTGCTGTAGACAGAGCTGCTGAGGGGGAAAAAAATAAAGAAAAATTGCCAGCACCAATGGGGGATAGCTTTCATCTTAATCTTGCCCCAAATCCCAGAACCAGTAAACCATCTGCTGTCCTCACTGTGCCCGCCCAAGAGGTAGTGGAGGGCACAACAGGCAGTCCCAGAGGGTACCGAGGGGAGGAGGGTGCCACACTCCCAGCACTCATTTCAGCAGCGGGGCAGACTGGGCTTGACACAATATGGAGGTGAGGACCTAGCCCAGTACGTATTTAGCTTTCAAATTATAAGTCTGGGAGTGCGGGAAGTCAAGAGAAAATAGAGAGGAAAGAATGAAGAGTGTTATGACAGAAATGCATTCCCATTAAAAATGTACTCTTTTTTTTTTTTTTTTAAAAAAAAAAGAAAGCTCATCTAATGTTAATCTAGAAACTCTAATTTCATGGGGATTTCAAGAGGCTTGTGGAAGAAAACATCGTGGTAATTGTATATGCTAATGGAGTACCTACAGGACATTGTTATAGTGATGGAAATTCTATTTCATGCAAACACTAAAGCAGTCCTCCCTTTATATCTTGGTAAAGCTGATTGACAGAGTATAAAATTGCTTTTTAATCCAATTTAGGAAACAAAATGTGTAGTGGGTTTTAGCATTTTAAAATGCTTGAAGCGTGGAAGCAGAAATTCAAAATACCCTGGCAGACTGTCTATGATATTATATATCAACAGGACATTTTAGAAATATTATTTCGATATAAGTTTCTTTGAATTGAGTCATATTTTGTTCCAAAGCTTTTTTGGATTAGAGTAAGGAGAATGTATTGTGGAAATATGACCCAGAGGAAAATGAACAGAAACCAGTTTTTAGCCACATTTCTCAGGAATAGGAAGTTTAAGTCTCTTTCTTTAACAAAAAGCACTGCAGCTGCTTTCCCCAAGACTACTCCCATACAGGCCACCCCCACCAGGCTCATTACCTCTACTGAGGTCACTCTTATTAAGGCCGCTGCCACCTAGGCCACCAGATCTGTTGGCCTCTTCTCAAACCTCATCCTATTTCATCTCTCCTCAGCATTTGGTCCCACTGACCAACTGCTTTTTATGTTTTTTTTGTGTGTGGTTTTTTTTTTTTCCATGAGACAGGGTCTTGCTCTGTCACCCAGGCTGGAATGCAGTGGTGCTATCATGGCTCACTGCAGCCTCGACCTCCCAAGCTCAAGCAATCCTCCCACCTCAGCCTCCACCTTAGTTTTGCCATGTTGCCCAGGCTGGTCTTGAACTCCTGGGCTGAAGAGATTTGCCTGCCTTGGCCTCCCAAAGTGCTGGGATTACAGGTGTGAGCCACTGCCCCCAGCCAGCCTGCTTCTTATGTCTTGAGGCCATCTCGACTCCATGACACCTTCTCTCTGTGCCACTCCTGTATGTCAGCACTCTCCTCCTACTCCTTTCCTGCGCTGCCACGCGTTCATGTTTTCCAGGGAGCTCTATTCACTGCCCTCTCCCTCCTTGCTCGAAGCTATCTTTTTTTTTTTTTTTTTGAGACGGAGTCTCGCTCTGACGCCCAGGCTGGAGTGCAGTGGCGGGATCTTGGCTCACTGCAAGCTCCGCCTCCCGGGTTCACGCCATTCTCCTGCCTCAGCCTCCCAAGTAGCTGGGACTACAGGCGCCCGCCACTAAGCCCGGCTAATTTTTTTTGTATTTTTAGTAGAGACGGGGTTTCACCGTTTTAGCCGGGATGGTCTCGATCTCCTGACCTCGTGATCCGCCCGCCTCGGCCTCCCAAAGTGCTGGGATTACAGGCGTGAGCCACCGCGCCCGGCCTCGAAGCTATCTTGAGAGATCTCGGGTGCTCCTACTGCGCAGCTTCCATCTCTGGCCCAGAACACCCACATTTGTGTCTCCAGATTCTCTCCTAAGCTCCAGACCTGAAGACCCAGCTGCCTTCAGGCCATTTCTCCAGGGATGTTCTGCAGGTTCTTTAAGCTGTTTTTGTTACCTTCCCCTGCTAAGCCTCTTCCTCCTTTGGTGTCTTTACCCTAGCTAAGGAGCTCACATTATTCTAGTTTCTTATGCCAAAAATTTGTCACCTTCGGTTCTTTCCCTCACTCTCACATTTAGTCAGGTGCCAAGTCCTGGAGAAGCTCCTCCTCCACCCCGCAATTTTGTCCCCATCACCTGGACTCTAACAGGAGCTTTTTAAGACTTTGCTAATTTCCATCTGTTCCCTGTCTGTTGATCCTACACATGACTCACCCATTTCTCTCAAAATTGCAAACTGCACAACTCACTTCCCAATTGCCTATGGCAGTGATTTCCAAACTGTCCTCCTAGGAGAGCCAGGAGGGTTCCCCGGACCTCTCTTGGGTCCCTCCCTCAGATTTCCCCACAGCTTTGTTTTTCATCAGCTTCACAGATTCTAAGTGTTTTTTTCCCCCCCTCAGTATCTGCAGGGGATTGGTTCCAGGACCCCTCACATATACCAAAATCTGCACATACTCAAGTCCCCCAGTGGGCCCTGCAGAACCGAACAGAACCTGTGTTATGCAAAAAATCAGCTCTCTGTATATGCAGGTTTCCCATCCCATGAATATTATATTTTCAATCCGTGTTTAGTTGAAAAAAATTTTGTATAAAAGTAAGCCTGTGCAGTTCAAACCCAGGTTGCTCAAGAGCCAACTGTAGTCTGTGTCTAAAAGTCTGAAAACCAGTTACTGAAGGTCAGGGCACCCTCTGGAGCAGGTCATGAAGGCCTTTTACAGCCTACTTTTTCTACTTCACTCCTTTGGAGAGTAGCCTGAGTTCAAATGCAGGTTTTGCCACTTCCAACTGTGTAACCCTGAACAAGTTAGTTCCTAAAGCCTTCATTTTCCCATCTGTGAAACAGGAATAGAAATATTAGCTCTATCACAGAGTTAGTGTTAAGGAGTTACTGAGATAATGCTTGGCATGTGTGTTAGTGTGTAATCAGTGTTGGCAGTTACCATCATGTTAGTACTCAGGCCCCACCAGTTTAGAAACACATCATGCCCTTGAATGCCTTGGTTTGCTTTTGGTAGGCTTTGATGCTTTTGGTATACTTTGCCCGTTAATGCTGGTTTGGAATCCCCCCTCCTCATTTTTTCAGTATAAACTCTTATTTAATTAGTAAAATTGATGTTTTCATTTTTCTGTGAAGCTTCTCAGACACAATGCTCTCCATTTGCTTCCTTAGTGCTAAGTTTATACATCTTACTAAGGTACTTACCATGTTGAATTTTATTCTTTCTCCATACATTCTCTTTTTCTCTCCTCTCTCTCTCCCTCCTCTACTCCTACAAAGACTATGGATCATCAAGGTGGGGACCTGGCCTGATTCATATCCATGCCCCTGAGGTAAATTATGGTGCTTCCATATCTGTGTCCTTGGAATACACAAAGGATCCTTCCATATCCATGTCCTTGGATAGGCTGTGGGTGCTCCCATATCTGTACACTTGAGATACACTGTGGGCCTTCGCATATTTTTTGAATGAAGCAAAGTAACCGATGAACAGAGAAGTGAACCAGGAAGAAGCAGGTGCCTTGTGATGAGGACCCCTGAGTGGTACTGAAATCACCAGGTTTAATTTGACAATTCAGCTTTGCTTTATGCTTGCCTCCATATCGGTCGGTTAATGACCCTCGTTAGCCCAGGTCTCTTCAACTGATCTGCTACTACAATAAAAGTGCTGAAGTATTTTACCTAAAAACAAACTCAGTTATCTGTGGGACATGTATATGTGGAAAACACAAATTACCTCTACAGTAATATGAACATTTAATTTTTTTGGTAGCAAAAATATCTACTATTCAATGCACGCTTATATGCCAGGTACTATGTGAATGAATGCTTTACATATATTACATAATCTTCAAAAATTAAAACCAGCAAGGTGTGTTTTTACTATTCCAGTTTTACAGAGGAGCAAACTGAGGTTCAAAGAAATTAAATAACATGTCCAGGGTCTCGTAGCTAAACAGTAGAGCCAGGATTCCAGTAAGTGATTCAAAGTGGCAGATGGTAGATGAGAGGAGGTAAGGCAAGGAATCCTGGTGATGTCTACCTCATTCTCCATCACCGCATGATCTGAGTGAGCCATGGCTACTTGCAGTGTTTTTTTTGTCCTGTGCCTGCTTTGTGTCTTACTGATTCCAGGGAGTAAGCAACATTGAAACTCAGACTATGTGGTGTCTCTCCCAAATAGCACTAGCTTTATTCTCAGAACTCCTTATTGATGTTTTAAAAACATCTTTTCTGGTCTTAGGCCATTTTATCAGAGCCAGTTGCACCAAAGCATTGTAGGCATGAAAAAAATTTGCTATCTCCAGTTATCTTTTGTTTGTATGTTTGTGTGTGTGTGTGGTTGTGTCTGTTTTTGATGCAAGTCTAGAAAATAGATTTGTATTACATATATACTTACATACATATAGAGAGAGAGAAAAATAAAAATGCTTATTACAAGCCAGGCATGGTGGCATATGCCTTATAGTCCCAGTAACTTGGGAGGCTGAGGCAGGAGGATCGCTTGAGCCCAGGAGTTCAAGGCTGCAGTGAGCTATGGTTGCACCACTGCACTCCAGCCTGGACAACAGAGTGAGACCCCATCCCTTAAAAAATGCTTATTATAGAAAACTTGGAAAGCACAGAAGGAGTACAAAAGAAGTTAATCTCCCATTAAAATCAAATATTTAACCACCATGAACATTCAACCTGTGATTGTCCAATGGTTTTTAATGCCTACCTATACCTTTTTTTGTCAAAATAATTAATAATCTGCTATGTAAATTGTTAGGGTACATTGATTTTTTTCCATTTAGCAATGTATGATGAACATTTCCCTGTGCTAATACATATTATTTCACTACCTGGTTTTGGGAGCAACTTAATAGTCATCATTGACTGTGATATAAATTAATGTACCTGTTTTTTTTCACATTTTGTTTATTTATACTTTTGCTAATGATTTTCATATGACTTATGCTATTGTTGATATTGAAAATCCCGAAAAAATAGTTGTATGAGTTAATTCTTTGGTATTAACATTTATGTGAATGATAACTATGGGATCATTTTCATTCAAATTATGATAGAATTTTAAGATCTTAGCAAAAAGCACTTTAGCAGCCACCCAAGGTAGCCTCTAATAGGCCACATCTCTTCAGCAGTTTCCCTGACAGGTGAGCCAGTCTCCACTCAGAGACCTCCATGAGTAGGCGCTGCTCACACCTAAAGACCACAGCTCTCTGCTTCTCTTCATATGCCCTGACTTTGGATGCTCCTGCAGTGGAGGCTGACACAAATAGATTTTGAAAAGTTGCTTCCAAAATTTTTAGAAGCACTGCATTTCAAGATCAGTGTGATTTTATCTGGGAAGGAAGTTAGAGGCAGGATGGCGGGCAAAATAGCACAGAACCAAGCCATTATTATAGATGGACAAAGCGTGTTCTTTGATTTGTGAGCTACAGTTATTCTAATTGATTTCTGCATACTTGTGGATAGGGATCTGCCCTGTTCCATTTATTTTTCTCTTGACAAGTAAGATGTGAAATGTTGTTCCATGCTTTTCTAATTTAAATGTTGCACATGTTGAGAACTGATCTTGCCAGCCATTTTAAGCCTGGCCAAAAACATAACACATTGTTGTTATTAGCCTTCATCATTTGGTTAGGGCCAACATTTTGTTTGGAATTATAAAGGAGTGTAAATCTCTTTTATAGTCATAGCCGATTTCTGCCATAAGATAGATAAGATGAGAAGGCAGAGTTGTTTCCTTGATGTATTGCTTTGGTTAGCCTCATAAGGCTGATTAGGCCAGGGATGTTCACTTTGAGAGACTTCTTGGGAAGTAAGATTTCAATGTAATTCAACTTAAAAAAATATTACCTTGATGTGCAAGGCTCTGTAGGAGGTGTGGGGAGGGGAAATTAAGGTGCAGATGGCAAAGTTCATGCTCTTGGGGGTCTTATGATTTAGCAGAGGAACAAGATACACAATAACTAATATAAGGTGGCGTGTGATTAGTACACATACACAAAGATTGGAGAGAACTTAGAGGAGAAACAGCATTACCTCATGGCCTATGTTTGGGGCTGCGGATGATGTCCTTGAGGCCATATGTATCCCATTGATCCTGCAGGCTGAGTAAGCCATCCGTCTCACACACATATGTACTACTGTTTTCCAAATGTATTATATGTAGATGCTCTGGTGGCCAACAATGCTTTTAGATTAATTTTTGTTGTATTACATTTATGGTAGCTTTTTGTCATATTGTATATTTTCAGTCAGTAGCTACTACCCTGATGATTCCTGTCATGAACACCTTTGAAATTTTTTCATGTTAAAAATTGGTCCAGTTATCCAAAGATGAAAAACCATTGTCCACAACAGTCAATGCTGTCCAAAAGACTTTTCCGTGATCATGGAAATATTCCCTGCATTGTCCAATACAGTAGTTATTAGCCACATGCAGCACCTGAGCACTTGAAATATGGCTAGTGAGATGGAGGAAATGAATTTTTAATTTTGTTTGGTTTTAACTAATTAAAATATAAATAACCACATGCAGTAGAAACTGTCGTATTGAAAACGGATGGCACATATCTATAATGTCCCTTTGTCAGGAATTTTCTGAACTCTTCCCCTCCCCTGCCAGGTTGACTTGCCCTGCCTCCTGCTAGTTTCTTTTCATTTTTTTTTTTTTTAGGCGGAGTCTTGCTGTGTTGCCCAGGCTGGAGTGCAGTGGCGCTATCTTGGCTCACTGCAACCTCTGCCTCCCAAGTTCAAACAATTCTCTGCCTTAGCCTCCTGAACAGCTGGGATTGTAGGCACCCACCACCACGCCCAGCTAATTTTTGTATTTTTAGTAGAGACAGAGTTTTACCACCTTGGCCAGGCTGGTCTTGAACTCCTGACCTCGTGATCCACCCGCCACGACCTCCCAAAGTGCTGAGATTACAGCCGTGAGCCACCGCGCCCAGCCCTGCTAGTTTATTTTCTACCCACAAATGTGGGTGACTACCAGGCCCACTTCTTCTCAGGTGCCCCTATTCCTGAAGGTTCTTTAGGCTAAGAGAAGAGTTCTTTCATAGATGCTTAATGAAATGTGAAAGCCTTTTCTAATCATAGAAATGAAAAGAATGGTAGTTTACACTTTTCTTTTATCCACCATCTGATTGTCAGGGGCTTTAAGAAGATTTCTGTATACCTGGGACACATGAGTTAGTTGTTTTCATATTTTATGTTTCAAATTTTATAAACATGATCCTTCTTTAAAAATTGACTATTTGATAAATGTGGTGGCTATGAATAATTAGAAAGTCAGATCAAAATCTTATTCCAGGGCTCTCATTAGGCCAGAAATTTCCCTTCTCCTTTGTTTTTTTGATGATGATTGTTATGGATAACCAAATGCTCTTCCTTATCCAACTTACTCTGGAACAATTAATACAGTTCATAACACTTTACAAGTTATTTATTTTTTTTCATGACTCGTAGCCTCGGGGTCCTTTAAGACTATCACTGGCAGTAGCAATGTACATTTTAATGGTTCCTATTAAGGTAACAAAATCACAAGAGGATAGCCAGGTAACTCCGAACATAAAATCCACCATAATATAAATATAATTATTTATATTATGGCTGATATTCATTATAAACATAGTGCAAATTGGATTGCTGTGTAATTCTCTATTCTTATTTTTCCGAAAAGATTTTTGTCTTGCACTGTTTTAAAACAAGACATTAGGAGGAAAGCAGTAGTTCATAGAATCCAAAAAGGCAGATGGCCAGAAAGCTCTTCTAGAACTCATGTTTGAGGAGTTCCACCAAAATAACAAACACCTCTCATGGACCAGCCTGGAAATGGGTCCCAGGTCTTTCTGTGGAGTATGGCTTTCTATCCTACCTCCTCCCAAGTGTGACGACCGTTATCAGTGTCCTCCTGCTGCTCTCTGGGTGTCTCACTTCCCTACTCTTCCTGCTTTGAGGCCAGAAGCTTGGAGGTTTCTTCAAATATCAGACCCAGAGGGAGGAAGGTTTCAGTTGCTGAGCCAAGATGCCTGCATGTGTTCTCCTGGCTCCTGCTGGGCCATACACCTCGACACCAACCGTGCCAATGGGAGAGGAAGCTTAAGGGCAACTGAGGGATGCCCAAAGGGTACAAATCCTCAACTAGATGACAGGGAAACATTGATAGTTGTGCCATAGTCTCCATTCTGTATACCAGGACTCTTCTACCTTTCACTGTCTTTCATAAACTTCCACGGACAGAAAAATACATAGGCAATTATTTCTGATGCTAAAATTTTTGAACACCTTTTTAAGCGCTTGATCTTGCTGTCCATATCCCTCTGTAGTCTACTAGTCTCCATTTTACAGGAGATTGCATGGGCTGTTGTTATGTTTGTCTTTGGTGGTGGTGGTGGGGTGGGTGTATGTGTGGGTGTGTGTGTGTGTGTGTGTGTGTGTGTGTGTGTGTGTGTGTCAGGGATGGATCCAGGAGGGGAGAATGCCAGCCAGAAAAGAAAGGTTAACATTTGCAATTATAAAATAACCTTCAAAAATTGCTCCCTATCTATCCTATAGTAAAACAAAAGAATAAAAATGGAAACGTAGTCTTTTCTCAGCCCCCGGGAAGTATATCCATTCTTGCCCTGTACTCCTACCCACTTTGTAGAAGATAGCAATGAAGAGGTGTACGCTGAGACCCCCATCCCCTACCCCAACTCCCTAGTCTTCGGGAAAGGATCGAAGAGTGTCACAGTTTGGGGTCTATAATGCTCCCCTCCCTTGGGTCTTCCCATGCTCTGGCTGCCACCCTTCCTCCCTGTAGCACCTGAGCAGCTGTGGGTGGCTCTTTTCATAGGACAAGATTTTTCTCCTTGATACATGTGTATAGAAAAAAATAATGGACAGTGCTACTCAATCTCAAATCTTTCTAATGCACTTGGTTTAGCCACATAACTTCTTAACCTTCATGTGTCTGTTTTATAAGGTTTCATTCTGCTTCCAAAATTATACCAAATTATTGTGTCTTCTACATTTTCCTTTATGCTGTTTGAGTCTTATGTATTTCTTTGATTAGAGTGTCTTAGCCTGAAAGCCTCTGATCTTCACTGTAGGAAACTAGTACAAGGCTAATCATCTGTCAGCAAACTTTGTATTGCTGGATGTTTTAGTAATTGCCTTCAAATGTAGTAATGAGGTTGCAGGTTTAATGAAATGCTTATAAGTGGTGGCTTTAGGGAAATCAACTGCTCTATTTTCAATACTGAATTCTAAATTACTTAGGTATTAACACAAGTGTGTCCTGCTTTTTTATTTCAGTACCTACTAGAAATGAAAAGCTTAATCCTACCCCCAGAACATATCCTGAAGAGAGGAGACAGTGAAGCAATAGCATATGCATTCTTTCATCTTGCACACTGGAAGAGAGTGGAAGGGGCTTTGAATCTTTTGCATTGTACGTGGGAAGGCAGTAAGTAATTTTCTTTTTTTGAAACATTTTTAAGAGCATGAAAAGGTGCTAAAATGTTTTTGCACTGTTTATGATGAATAATGAAGATTTACATATGTACTGCTCTTGTGTTCTGTGATGGCCCATCTAAGCCAGTTAGTGACTTAGGTTCTCCCATCCCCCGGTGGTGGTGGGTATTCCTGTGGTGAGGCTGTTTCCACAGCTCAGAAAGGTAAGTTTATATTATAGATGGGGTGAACCCAGATGTTCTTCAAAGGGGCACCTTGTCACCCTGAAAACCCTGTTTGGAAACTTGGACAGCCCCACAGCATCATGGTGATCTTTGGCATTGGGTTAGGCTTCGTGCTGGACACTGATGACCACTTCTTGATGGCCTTTGTGGGAGGGTTGGCTAAGAGCCACAGTTATCCTCCACTGGAACCAGACCGGCCATCCAAAAAGGTGTGGCAGTTATGCTTCAAACCAAGGACAGTGGCCATTGAACCCTGGTGTTTGCTAGGAGGTGTAGCATTCATGTATTAACGGATAAATGCTGGGTAGATGAATGCGGGCTTGTTCTCCATAGATAGTATTATTCCATGTAAGGAGAATAGGCTGTAATGGTGGGGGAGACATGCTCCCTGCATGTCGTCTAATTGGGAAGAGGAACCAGCAGCACGTGGCAGCTGCCTGTTGATTTTCAGAAGGGAGAGGTCCATGGGGTGGAGTGATCTTGGTTAACATTATGAGTCAGATGAGATTTGAACCAAGCCTTGAAGAAGTAGGACATTATTATAAGCAAGGACACCATGTGAAGAAATGGTAAGTGGTGGGGCTGTTTGAGAGGATGTAAATTAAGGAAAAAAGTCAAGACTATGAATTATTGGACAACAAGTGCATTGACATTCTGCTAGCATTAATTTTAGCAAAACAAGTACAATATGAAGCATGGGTTTCTTTTTCCACCCATGGGAAACTAAAACAAGAGAGTCTTCTGACAGTTGTTTCCTAGCTCACCCTTACTCTGATCAACCTCACAAACAAGTGTCTTTTTAATCCTTTCACTCTGTTTATCTTTACTGCTTCCATTTTCATTTTGATAATCTGCTCCTCCCTTTTCCGGCCCTTCCCTAACCCAGCAGGAGTCCAAGTTGGTGTAGGAAGGGAGGTTGGGGGAGCAAAATGGGATAGTGTAAAAATAAGCTACAGATGGGACTCAAAGTTGATTGAAAATTTTTGTTTCATTTTGAAAATATTTCTTTAGCAAATTAGCAGTAGTTCTGCTTCTATAGATTACTATTTATAACTTGAAGGAGGATTTTATCAGTGCCTCCGCCCCTCCTCAGTAAGTGTAATAGCACACTCCAGGTGCCTGCGTGGCACCAGCAACTGTATTTAAATGGGTTAAGACACACCACTCTCCACTCAGGGTGTGTGTGAGCATGGTCATGATTCCTTCTGGCTTGTGCTTCCTGTTGTATGTAAGATGTTCTATCAGAAAGGAAACACAATACATGTTTATTTAAGCATGAGAAAGAGACAGAAAAGCCCAGCAGGGTTGAACGGGAGAGGCCTCACCTAGTGTCAGTTGTGGAGAAATTAAATGGACAAGTTGGCTTACCAAATTTTTGTAGATTGGCATCTTAGAAATAATAATAGAAGCATCCATTGGGTCTCATAGAAAAGAAAGTTACCTGTCCCATAGAAAGGACCCAAAAAAGGGGTGGGGCAAAGGGTGATAAAGACATGGTATCACCATAGAAAAATGGCATCACCATAGAAAAAATAAAAATCCTATGAAGAGTAACTGGAAACTCTCTTTGGAAATTAGTTATCCATGTGGTCAGATAACAGTGGGGAGATGATCTGATCAACTGGAAGGATAATGAGATTAAAAGAAACATGAAGTGAAACAGGGAGCTACAAAGTCAAGCAGAATAGTTGTATGGGGATTTAATTTTCTCAAATTAAATTGGCAGAATGCTTTATTAGGATAAAAAGAGGGGGTGGGTTTTCAGGCATAACACAGTATGGCCAGGTACCTATAGGAAAGGAAAATTCTGCAGTTGATCCTTACAGATAGGCAGGAACCACTCTGGAGAAGTGTTTGTGAAAATCAGGTAACTGTGATCCCAGCCAAAGTCACTTACACTGCCATTCAGTTTTCACAGAGAGCCATAACATTCAATTTTAGAAAAGAGGACTGTGGAAGTGCTTACTATATGCTAAATGCTTGAGAATGCCACGAACCTTGAAGAGTGTTTGTTTAACTAGGTAATTTACAGAGGTTTTGCATTTACATCATTCACTCTTCCTGATAATATTCTGAGTTAGGCCGGACAGAGGTGGCCATCTCAATTTTTCAAGAGAGGAAACAGGTTCATTGAGATCGGTGTCTTGTTGAAGGTCCTGTGGCCACTGTTGGGGAGCCAGGATGTAAACCCAAGGTCACTTTTCCTTCACTGTACTGAACAACAGATTAAGAATACGAAGATTAATCATCTCTGAAACATTTGTTTGGAAGCCCACAATTGAAATTTACATCACTACTTACAGCATAGGGTGTATTTATTACACCTGATCTCTCTATAGTGTTTAGAAAGTTAATCATCCTATATAAAATTATATTTTGTTGTTTAATATTGACTTAAACATTTTAAATATCGAATGAGACCAATTTTATAAAATAAATAACAGGTATGTATAAATAAATGAAAGAGACTGGAAGTAAATAAGCCTGTTTTAAGTGATTACCACTCAATTGTGGATTTTAAGTAATTTCTTTTTTCTTCATATTTCTGTTTTTAAATTTTCAACAAGCATAAATATGCATATGTATATATACACATATGTATACACATATATTTAAAAAATAATATCTCATTACAGATGTTTTTGGTCTTTTAAAAAAACAAAGCTGTAAATATCATGCAATTTAGAAGAAAGAATTACCCCTCCAAACCCAGACAATCTTATCCAGTCTTTTGACATCGCTTCTGGATCTATGTTCATTATAAATTAAATGGAGGTTCAGAGCTCTGGATTTTCCATCAGATGACCTGGATTAGAATTCTGACTCAGCTACTTATAGTAGCATTTACTTAACTTTAGTAATTTTTAGAAACTGTGAAGCACTGATGATACTGAATGCCATACCCCACCCACCCCAGATTGGTGACTTCAGGAAAGTTGCCGCAGCTCCCTCTCAGGTCCGCTGGCCATGCATAGGAAGCCTGTGCAGGAGCAAAGGAGGCTGCACTTCCACCATTGTACCACTTGGTGGTGCCTTTTGACATCTCCAGCCTCATAGTTTAGGTTTTTCTCCTTTGAATCATTTTTATCTTCATTCTGAAATTTAGGACCATTCCCCAACTCCCTTCCAACTTCCCTTTTTCATTAGAAAGAAAATTCAGGGAAGAAGGTAACAGTACCTAATTTTACTGGGTTCCATGTTTAAAATGATTATTAGTAAATTTATTTTGGGAGATTTAAAACAAATTCTTAGTTTCTGTCAAAAGTGTTCTCTGGGAGTAGGGGTGGAGGTGTATTTTGTTTTGCTTTTTAATGAATTTGTTATGTTGGAACATTAGCCATCCTTAATTAGTGGACTTAAGTGAGTTTTCCACCAATCAAGCTGAAAAAAAACCTCCCATTTTTGATAAAACCCCCGAAGTCCAGCTGATGCATGGCAGAGATTGTTTGGGTTTGAAACATATGGTGGTTTTAAAAAAAAAAACAAAACTGAATCCTCAACCACAAATACATCAGCATTTCAAAGGTTTCCAAAATGTTTGATTCATCACTGTCCCAGCCCCTGAAATTACACAATACGTTCCTCAAAGTCAAGATAATTAAGAAAGGGCAAGAGTTTTAATTTACAAGATTTTATAATATGTTTCCAGTTCATTACATAGCTGCCACCTTATCTGAATCACATTTATTTGAAACACTGTTCTGGCGATCCTCACATACATGCACCACTGGAAGTATGAGTTGAACATAAAAAACATAGAAACGAAGGGTCTCGTTTGAACTGAGTCTTCTTCACTAGGGTATTACACCTATGGGGCCCTATTTTATTTATTTATTTTTTATTTTTGCTGGGGCCCTATTTTAAATGGCACATTTTCTGTTTTACCTGTATTAATACTGATGTGACTTTATCTCCTTCCTATCTTGATCTTTTCAAGGCTGTGTTTTGGCTGTATTTATTTTAGAAAGCAGGGTCGCCTGCCGACCACAACTGTGAACTTTAATTTTCTAGTTCTATATATCAGGAGGCTAGTCTGCCATGGGGTAAATCACTTAGCCTTTCTTTGTTTCCGTTTTTTTCTACTTGACCAAGTAAGACTCTTTATTTTCTTTTTAGAGATCCCCCCGCCCCAAAGAATCCACTAAATAATGTATAAGATTTGAGGATGGTGTTTTTTAGGGGAACTAAGGCAGAGTATTTCCTTTGAGAGGGGAAAATGGCCCATTGTTGAAGCGTAGGATGAGATTCTGATTCTAATTTATTCTCTTTGAACCTAATGGCAAATGCTGCTCACTGTAAGATGTGGTTCTTAGGGCATTTCCTCTAACCAAACCTTTCCTCCATAAGGCTGGCACCTTTTGAACTACCAAAGAGAAATTCCACCACCCTCCCCCATAGATCTAAGGCTAAATTCTGTAATTTCGGAGAAAGCAATGATAGGCTAAAGTCGCTGGTCATAGCTAACTTACCCTAATAGCCAGACTCCAGATATCATATGATGGTTCCCCACCTACTGCCCAGTAGAACCAACTTGCTCCTTTCCTTTATTCCGTCTCGGTGAATGGCTATCATATGGGTCCACCTGAGTTTTTAAAAAGGAATATTCTGTCTCTTCTTGATTGTGCGTTTATTCATTCATTACTTTATTCAACAAATATTTATTGAGTCCATCCTTTGTGCCAGGCATTGGGTTGAGGAGATCAAGATGAATAAGAATCTGAAATGCTTTGGGAAGAACATTTGTGTGTGTGTGTGTGTGTGTGTGTGTGTGTGTGTGTGTGTGTGTACAGTGTATATAAGCAAAAAATACACACACACACACCTCACATCAGATAGATAGATAGTAATGCTTGTATCCACACTATCTGTCATGACAGTAGGAACTGAGTATTAGAGTGGTGAGGGTCACTAAGAAGTTAGTGAGTCTGCTGTAAGACCCTAGAATTTCAGAGTAGAACATCATTTAATCCAACTAAGGGAAAGTGTTTTTCCCAAGGCCACACAATTAGGTAGTGACAGCATGTGGATCACAACCCAGCCTTTTGACTTTTGAATTTTCTTTATTGCTGCACCCAAATGCCTCACTAAAAACAGATGGCCTTCGTGGCTGGTTAGCTACATTGAACTTAAAAATAAGGACATGAAATTTGCGATTTGGTGATAATTTCCTGTTCTATCACTTGCATTTCTAATTATTAACAAACAAGCAGAATTTTTACTTATAAACTAGAGTATGACCTGACAGAGAAAGTAGGAACTTTAGGTTTAATAGAGAGGGATATGGGGGAAAGAGAAACCCAACCTTTACTGAGCAGCCAGGCACTATATGTGGATGCCTTGACCTCTGCTGTTACACTTAGTTCCTTTACCAGCCTTTTGAGGCCTGTGGTATTCTCATTTTACAGATGAAGAGACAGGGACACAGATTAACGACCCACGCAAAGTCATACGCTAGTGAGCCTAGGCAGGTCCTGCTCATCCTTTAGATGCCACTTTGGCCGCTTCTCCATTATGTACACACAGCACCATGACTCCCTTGGAGGTATTCATCACCGTGGGAACCTTTGCTCTTACTTTCATGATTGGATCCTGCTTCTGGCACTTGGTGGTGAGCTCCATGAGGGCAGGGGCAGTGTGTGCTGGGCTCACCTTTGTGTGCTTGTCACATAAGAAGCCACTCACCTTTTGTCAAGCAACTGATTATAAGAAGTAGAGCTGGGATTCAAACTCGGTTCCCTCTGTTACAAATAATCTGTATAAAATTATCTAAGATACTCTAAGATTGATTACATTCTATCCTTGCCTATCTAGTAGGTAGAGTAAGAAGAGGTCATTAGAAGTCATTGGGAAAATCAGGAATTAACTTGTTCATGTATCCATCCTTTTGTCATTTCTTTGGTTCTGTTTATTTTTCCCCCCAGTATCAATTGAGAATCTCTGACGGGAACAGCACTGATAGACTTGGAACCTAGAAAATGTGTCTGGTCAGGGATAGAAGAAGACAGCATTGTGCCACAGACTTGATTGTGAAGGCATGATCTGTTCTTTCACTAATTCTCAGTTTCATTTTGACCCTTCAGCAAATTCACAACCAAAATCAAGGTAGGGGAAGGGATGGCACACAGAGGAAAGTGCAGAAATATCATTTATATACCATGTATTCACTCTGAGTGGCCTAACTTTTTTGTTTTGTTTTTAACCCAATACATGTGTATTTTTAATTCCTCTGAAATTTGTGTTTTCTTAAGGATTTTTAGGTCTGTATTCATTCATAAAATAGATCTGTTCAAATGACCTTTTTCTATTCTTATTAGCACCACCAAATCAGTGTGTTTTTAATACTTAGATTCGCAAAATTTCTGGACATTTGGCAAAAGGCACAAGGCTGTCATGGAGCAGTTGCATGTCTTAGCAGTGAAAGGGACCAGGAGGTGGGAGGTGACGCTGGCAAGGCTTGTGCAGTGCCTCTACCGGCCTCTCTCTGGACCTCCCCTGCTTATCTCACACTTGACTGGGCCCTGCACTGCAGGGTGGGTAAAGGATAGAATTGCAAGCAGAAATTGTATTTGCTTTTGTTTAGTGAAGCCAAAAGCCTTAATATTATTTTTTGAGCTCAATGCAAATGGCAACTGACATGAGAGAGATTTTAAGAGCACCATAAGCATCTTTATAATCATGGGGGTGGAGGGCAATCCGGGAAGAGGGTGTGGGTGGGTGGGTGGCTGTGTGTACACATGCACTCTTTTTAAAGTTGTATTGTGTCTCTAACCTCTCCAAAAAAGACCAGAACCAATTAGAAAAAGGAAAAGGCCAACTTGACGCACAAAATTCTATATGCATGCCAAATATTGGAGTGAAAAACATGTAGCATTTGACTGAAAAGACACCAACCAACCATTAGATTTCTATGGTTGAACACTCTCAAGATCTTGCACTCCTGTATTTCATTTAAAAAATTACTCCCTGAAGTGCAAACTGACTTCAATTTTGAATAAAATTTAGCATTCAAATTTATAGCCACTTTGAAAACTGAGGGTTTATTTATATCATATGAACTTGAACAGATACTTAATTACAGCAACCCAGCAGCCCTTTGCACATGGAGAATCTGGATTTGGGAAAAAAAAAAACAAAAAAAAAAACTTCCCACGTAGGTTTTTCCACATTTTTCAGATGCTTTTGTAGCAGCCATCATTTATGGGAAATGGCATTAAAATCCTGCCGTAATGTAGTTTAAGTTTAAATTCAGTGCTTCCCAGAAGAGATTTTAGTGTATCCTATAAAGGCACTAAAAGGCTTATTTTTGTTTTTGTTTGTTTTTGTGGGGGGTGTTTTGTTCTCTTGAAAGTCTGGTTCTAATGAGAGAGATGTTGGTTCCTTGGAATGATCTTTGTGTGTTAACAACCTGTGCAAAGAACTCCTCTCTTGCTTGTTCTAGCGGGCAAAAGTCATCTTTGTTTGCGTGCAAGAAAAGGTCTGATTGAACTAGGGTGAGCCTTTCATTTTAAGCAGAGTTAAAGTCTGGGGTGTTTTTAATGTTTTAATCTCTGTTTAAGAGGTTTCTGTTATGAGAGGAAAATTGATAACATTTTTACCTCAGCAAACTGCCAGCAAACTGGCTCTGCTCTAATCCCACATTTATAGTGATTTATATTCTCCGTGGCAATGTGCTGTAACCTCAGAGTGATACCACTGCGGTGTAGATTGACTGCATTCCAAATGCTGGAATCACATACATAATGTTTTTACTTTTAAATAATATTCAGACACCAGAATAAATACCATATGTGCACTGATGCTGGTTACAATGGAACCTTGTCATTTCTTGTGAGGGAGAACATTCTTTGTTTCTGATTCCTGTTTGAAATAAGTATGCAAAAGATAAATATGTACATTGACAGCATTTTGAGAAGGCTCTGGTAGTTACACAGCTGAGGATGTAGCTATGATTCCTTGAAATGTATCATTTAAAACTAAAAATATTGCTGCATGTTGCCCCCATCCCTCACTACCATACATGAAGGCAAGGATTGTTATCTGACATTCCCAGAGTAGGGTAGAGCTTTTATATTTTATATCTACAGCAGGCTGTAGTAAGAGGACATCTGTTGAAGAAAAATTACCTCCGTGAGTACTGTTCATAGGAACAGTGAGACTAACATGCTGATGACATTGTAACAGGGAGAGTAACACACTTGATCATGGGAAAGGATGGATTGATTGGAAAGCCGTAATTCAGTGTGAGCCCTAATGTCATCTGATGCTACAAAAGCAGAATTTAGGTGGCCTAACATCATCAAAATACAGATAATTAATCTCTCCAGATCAATTTTCCCACATGATAAAAGTTAAGATTTAAACTTTTAATAAAGTTTAGAAACACCTCCCGAGTTATACATTTTTAGATTTTTGTTTTTATTCATCTTGATTGGAATTCAAATCCACTTAAACAGTATTTTTTAAATCAATTTGGTAGAATACCTTTCATATTTGTACATCTATACAAACTCCAACAAGTCGATCCACATTTGCTTCTTGGGGAAGCATTTTAATCCACGTTTGCATGATTACTATTTGTTTAGCTATATTGAATTAGTGCCCATAACATTTTAATAATATTTAGTAGATGATGAAACCCTGGGCATTGATACTGATGGCTTCCCAACCCCTCTGCACCTCTGTCCCCACCCAGTTTTGTGAGGTTTGCTCAGAATATATAGTGTGAGATGAATGTGTGAGTAATCCATCACAATTTATCTCTGACATTTCATCTGGCACATAGCTTGGTGGGGTAAGCCTTGCCTCCTTTGTAGAAGTGTTCCCTGTTATAAAAATGCTCAAACGCCCCTTTTTGCAGTTGGGAAGTTATGACACAAACATTGGACATCTCTGACATATTTTTTCTCGTTTTCAGCTTTTCGGATGATCCCTTATCCCTTGGAAAAGGGGCACCTATTTTATCCTTACCCAATCTGTACAGAAACAGCAGACCGAGAGCTGCTTCCATGTAAGTCTCACCTCTCTTCAGCCAGTGAGGGTGTGTGGTGAAAGGTGGGGATTGGAAGAGGTGGGAATATCAAAGTTTAGAATGCTCCTTGTCTTTTATTACTTTTCTCCAAACCCCTGTCCTTGTTTGATAGCATATGTATTAAAGTGAATTATGTGAGTGGGTTTGGCTTCCTTTTCCTCCAAGTCTCTCCAAATTTATCAAAGGGAAAGATGCCAAAGGATTGAAATGTAGCTGAAGAAACCCTATGTACTGATTGGCCTGAGCACAGAGACCCCTGGTTTGGGCTGGTGTCTGCTGGGCTGGTCCATTGTGAGGGTTCTGCCTGGGCTCTTCAGCTGGACAGATGTGGTCTGCACCGACCGGAGTTTGAAGAGGAGCTGCTGACTGAGAGGGAGCTGCGCATGAGTCATGGGTGGGAGGCCAGCACCAGGAAGCTGGCACCATGGCCAGATGTGGAGTTGTGGGGCAGGGCAGTGTGCTGTGTGGTGAGGCTGTGCTCTGGCAAGAGGGATTTCCCGTGAGCACCTCGTGGGTTGCATGTAGTGACTCGGAGTACCATGTGCAGAGCACACGTGTAGCCTCAGCACTGTATGAAAGCACACAAAAGAAAACCCTGCCCTCGACTACCTTACACTTGCTAGCAGTCTAATGACCCATACCACATGTGGAAAATATTATTTTGCTTTGCTGTAATACAACATTGTTTTGACAATTCAGGCTAAATGGTTATTATCAAATCATACTATGTACAAGGATCATGTCAGGCTCTTCATGTGGCCCAGACTTAGGATATATTTTTCTCCCTCAGATAATAAGCTCCAAATTTTAGCTCTTCTCCCTTCTCTGTCCTCTCTCCTGCCATCTCTGCCCTTTCACCAGCCCCAGTTATATCAATATCTTATAGCTGTAACATATAAGTACTTTCCCCAGAGGAACAGTGTAACCTTAGAGCCCTGGGTGCATAGTAAATTTCCAAACACCAGCATCATCAAGCCAGTCATGAATCTCCAGCATGGTGGGATCTGGGTGCAGAACTCAATGGCTGTCATCAGATTGAGGTAGCAGGAGTTGCTCACTTGCCTTCCTGCCAGCCAGACCCAGTGCGAGATTTGTTACTCAGGGAACTGGGAGATCCCCGTGATGTGTTTCTCACCGTTCGAGTTTGATTGTGAAAAGAGTCTGGTACCTCACACATTAGATTTGATTTCAGAAATCCTCACCGTGGGCCCATAGTTTACCTTTCAACTCCCCCTTCAGGGAGATCCTTGTTAAGTTTCGGTTTTCTGGTAAGAAAGGCAGTTTTCTGAAAAGTACAGTATTTTTAAATGTTTTAATCGAGTCCAATTAAGTTTCCATGGGGATAGATTAGTTATTAGAACAAGATTACAGTTCTTAAGAGAAACCTTATAGGGATAATCTTTATAAGCCTGAAATAGGAAATTATGGCTCACATTAATTGAATGCAGTGCTCCAAGTCTGGTCTCCCTCCAAAATCTTTTTTGGTTGGATGTTAAGGGTGAGGATATGAAGAAGGTAGGTTGTTTTAAGTGCTACCCATAATTTGCACATTAAAAGTATAATTATAGCCACACGAGGCCCTGAGCACACTTGTTCCGTGTGTTTGAATCCCAGCAGGCTGACCTACCTGGATGTAGTAGGCATATTCGTCTGCATGGAGTTCCTCCTGGATTCCCTCCACCCTCAGTATTAGCCTTGTGGATTACTGTTGAAGACTCTGAGGAATAGGAGCTGAATGGTAGAGGAAAGGCCTCTAGATCTTGTATTCCCTGAGGACCATGGAGCCCTCTGGTCCTCTTGGTTAGAGTGGGCTGTTTCTCACGTGCAGTTTCACAGCCTCTCCCCCAGCACCCCCAGCAGGTGGCTCTTTCTCCTCCTGCAGGCCCGCCCCATCGACCCAGGCAGTCTCTCAGGCAGCCTCATCATGAGCACAGAGAAGGAGGCGATTCTCTTGACCTCTGTACCACAGCTTTTTGGTTTTCCCAAACCCAATGTTTGAAATATAATATAAAAATTATAGAGGGCACTCTAAAGAGCACCAGCTTTTCTTGTTTTTTTGATGATTGTTGGAAGTGTATTTGTCATCAAGAGTCTCTTACAATTGTGCCAGATAACCCTAGCAGTCTTGACCTTCCCTCCTTGCAGTTTGAATAGACCTACATGTGAGGTCCTTGCTGGATATCTCTCTATGAGGGTGGCACCCTCCACTGATATACTTAGAGGGTGCCAGGAAAAAATACAGGAGAAACTAGTATCATCTCATTATAATGATTTTTTAAATACAGGAAGGAAAAAATATAGACGGGATACCTTTTTTCCCTGTATACTCGGTTTTGGATTTTCCAGGTTTTGTACAATGAACACGTGTTTTGTAATTTGAGTAAATTACAAATTGTTTCAGCTGTGTTTGCTTTTGAGAAAAAAATACTATACATTAGGCATAGGCGGTGCTCCTCTTCCCTCCCATGAAGGCGTGACACCCTCAAATCAGCCCCCTCCTGCCTCAATTTAGAGTGCTGAAGGCTGGATGGAGACTTGCGACCAGCAGATGGGCCTCCAAAGGCTGGGTCAGATGTTGGCTATGGTTTGTCAGGTGTGCTATTTTTTCATTTCCCATAGGCTTCCAACTCTTTCCCAAGCTCTGGAGTCAGTGCCACCATAAAGACCTCCCCTGAGAGTGCAGTTTACTCCAGCCCTGATATTTCCCTTTTGGTCTTCTCCACAGCTTTCCATGAAGTCTCAGTTTACCCAAAGAAGGAGCTTCCCTTCTTTATTCTCTTTACTGCTGGATTATGTTCCTTCACAGCCATGCTGGCCCTCCTGACACATCAGTTCCCGGAACTTATGGGGGTCTTCGCAAAAGCTGTGAGTGTTTGCCTAGAGGGAGGCCTTGGGGAATGGATGGGGAAAGCCAAGGGCATAAAAGCAGCGTGAGAGAAATGGGGTTGCCTTACAGAAATGGGTACGAGCCTGCAAAGATCATTGCTCACCATTTAATTTTCATGATCGTCAATGGAATCAAAGCATTAAGGGTCAAATGAGAAAGTGCAGGTTGTTACTGCATGCCTTGCCTCATTTCACAACAAATTCTTAGCAGTTTCCAAAAAATGCAGGAGGTCCAAAAGGATGGAATGATTTAGGAAATCCTAGCAAATGAAAATGTGTGGGAAGTTACTCGGTTTTCTGTAAATTGAATGACATTATTTCCAATCGTTGGATATTGTGGGTCTTTCCTTAGTGAAGGATGAGATTTACATTTTCAAAGATGATTTAAATAATTTTTTTTAATGGCTGCAAACCCTTGGCTTGTCTAAGGAATGAACAGAGGGTGTAAAGGGCTTATTAAGAAGTAAACTGAAATGACATTTAGAAATATGGAAATCCATTAAGAGTCTTTAAGGAGCTTGGGGAGAGGAGCTTTAATAAGAAAAGCCATCTGCATTGACAGCCAAGAACCATTGTTTCTTTGTTGAAAACTGACCATTTCAACCTGCACATGCAGTTGAGGATAAGTTTACTGATCTTGCCACAGATGAGTTTCAAACAGAAGGAATAAGGAAAACAGTATCAATTGTTTCCCTGGAACTCCATTCAGATTTCAAGGCGAGTGCAATCAGAAAGGATGATTTCTAACTTGGCTGGGTTGATTTAATCCCTTTCCAGATGATTGACATTTTCTGCTCGGCAGAGTTCAGGGACTGGAATTGCAAGAGTATTTTCATGCGTGTTGAAGATGAACTGGAAATCCCTCCGGCACCTCAATCTCAACATTTCCAAAACTGAACTCATCACCCCTCTTCCCCCACCACCAAAACTGCTCCTCCTCCTGTATTCCTGACCTCCGCCATCCACCCCGTTGCTCAAGCCGGAAACTCGGCAGCCCTTCCAAACTCTTCCCTCTCTCACTCCCCACATCCCATCGTCTCGGCCTTCACAATCTGTCAGTTCTAACCTCCTAAGCAACTAGGCCTTCAGTAAATGTGATTCACCTCTTCTTTCCCTCCTTTTCCCAAAGCATCCCTCTTAGTCTAGGTCCTTGTTGTTTCTTGCCTGAACTCCTGCCATAGTCTTAACTGGTCTCCTTGCTTCCTGTCTTATCCTCCACCGTCTTTCTTTTATACTGACACAAGAATGGTCTTTCTGAATTGCACATGTGAGCATGTCACTTCCCTGCTTAAATTTCTCCAGTGGATTCCCAGGGACTTCAGGATCAAGTCCTAGTTGTTCAGCATGGCATCCAAGACTCTTTATGATCTGGCCCTTGCTTACCTCTCAGCCTTAGCTCTCCCAACTCTTGCACAGTCACTGCTCTTCAGCCATAGTGGATCACTCACCATTCCCAGATGTACCAGGCTCTCGCACACCTCTGCACCTTTGCACGTGCTGTTTGCTGTGCGTGGAATGCCCTTCACTGTCACCACCCTGCTCATCCACTCTACTAATGCCTCTTCATTCTTTTATACTCAGCTTTCTTTAAAGTTCTTCTAAGCTGAGTTAGGTGTCTGTCCTTTATGATCCCGCAGTATTCCATGAATACGTATATTCTCACATTTATTGTACTGTATTATAATTGTTGAAAACTTGTCTGTCCCATTTAGAATGTGAGCTCCTTGAGAGCAGAACGGTGTCTTCATTATCTCTGTATCCCCAAGGCTTTGCACAGTGCCTTGCTCATAGTAGGTTTTCAATAAATGATTATTAAATAAATAATAAATGGTAGTGGTCTCTGCAGAAAGAATCAATGGAAAAATCAGATACAGCTTAGTATTTTTTTTTCTCTTCTTGTATACTTATAATCATAGCCTCTTAGAGTTGAAAGGGACCTGAAGCAAATTGCCTTTAATAGCAACCCTGAGTGGAGGTCACCTAGACTCATCTTGAATACTTTCAGTGATGGGGCACTCACATATTTATAAACATCAAAGCCCATTTGATTATTGGATGACTCAGAACTTTTCCTTGTACTGTAAAAATCTGCCTCCCTTTGGTTTCCACTTATTCCTATTCTATATTGAGGGTACACCAAGCAGCCCTCCTTCCTCTTGCAAATTCTTAGGACAGCTCACTCATTCATGGCCACCTCTAACCAACTACCTGCTTTTTCCTCCAGGTAGAATATCTTACATTTCCTTAAGTCTTCTGTGCATGACATGATTTCTACACCCATTATCACCCATATTGCTGCCTTGGATGTTCCTTAGTTTATGGGCCTACACTACTTGTTATTTTCTTCTACTCCCTAGCCAATCTCTGAGTAAAAGTAGTTGCCAAAACTCTGAGTAGAGTGTGACTTAGTAAAATTTAAAATAAGAATATATTTACATTAAACAATTATTGCTCTTTTATGTTTTCTGTTTTTCTGTTAAACATTTTTAGAGCATATTTGTAAAAATATGTCATTAGTCCAGTATTCTTCATTAAACTAACTGTAATAGCACTTGGTGGGAGTTTTGAATCAGTAGAGATTCCCAGCCTCCAGTCTATATATTCACCTGGCCGCACCACCAGAAATCCAAAATCTTGAGTATTAGCAGGAGGTATCTGTATTTTTCACAAAGCCCCCAGCATATTCTGAGGATGGAGATTGATGGCATTCTCCCGTCTCCTTCCAGGGACACTGCTTGGAAAGCTGAACCTTCGAGCAGCCACTTGCAGCTGCATGGTGTGCCATCACAGCTGTTCAGGTGGAAGCTTTTCAGGAATCAGTGGTTTCCCTGGCTCTACCTTGGAATCATCGAAAAACTTAAAAGTTACTGAGGCCTGTCCCCACAACCGGAACTTTCTTGGTCTGGGGTCCGCATGGGCAACTCAGTTGTCAAGCACTCCCCTGGTGATGCGGATGTACAACCAGTGTATTGAATAGAATGAATAATTGCCTGAGCCTGCTTTAACCAGCAAGGGGATTGGCAATGCAGAGGGAAGGATAGTGACTAGAATACACCTGGGTGTTCTCTAGGACTGGCCGTACAGCTGTGCTTCCAGAGTATCGGAGAGGGGTGTTCATTAAGGATGTGGGACAGGACTCAACTCGCCTCATTTCATGTTTTCAAAGCTTTGGTTTTGAGTATAGCATCAAATGATTGAATAAAATAGAAATCTGCCTTTAGGGTCCTCATATTTTCTGCTCTACCAAGGTGTGGTAGTTTGGTCAGCTCCCCATAGTTTTCAAATGTACTTTAGATAAGTTTGCATTTCAACCTCTATCTGGAGAATCACATTTATCTTGCCCTTCATTAAGGTCTAGCAGTTTCCAAAATGTCTGTAGAGACTGTGTGGGGAAGGAAGATGGATGGCCTGAATGAGACAAGCCCCTTCTCCCGCCGCCTCCTCGACCTGCCCCCAGAGTCTTCTCTGCATCTTCACCCTGGTCACTTCATCAGGCCCCTCCCGAAGCTCCCACGCCACACCCCACACCCCGCAGGTTATCGCAACTGCCCTAGAGGCTGCCTGCGACCATTTGCAGCTTGTGAAAGTGATTTTCTCAGCCCTTTGCTGAGATAATGTCCCTGGGACAATGACCTTTAGTAGATGCAGAGAGATTGCACTGCCACCCCCAGCTGCTGGCTTGGGAACTCTCCAGCATGTTTACTTGGTGACCATGATGTGCAGTCCATAAGGAAGCCCACAGGGAAGCGTGAACCACTGGGAAATAGTGGAAAGAGCAGCTTCCACTGGCATTTCCCCCTAATCTAATCTACCTCAGTGATTTAGGACTAACTCTTCCTAGAATGTTTAGTTACAAAGATAAGCTTGCACATATAAATACGTTATCATTCCAAACCCACCTCCTCACAGAATGTGGGAAGGTCAGGATTCTGACCCCTCTGTCTTTCCTTCTCTTGTCTCTCTCCTTCTCCGAGACTGAGCCTCTTGATTTCTGACTCTCATGTTCACTTATAGTCCTCGACCTCTTTGAAGCCTGATATTGATTACCGTGAAATGTCAATTGTCTGATTGCAGTAGGGCACCTGGAAGTTATTCAGATAAGCAGAGGCGTTTTGAATGTTAATGAAGCCTGTTGGGAGCCGTGACCTTCTAAGTGATGGTGTTTCAGGAAAAGGAAGATCAGGCAATTGAAATGTCGTTCTCTTTTTTTACTAGTTCAGTTGCTTTTTCTCACCACGAGACACTCATTGAATCCTAGGGCATTTTGATTAAAGATATGACCATGTATCTCTGCCCTCTGGACAGTTTTAGACATCGAGATAAATAGGCTGTTCCAGGTTTTCTTGGTGTTGCTCATTCAGACTTAACTTTTCAGCAGTAAATTTCCCCCTAAGTCAAGTGAAAACTGCTGTTTCTCCTTCTATATTGGTTGGGTCTCCAACTAAAAAATATTGACTGATTTTCAAACATGCGCAGAAATACAACTGAGCATCCCAAGCAAGTCTGCACCTCCAGACATTTTTTAAAAAATATCTCCTGATGGAGCTTTTATTTGGTTATGAAGTGAAAGGGCTTAGCAGCTTCAGACACCTCACTACATTGCCTGCTCCTTCCTTGCAGGTATGGGATGGAAGGCTTGCTGTGGGGGAAGGTGGCTTAGTAATGAAGGGAGCCCATCTCAACTGGGGCTCGTGGGAGAGTAAATTAGGCCCTCTAGGAAAAAGTTCAAGGGAGTCTTTGTGAATTCTCCCAAGGATGGAACATTCTAGATAGGAGGGATAGAAGCAAATCATTCTATACGTTGGAAGCATTGGGGCTTCGTATTCTTGTGGAACCTTGTTGAGAAGGGCAGGTGTCATCCAGGAAAGAAGGGACCACAGTACTTTGCTGTGCAGCATGGGGAAAAGGGAGCATTTATGGACATCAACCAGGATGAAGCTTTCCTCCTGATTTTCAGAGGCTTCACTTTTGTGCTTTTTATCCAAGTCAGGTTAGTGCCCAAAACAAAGCAAACAAATAAAGGCCTTTATTTTAAGCCAACCTTGTAACATCTCCATTCATTCTACAGCTCAAGGTGAGGCTCCCCGAGGACCCCACATTTTAGTGTGTGTGCATCACCCAGAGTACAGACTTTGAGCGATGCCTGTTATCTAGCTGCGCTGGCTCATGTTCAGCAGTTGCAACAGCTCCATGGCTGCAATGGCTCAATATCAGCAGTTCCTTCCCCACTCAACCACAACTTCAACAGTTCTAAATCTGTTTTTGGCCAAGTCTTCAGGATATAACTTTGCCAGCAATATCACCTTGTTTATTAAGCCCTATCTTCCACCACCTGTCAGAATCTCTGGTTTATCGAGACCACTGTAACACTTTAACTCCTCTTTATGAAGTTGAGCATTATAGACAGATGCTGTGGTTTGTGGAGCCTTGGTAGTCTCTGATTATATATGTGTCTGTGTATGTAGATATACATATACGCAGACATATATAATTATGTATGTACACATATTATGTGTGTATTTCCTATCATGTTGGGTGAATGCAATCAGTAGACTTGTTCCATATTATCCTCTTATAACTAGGATTTTACAAATGCTTTCAGAGTAATTGGGCAGTAATTGCTCATTCCCAGGCCCATTGTCTCCCATGATGCCTTCCAACTGCATTCATGGGTGCTCCCAATCCAGCTCTAAACTGAAAAAGATAGGCCATCTATTCCGTAGGGTGGTTTTGTGCACTCAACAAAGGATAATTTCAGAAGATTATCAGAAACTGCCATGTACCTGGCACCCGCTTGAGGATGGCACCGTCTCCTCTTTGCTCAAGCACTGACATGGCTGCCTGTTTCTTAACTGCAGATCCAACCTGACACGCAGGGCCCTCCCCAGTATCCTTCTAGCCACTTTTGAACTCTACTTCTTCTAACTGTCCTAGCTAAACTGAACCATTTACTACCTTCTGGTAATAGTGTTGCTTTTCCATTTCTCTTTGACTGTTTATTGAGCCTGGAGGGCCCACCCTGCTCCTATTTCTTCCTTTACCATCCTTACTCCATCTCTCTCTTTTGATATTCCAAGCATCCACTGGAGTCCATTTCACTTGCCTCTTTCTCAAAAGTATTCCTGCTCCTTTCAACAGAATGGATTCTCTCCCTTTTCCAATCCCAGTGCTTTGTTTGGGCCTCTATCCTGATTGCCATCACAGCCTATCTCATTATTAGTTTGCTCTGTCCAGATCTTCGTGGCCCCCTCCATCACTGGGCTTTGAGCTTCCTGACAGTGGGAGTTTAGTTTTGAACTACACCCCTTTATATTTCACCCAGCACTTAAGTGCCTTACTAAATAAATACATTTAATTGGTGTAAAACACAGATTGGAGAAGGATCCCAAATTTTACGCTGTCTTGATTTTGCATTATATGGATCTCGCATTTGATGATCTGGCTATTTTGTGTTACCTGCCTTCCCAGTGTGTGTTCTACTGGTCCAAAAACAAAATGAAACAACAGGACAGATTCTGGGTCAGCAAATTTGGGAAACTTGCCCACCATACCTCTTCTCGAAGACCCACAGTCCACAGAACATTTACCTAGTAAAGGAGCCTGATTTAACTTTATTAAATATACTAAATTTGCTTGACCTCAGAACTATGATCCCCTCTGCATTATATACACACACACTGCACTACACTTCTATGAGAAATTCTTGGTAGTGTAGATGGTGCTGTGTAATGGACAAGGGCTTAGGACAAAGGGCTCCATGGTACAAGAACCAGGTGTTGAACCCCAGTAAGACAATACCTGGGTTCTGAGCAGAGAGAGGGCAATGAAACCATCCCAACAACTCTCTCTTCCCTGACTGGGATAGGGCACCTCTTCTGCCAGATGCTGGATGGGGTGTGGAATGAAACTGATTCTTCACAAGAACAGAATTAGAATGGATTTGAGAATATTTTAATAAGTATCTCATGTGAAGCACTTGGCTTTCTTAAAAGACACAGCTAATGAGCTTTATTCTCTACATGAAAAGCAGAAAGGAATTTAGTAACCAAATGAAAGAGTTCCCAGAGGTGCACTCGGAACAGCCCCTTAACAAGGATCTGTCCTCCATGGAATAGCCCGTTTGCCGCCTTCTCCCAGGGTCCCAGGCATGCTGCTAAACATGTGGCTCAGAAAGGAGCCCACGCTGGTGTCTGGGAGGCAGTAGGACCGCAAAGAAATTCATACACAACACACTTGACCTGTAAAATTGCCATTTCCATTTAAAGTGAGCTCTACACCCAGCTAGATGAGCAGCTGGTCTAAGTTGTCACCATTTTTTAACTCTTGTGCCCACTTGCCACCAATCTGTCATTCCTGTTTGACGACACCAGTCATCTGCATGGCAGCTGGCAGATGCTAAAGACTAGCAGGAAGACCTCAGGACTGTGGGCCACCTGTCAGGGGAGTGAGGGGGCTGTCAGCTGACACTTCTCCCCCTTATCTAACAGTGCTGGGGCCAAGGACTGGAATGCAGGTTTGACCATCAGCTGATGTTTCCTGTAAACATAAAGATGAAATGGTTGCCTTTTGAGACTTTCGTAATGCAGAGACTTAAGCTGCAAGCGTGGGTGGAGAGGTTTGTTTTATAGTCTTGAACAAGGTTTCTGCTGACTTCTGTGTCTGTCTGGTTTCTTTGCAGTTCCTCAGCACTTTGTTTGCCCCCTTAAACTTTGTCATGGAGAAAGTGGAGAGCATCCTCCCATCCAGTCTGTGGCACCAGCTAACACGGATCTGAGAGAAGCCCTGTCCTCCACTCACCTCACCCGCCGCTGCCACCATCTCCTCTGTGCCAACTCCTTGTGGACCGCAAGAAAGCATGACTTTGAAAAAGGGAAGCCATTCCGAGATTTTAAAATGTTCATGGACTATTCCATATTAAAAGCTGTTTTTGTTGTACAAAATTCACTGATGTTCAGTTCTATTTTATTTTGCCTTCAGAAAAGAAGAAAGTCAAAAATAAAACTTTTGTGTATTACAGCAATCATTTGTATCCTCCTGTGTCTTCCAACCCTAAAATTGTTGATGTCCCAAATAAACCTTTGGATTTACCTTGAGTTTCCTGGGAACCTGGATCTACTGAATGCCACATCATGGTTTCTGTGCTGATGGAACACATCTCAGCAGGCCCTGAGAACCCCTTATAGGCAGAGGCTTGGAAAATGGAATCTCTTGGGTTCAACAGGACCATCATTGTCAACCCCAAACTGTCCTTCTAGGCCAAATGCACAGAAAAAGCTCGCAAGAGGAATCACTGGAAGCATGAATGAAGCAAAATGTGTGTGCCATGGCAGGTTGTTCTGGTTCAGAGACTCTACTTACTGAATAGTGTTCAACACTGTAGTTCCAGGAATCCTTTTGGTTTTGCTGTTTGAAAACTTCTTGTGAGAAAACTCCTGATAAGAAGCCGCAGACCCAACAGTCTGTGGTAGAACCTGACCAGTTTACTGTCATTGCCATTTTTAAAATGTTTTCTCGTAAGGGTACTTTTAAATTTTTTATCATGTTTGCATTCCTGATGCTTCAGTGTGAGCATTCTTTGAGTATTTTAGTGATCTGAACCAAAGTGATCATTTGTCCTCACCACCTTTAAAAGCTTTCCATATGATTCATATCTTGCTTAGCATCTGGCTTTACTTAAGCAAAAAAAAAAAAAAAGAAAAGAAAAGAAAAATAAATAAACTTGAATCCTCTATCTAAAGTGAAAAATACCACTATTTAAAATCTCACTCCAGTGCCTAAAAACAAAGGGCCTGTCCTTTATGTAGCTTGTTTTTCCCCTTATTGAGAATCTGAAGTCTTTCCCCACTAGTGTTAAAATAAGCAGTATTCGGGGAAAGCACCTGGCCACATCTCCTTCTCAGGGGATCTTCCTGCTGGCCCCAAGAGCATAGTCAGGTGGGCAGGTAACATTTAGGTGCACAAGGGCTTTTTATGCTTTTGGCAAACCCTTCTTTGTACCTACTTTGTACAAAGCCCTAATGGGATATGTAGCTAGCTCCGGCTCTTGAAGTATCTCATAAGAGCTTGAACTCCATGTACACACACTGGTAGCACTGCTCTTGGCAGGGGCCAGGTCTATCTTGTGGATATCTGCTCTTGGTGGCAGGAGCCAGGTCTGTCTCGTGGATATCTGCTCTTGGTGGCAGGGGCCAGGTCTATCTCTTTCCCTCTTCTTCCTCTGACACAACTCTCAACATAAAGGGGATGTGCAAATGATTTCTTGGATGAATTGATGCGATACGTGATAGGTATAAATAACCTTTGACCCATATTCAGAGGAGGAAGATGGGTTCCAGCTGAGAAGGACCAGGGAAGGCTTGGAAATGTAATTTTGAGCCAGAAGAAAAAATGATGAGAATCTGATTCTTTGATTTAGTAGATGAGGAAACAAAAGTCCAAAGTCGACCTACCGAAGTTGGGACTCCAGATTGCGATAATCCTTGAATGAAGGTTTAAGAGCTTATAGGCAGTGGGAAGTGGAAATGCCCAAAGACATCGTTGTTAGAAAATCCAAGTTTTCTGTAATCCCAGCAATTTGGGAGGCCAGGTCAGGAGGATTATTTGAGCCCAGGAGTTCAAGGCTAGCCTGAGTAACATAGTAAGACCTGAGCTCCACAAAAAAAAATTTTTAATTAGGTGGGCATGGTGGCATGTGCCTGTAGTCCCAGCTACTTGGAAGGCTGAGGTGGGAGGATCACTTGGGCCCAGGAGGTCGAGGCTGCAGTGAGCCCTGATTACACTCCAGCCTGGGTGACAGAGTGAGACCCTGTCTCAAAAGAAAAAAAAAAAAAAACAAGTTGCAGAAAATACAGCAAAGATACGGAAGATAAGGATTTTAAAGTGCCTAATGAATTTAATAGTTAGGATTTTAGAGCCATTTCATGGAAAGGTGAGGCTTTGAGGGGTAGGAGGAGTTAATGGGAAGTGCAGATGGAAAAAAGATGGTGACAGATGTAGACACAATCAGATGACAGATGTGGGTAATACTGTTGAAGGAAATGACAGGGTGGGTAATATTGTTGAAGGAAATGAGTCCATTGGCTAATAGGAGTGTATTAGTCTATTCGTGTATTGCTATATAGAAATATCTGGGACTGGGTAATTTATAAGTAAAGAGGTTTAATTGGCTCACGATTCTGCAGGCTGTACAGGAAGCATAGCAGCATCTGCTTCTGGGGAAGCCTCAGGAGGCTTCCAATCATGGCAGAAGGTGAAGTGGGGACAGGCACATCACATGGTGAAAGCAAGAGCAACAGAGAGAAAGTGAGGGGGAGGCGCCACGTGCTTTTTTCTTTTCTTTTTTTTTTTTTTTTGAGACGGAGTCTCGCTCTGTCGCCCAGGCTGGAGTGCGGTGGCGTGATCTCAGCTCACTGCAAGCTCCGCCTCCCGGGTTCACGCCATTCTCCTGCGTCAGCCTCCCGAGTAGCTGGGAGTACAGGCGTCTGCCACCTCGCCCGGCTAATTTTTTGTATTTTTAGTAGAGATGGGGTTTCATCGCGTTAGCCAGGATGGTCTCCGTCTCCTGACGTCGTGATTCGCCCGCCTCGGCCTCGCGAAGTGCTGGTATTACAGACGTGAGCCACTGCGCCCTGCCCACATGCTTTTAAATGACCAGAATCACTATCAGACAGCACCAAGCCATGAGGTATCCGCTCCCATGATCCAAACACCTCTCACCAGGCTCACCTCCAGCATTTGGGATTACAACTCAACATCAGATTTGGATAGGGACAGATATCCAAACTCTATCAAGGGCTAATCAGGTGAGGAGAGAGAGACACCTTCCCTGAACTTGAGAGAAGCAAATGATGTGAACTTCCTAGACCTTGCACCTTATGACCCAGAGTCAAGACCCCCTCCTCAACTACTCTGCTCAACTGTTGAGCCCACTCACAACTCACACTAGCAATTCTCACCTCCCCAGTCCTGGATGCCAGGGAGGTTGCTGTTTTCCCAGGTCTTGCCTTGTTTTGCTGCCCCTGAGGACAAGCATTAAGGCTCTCTTCTTTGTAAATCATTTAATGCAAATATGTGGAGAGGTAGAGCCAGAGCAACTCAAATAACACAGTAGAAGTTTTAAAGATGATTATTTATATATCATTCTTACACTTCCTGACCAAGGTCCATGGTTCCTGACTTCTGACAGAGATGGCAACTGGAATCCAGGTTGTCTTCTGCCTTCTGCTTTGATTTCTATATGAGGGTGCATCAAAATCCATTCCGATGGGCTTCCTTTATAAAGACCCTTCCTTCCAGCAGGACAGTAAGTGTTCCTTAGTCTCAACTTATGTGTATGTGTTGGAATACAAATGTAAACATTCTAAATTAAATATCAGCAAATGCAATCTAGCAATGGATACAGGAAAAAAGACAATATGACCAAATGGAATGATCTGCCAGTTTGGTTTTTCTTTTAAACTTTGTGATATGGTTTGGATTTGTGTCCCCACCCAAATCTCACGACAAATTGTAATCCTCAATATTGGAGGTGGGGCCTGGTGCTGGTGATTGGATCTTGGGGGCAGATTTTTCCCTTTGGTGGTGTTTTCGTGATAGTGAATTCTCATGAGATCTGGTTGTTTAAAAGTGTGTGGCACCTCCCCGCTCTCTCTTCCTCCTGCTCCAGCCATGAGAAGTACTTTCTGGCTCCCCCTTCACCTTTCACCATGATTGTAAGTTTCCTGTGGCCTCCCCAGAAGCCAAGCAGAAGCCACTATGCTTCCTGTACAGCCTGCAGAACTGTGAGCCAATTAAACCTCTTTTCTTTATAAATTACCTAGTGCCAGGTATTTCATTATGGCAATGGGAGAATGGACAAATACACTTCTTTTATCAGTACTTACCAGCATCAAAATTATTATGGCTTTATAAAAGAATTGAGAAGACCAGCCTCTGTGGCTTATACTGGTAATCCCAGCACTTTGAGAGGCTGAAGCAGGAGAATTTCTTGAGCCCAGGAGTTTGAGATCAGCCTGGGCAAGAATAGTAAGGCTACAAAATAAAACATAAAACATTCAAAAATTTTAGCTGGGTGTGGTGATGTGCACCTATAGTCCCAGCTACTTGGGAGGCTGAGGTGGGACAAGTTCCTTGAGCCCAGGCATTGGAGGCTGCAGTGTACTGTGATTGCACCATTGTACTCCAGCCTGGGTGACAGAGGGAGACTCAGTCTCTAAAAATGTTTTTAAAAAGAATTGAGAAGCTTTCCATATCTTCATATGGCCTGAAATAAACACTGACATTATCTGCCGTTACAGGATTAGGGAAAAGACATGAAACATCTGATTTTCAGGCTCTAATGGTGGATTTTTAAACTTTTTTTAATTTTTAATTTTTGTGGGTACATAGGTGTATATGTTTATGGGGTACATGAGATGTTTGATACAGGCATGTGCTGCATAGTAATCATGGAAAATGGGGTATCCATCCCCTCAGGTATTTATCCTTTGTGTTACAAAAAATCAAATTATACTTTTTTAGTTGTTAGTTATTTTTAAATGTACAATTAAGTTATTATTGACTACAGTAGTCACCCTGTTGTGCTATCAAGTAGGTTTATCCATTCTTTCTATTTTTTTTTATCCATTTACCATCTCCACCTTCTCCCTCAAACCCCCACTACCCTTCCCAGCCTCTGGTAACCATCCTTTTACTCTGTATGTCCGTGAGTTCAATTGTTTTCATTTTTACATCCCACAAATAAGTGAGAACACGTGATGTTTGTCTTTCTGTGTCTGGCTTATTTCACTTAACATTAATGGCCCCAGTTCCATCCATGTTGTTGCAAATGACGGAATCTCATTCAATTTTATGGCTGAATAGTACTTTATCATGTATAAGTAACACATTTTCTTTATTCATTCATCTGTTTATAGACACGTAGGTTGCTTCTAAATCTTAGCTATTTTGAACAGTGCTGCAATAAACATGAGAGTGCAGATATCTCTTTGATATACTGAGTTCCTTTCTTTTGGGTATATACCCAGCAATGGGATTGTTAGTTTATATCGTAGCTCTATTTTAAGATTTTTGAGGAACCTCCAAATGGTTATCCTTAGTGGTCATTCTAATTTACATTCCCACCAACAGTGTACAAGGGTCCCCTTTTCTCCACATCCTCACCAGCATTTGTTGTTGGCTGTCTTTTGGATATAAGCCATTTTAACTGGGGTGAGATGATATCTCATTGTAGTTTGGACTTGCATTTCTCTAATGATCAGTGATGTTGAGCACCTTTTCATATGCCTGCTTGCAATTTGTATGTCTTCTTTTCAGAAATGTCTATTCAAATCTTTTGCCCATTTTCTGATCAGATTATTAGATTTTTTTCCTATAGAGCTGTTTGAGCTTTTTATATATTCTGGTTATTAATCTCTTGTCAGATGGGTAGTTTGCAAATACTTTTCCTATTCTGTGGGTTGTCTCTTCCTTTTGTTGATTGTTTTCTTTGCTGTGCAGAAGCTTTTTAACTTGACGTGATTCCATTTGTCCATTTTTGCTTTGGTTACCTGTGCTTGTGGGGTATTGCTGAAGAAATATTTGCCCAGACCAATGTCCTAGAGACTTTCTCCAACGTTTTCTTGTAGTAGTTTCATAGTTTGAAGTCTTAGATTTAAGTCTTTAATCCATTTTGATTGGATTTTTCTATATGGCAAGAGATAGGGGTCAAGTTTCATTTTTCTGCATATGGATATCTAATGTTCCCAGCGCCATTTATTGAAGAGACTGTCTTTTCCCCAGTGTATGTTCTTGGCACCTTTGTTGAAAATGAGTTCACTCTAGGTGTATAAATTTGTTTCTGGGTTCTCTATTCTGTTCCATTGGTCTATGTGTCTGTTTTTATGCCGGTACCATGCTGTTTTGGTTACTATAGCTCTGCAGTATCATTTGAAGTCAGGTAATGTGATTCCTTTAGTTTTGTTCTTTTTGCTTAGGATAGCCTTGGCTATTCTGGGTCTTTTGTGGTTCCATATAAATTTTAGGATGTTTTTTCTATGTCTGTGAAGAATGTCATTGATATTCTGATAGGGTTTGCATTGAATCCATAGATTGCTTTGGGTAGTATGGACATTTTAACAATATTGATTCTTCTAATCCATGAACATGGAATATCTTTCCATTTTTGATGTGCTTTTCAATTTCTTTCATTGGTATTTTATAGTTTTCATTATAGAGAGCTTTGACTTCTTTGGTTAATTCCTAGGAATTTATTATAATTTTATTTCTGCCTACTGTAAGTGGGATTACTTTTCTGAATTCTTTTTTACATTGTTCACTGTTGGCATATAGAAATGCTACTTATTTTTGTATGCTTATATTGTATCCTGCAACTTTACTGAATTTGTTTATCAGTTCTGCTTTTTTGGTGGAGTCTTTAGGTTTTTCCAAACATAAGATCGTATCATTTGCAAACAAAGATAATTTGACTTCTTTCTTTCCAATTTTGGATGCCCTTCATTTCTTTGTTTGATTGCTCTAGCTAGGCCTTCCAGTACTATGTTGAATAACAGTGGTGAAAGTGGGCATCCTCATCATGTTCCAGATCTTAGAGGAAGGGCTTTCAGTTTTTCCCCATTCAGTATGATACTATCTATGGGTCTTTTGTATATGGCTATTATGTTAAGGTATTTCTCTTCTATATCCAGTTTTTTGAGGGTTTAACGGTTGGTTTTCGAGCATTTTTTTTTTACTGTCTTCTGTGGTGATCAGTGTATGCAAATTTTTCACTTCTTTTTGTGTTCAGTTGATTGTATACTTATATAGGAAATAATGCATTCAAATGTGTTGAATGCATTATTCACAGAGACAGGGGTTCATAATTTATATATTTAATTTCATCTGTATTTCTAGTTATTCTTCTTTTCTCATTTCTAATTTTCTATAATTTTGCTCTTTTCTCCTTTTAATCAGCCTCACAAGATTTATCTATTTTGTTCTTTCAAAGAAACAAGTTCTTTATTTACTAATTACTTCAACCATTCTTTTTGCCATATATTTTATTTTTCAGCTTTCATCTATGTATTTATTCTTCCTAGTTGCTCTTTTTTAATAAGAATTATAATTTTTCTAATTTCCTTAAGTGAATAATTGGTTCATTTTTATTTTATTTCTCAAAGGCAGGTTCTTAAACCAATCAATTCTTCTCCGAGTGTAGCTTTCTTGTCTTGTACATTTTGCTATTAAAGTGTTCTCCTTGTCATTCTTTTATAGAAATTTAGAAATTTCTGTTTTGGCTTCTTTTTGTTTAGGAGTGACCACTTTTGGACATTTAATAGTAATTGGTTCTCCAATTATTGACTTCAGTGAGTTTATTTTTGATGTAATTCTGCAATATCTAATGAAAACATCAAAGGTATTCAGCTGCCTGCCCCTAAGTGCAGTAAACCCTGATACATCACATCCAGGCATTACTTCTACATTTCTGTCAGTATTTCTATAATTATTTTTTTTAATTACACCTTTTTTCCATGTGAAACTTTAAGGGCAAGTTAAAGTATTTAAAACATGTTCGTGTTCCTTCCACTGTTCTTCTCCTGGTTCCTCTCCTTCTTGTCCTATGACCATGCACTTCATCAAGCTGAAACAAATCTGTGTGCTGGGTCACCGGAGAGCTGAGTAAACACAGGAACGTAGTACCCCAAGTAAGCGCTGAAAATGAGGGACATGCGGTGCCTCTAAGATGTTCACATCACCTATTTGGCTTCTGTTCTGCAGTAGTGACAGCTCTAGTTGGCTGTAGTAGGAACTGAAATTTTAAAAGGGGAAGGGGGTGTGGAGGTGTAAACCAGCGTTTGAAGGAACTCATCTTGCAGTTCTGGATGTTGAGGATCTGGGATAACAGACTGAGCAGACAGGAACTGGCCAAAATGGAAATGTTCAAGCAGAGGCAGCTTGGCCCTCTATCAAGAAAATTCTGGAGAGCCACAGAGGCTGGAGGAATAGGAGAACTTCAGGTAATCTCTATATCTCCTTACAGCAATATCTATAATTCTTTAGCAGGAGCAAAGAAGACAGGAAGGAAGTTTTCTTCCCCTCCTTCTCCAGCTTGTCTCTGGTTCTATTCAGCTTAAGTCAATTTCACAGTCCCATTTATCCTCGGCTTGTGCGTGACCAACCTTAGGAAGAAAATCTTTGGAATTGAAAACCTCAACTGGCCATTGTAAAAGGGCAAGCAAGCCTCAAGATGGTGTATGTTTGTTCAGGGAAGGGGGCATAGGCTACAATTTTAGGAAGTGTGCAAGGAATATATATATATATAGTTTTAATGTTCTTTAAAACCACCTCCTTCCTGTTATGAGCCCCATCCCCTCAAGCCAGCAGGGAATGTCACGTGAGTCCTGAACAGGATGCTCTCCACCTCCAGAGCGGATGTGCCTTCAGACACCTGTATCCTAGGTGTCTCTGACAGCATAGCATCATCCAGGCCCACAGCATCCCTGAAGTCCTCAGCTTTCTGCTTCTGCAGCATGCTCAGGCCACAGGACCCCCGGGCCCCCCATGCCAGGCTCCCCATGTGTGTCCCCTGCTGCCTCTTCTGAGGTCTGGATGCCACTTGCAGGCCCACAGACCACCCCGTTATGCCTCTCACCTCTCCAGCCTGCCTCCTGGACACCCTGGGCCGTCTCGGCAGTGGGGGCCATCCCCCCAGCCCCCCACCTCCGACAGCCACAAGCTTTTCCAGGCTGCTTCTGTTTTTCTCCTCGACAACTCTCTGGGATAAAGAGCTCCAAACTCCAAAATCCCACTTGAAATGGCAAAAAGAAGGATGCAAGGAGAAAATATGAATTAATATCTCACAAATACTATGCCCTACAAACCAGACAACCTCCTTCATATCTAGTGCAAATTAGATTCCTTTTTTCACTCATTCCCTCATTCAACTGAAATGTATTGAGGGCCTCTTGCATGTCAGGTCGATGGCCAGGTCCTCCCAGCTGAACCCTCAGTGTAATACTTTCCCACCGGGCGTCACTTGTACCTGTCCTTGTCTCTCTCCCGCTCTACTCCTCTGGACCACAGGGGATTTGAGTTCCACGTTGTGACATTCATCTTCACTCCCTCATGATCTAGAACTAGACATTCTCTATTCTAGAATATAATACAATAAATATTGGCAGGAAGGCAGGACAGACTAGATCCTAAGAGAAGGAAAGATGGCAGCACTCGACCAGAAGGGAGCATCGTTCTACAGAAGTCCAGGGAGAAATAATGTTAAAATGAAATGAAATGTATTCTATTCCTGGAACATCAGCTTAATGAGTGAGGAACCTTTGTGCAAACTTTGCCAATAAGGTTTTATCTGGGAGATATTTTTTCTTCTTATTCCACACTACCCAAATGACAATTGTTAATGTTTATTGTGTCTATCCATATATCAATACTGTACAAGGTACTCAATCTGCTTTGTTAGGGTTCTCCAGAGAAACAGCAACAATAGCAGATATTAATACACACACACACACACACACACACACACACACACACACACACACCCTTTGGCTCACAAGCTAGAGACCCAGGAAAGCTGAAGGACTGAGAACATGGGGAGCCAATGATGTTCACCCCAGTTCAAGGGCAGGAGAACATGAGATGGGATGTCTGAGTTCACGGGCAGGAAAGAAGGGACGAATTCCTCTGTGCTCTGCCTTTTGCTCCATTCAGGCCCTCAGTGAACAGGATGATGGCCACCCCCATGAGGGAAGGCAGCCTACTGAGTCCACCTATCCAGATGCCAATCTCACCTGGAAACAGCCCCCACAGACATGCTCAAAAACAGTGCTTAATCTGGGCAACCAGTGGCCCATTCAAATTGACACATAAAATTAACCATCACATGTGTGTAACTGTTTTAATCCTTCAAACCACTCTGTAAAGTTGCTACTAATGCTATCATCCCCCCTGAACAAGCAGTGAGTCCAGGAGGTGGGCATGAGCCCGTGAGGTCCTGGGCCCTGGCCACTTTGCAGGATTGCTGAGGGATGTCACACACCTGTCTCCACTCCCTACCTACCCAGTCTCTTTAGCTGGAAGCAGATTACTCCTTGGCGGATCTTCAACCTCTGGGAAAGTGCGCCAGGGAACACTGCCCCTCAAATGCCCCAGAAAGGTGCAGAGCTGAACAGATCTCAAAAGACAAGATGGACATTTTTCTTCATGTTCCAGCCATGTGTATTGTTCCAGGAGATCAGGAACTAATTTTCCTAGATTAGATGGTTTAAGCATAAAAACAAGTGTAATGCTGTGGACTCAAAACAGGAAGAGGCTCCCCTAATGAATATAGACCAGGGTTCCCACAATGGGTTTTGAGAAACGTTAGTCCAGAGAAATGCCTTTTGAGTGATGCACTGCAAACTTTACCATTCTCTTGGAAAATCCCCATCTCAAAGACCCTGAAAAATCTCATAATAAAGAATCCTGTTTAACCTAGCACTTCTCCTCCCAATTAGATCATGGGGCATTCTCTCCTTTTATAAAGAAGACTTTTAACATCTCACAGCATTCATTTTGGAAAACAGGACTAGACCAATGCTGACCAAAAGAAGGGTTCCACATACAAGATGTGTAGTGTGGTCATTCTGAGTGTCTCATCCATCCTGACCAGGTGGGGACCTGCCAGACAGAATTCCGAGAGGAATCCCTGGCTGCATCCAACAGCGAAGCGTGGCTGTGCTTCCTGATTGGGCATCGTGTGCTCTGCGCCCACTCCCTACCTGCTTAGAAGGCCCCTTGGTGCTGGGTTTGAATGTGGGCCATGGACCCCCAGGAAGGCCCTGGGGCCTTCTAACCGCCCATGGACACCTACGCAGAAGAACAAAGTGGAGAAATTAAGGACTGGGGCAGCTGTCATAATTCATGTGTTCTGTTCTCTCTCCAGACATCCAAGAAAAAGCCAGTGACTGTTCCTGAGGGCGCCTGTTAAGAGCTGGCTTTTTGGCTGTGGTGACCAGTCAGTCACGACCACTCTTCCGAGAGCAACACCAAGTGGAAACCCCGCCAAGTGGGCTTTTCAGGAACCCTCTCACCACCCAAGGCCTTTGGATCTTATATCTAACAAATTACATGTTACATTATTTTTTAAAAAACAGGTTAGTGACAACTAAGATAGTCTCTCCAGAATTAGAGTCTGATGTCAGATTCAGAAAATCCCCCGTTCCTTGGGAATTCCCATGTCACTCATTCTGCATTAATGATATTTATTCTCTCTCATTGTTTTATTCTTAAAAAATAGCTCCCCTGGTTGCAATGTGATGTTAAGTATATTACATGTCAGTTCATATATTACAGCTCGCACCACTCCTGGGTATATGTTTCCAAATAGCTCTCACTCCACAGTTCCAGTTCCACATTAAATATGGGCTGCCATGAGTGGAGCCCGAAAGGGTTGTCTGTTCCATTCCCGCTTCTTGTTTTCCCTGGAAGTATTTTCCCCTCCTATTTTATACTCCTCAGGGAAGATGTGCCCTCCAGTAAGAAAAGTCTACCTGGGGAAGGTAGAATGTGTTCTTGCTCTAGAGTTTCTTGAGGGGAGGTGAGAAGGGGCAGCTGTTTGACAGAGTGCATGCAGCCTTCCAGGGGCTGGCACTGGTTTGGCACATGAGTGGACACCCTGACTAGGGGATGTGGGATGCCAGAAACCATCAAGATCCTTGGAAAAAAGCCAAAATATCCTTCCTTCTGCAACATGAACATCAAAATGAGTTTTTGTCTTCTGTGGCTATCATGCTCTTGACCATCTGTGTTGTAGGGTCATTAACAGACAGTTTCAGGGATTCCGTGGGAGGTCATCCTTTTAGTTACTTCAACAGAATCAACCATGACAACCTAGTTTTATTTCCATTTGCTGCAGGATCCAAGCATAAGGCTCTCATGAGCCACCAGCTTCTTTGTTTCATTCATTCATTCAATTAACATATATTATGCATTGGGTTTCATCCAGTTCCTCAGTGATCAAGAAAAAAACCCAATGTTCTCATCATGCTTGTGGCCTGTGGCAAGGTCCACAGTCCTTGGGACAAAGTCCTCATGTGCCGTCTCCAGATACAGTCTTCACATGGCAGATGCCAGGCAGCGCCAATAACACTTTCCTCTGGTGCGGCTCTTCTAAGTAGTAAACAAGCAGAAATAGACAGCCTGTATGTCATACCCAAGGGGGCTTGTGAAATGATTCTCAGTGGGCCCCAAAGGCTCTCAAAAGGTGAATGAGTCAAGAGCCACTTTCCTCCTGTGCAACTTTGCCAGTTCTGATTTCCCCCTCATACTTTCTCTCAGATTATCTTAGCCATTGCCCAACACGATGTGACGAGCCCCAGGCACCTCTCTTTTTTAAGATAAGGGGGAATCTTCAGAGGAAAAGTGACTGCAACAGGGCCAGGGCACAAGGGTCTCTGGAGCCCACTGCTGTCTCCCTTGGCTGCAAAGCTGAAGGCCTGAGACCCTTGACAAATGAGAATCAGATTGTGTCCAAAATACATCTCAGCCTCTTGGGGCTGTCTGTAGCCATATAAGGAGCTGGTCAAGAGCTATTTATCAGAAAAGTTCTTGAGGGCAAAGAGAACCTACAGGGCACTTCAATTAGCTGAGCAGTCCCCAGCTCTGATGTGCCTGCAGCTGTCACCAGGAAGGGGTATCAACTATTCAAATGGCACTGTTATTGCGCTTTCATATGCAAGGGCTACAAAGTGCCCCCCTTCCCTTCATCAACTCCTTTGAACATCTTTGCCCATATTTGCCTAGGATCTTGGAACTTCAGAAAATACTAGCATTTAAAAATTGCCAAGGTATTGGCAAGTAGGTGTTTTAATCACAATGTCAAATGAGACTGCCCCCTAATCAATGGCCACCACAGCCAAAGACAAGTTCAAAAGATCCTTTGGGAAATCTGCCTCCCTTTTCTACATGATCCCAATAACAGAGAATTTGAGTCATGACAGCTGTCCCAGTCCTTAATGTCTTTGCCTGGGACAAATGTGATTATATCCACTGAAAACCCCAAACCAAAGGGGCCCTATGGCATCCACAGTGAGACCAGTAAGTTCCTTTTGGGTCTCGGTGGGAAACATTTTTATACATGTAGATTTTCAAGACTTGTATATTTGCCTTCAAAAATATCTCTAGATGCCTCTTAATTCTAAGAGGTCTAACCAGATACTAAGAAACACACTGAGTTTTTGAAAACGAGGAGGCGTACTCATCCTACATCAGTTTTCTGCCACAGGAGAGAAAACTGAACTAAGCTTTGAGATATTTGTTTCAACTTTATCTTTCCGGCTGTTTTCTCCCTCTCCCCTCTGGAACATATGAATCCTGAAATTTGATTTGATTTGCCCTGTCAAGTATAGGAAATTTTTAAAAAAGTTCTCCCTCTGTTGATACCATTGTTACAGCACTCAACACTTCCTATTTTAATGTCTCTCTCTGTTCCTTCTATTAGTTATGTACTTATTCATCTTTTCATTCCCAGTGTTTAGCACAATGTTTGCATTGGTGTGGTCAGTAGATGCTGAGCAGAAGGAAAATGGAAGGAGGAAGGAGGGCGGGAGAGACGGGTGGTTAGAGCTCTAGATGTGTTTTCTTCCCTGGGTTGAATGGTGGAAGAACTAAAACCCTCAGGGTGCATGGCTGGGGCCCTGACACTCTTTGCACACTGTAGTTCAGTAGTTAGAAACGAAATGTTTCATCAAGTGTGTTCAGAGCCAATTTACCATAGCCACTTTTTGAAAATTCTCTCCATGTGTGAGTGGGAAAGAGACCAGCTAGAAGAGGAGGTCTGAGGCTAGAAATCCCAGCTCTTTGCTTGTTTTTCCACACCTCATCCATAGTCCATATCCTACTGCAAACCACAGACTTCTGGAACTGGAAGACATAAATAGTCCAGGAGGTCAAAAAGAAGCTATCCAAATTAAGAAAACAATCCCATTTATAGTAGCATCAAAAAGAATAGGCTGGGCATGGTAGCTCAAGCCTGTAATCCCAGCACTTTGGGAGGCCGAGGCAGGCGGATCACCTGAGGTCAGGAGTTTGAGATCAGCCTGGCTAACATGGTGAAACCCTGTCTCTACTAAAAAAAAATACAAACAATTAGCTGTGCGTGATGGCATGTGCCTGTAACTCCAGCTACTTGGGAGGCTGAGGCAGGAGAATCGCTTGAACCCGGGAGGCGGAGGTTGCAGTGAGCCGAGGTTGCACCATTGTACTCAAGCCTGGGTGACAGAGTGAGACTCTGTCAAACAAACAAACAAAACAAAAAAAAAAGAATAAACTATCTAAACAACCAAGGAAGTGAAAGACTTGTATGCTGAAAACATTGATGAAAGAAATTTAAAAAGACACAAATAATATAAAAGACATCCTGTGTTCATGGATTAGAAAACTTAATATTGTTAAAATGTGCATACTACTGAAAGCAATCTACAAATTTAGTATAATCCCCAATCAAAATCCCAATGCTATTTTTTACATAAATAGAAAAACAATTCTAAAATGCATATGGAAGCACAAAGTACTCCGAATAGCCAAAACAATCTTGGGAAAGAAGAGCAAAGCTGAAGGCATCATACTTCCTGATTTAAAAATATATTAAAAAGCAACAGTAATTAAAACAGCATGGTATTGGTATAAAGACAGACATAATAGACCAATGGAACAGAATATAGAGCCCATAAATAAGCCCAATAATAAATATATGGTCAACTAATCTTCCACAGGATTGCCAAGAATACACAATGGGGAAAAGGTAGTCTCTTCAACAAATGGTGTTGGGAAAACTGGTTATCCACAGGCAAAAGCATGAAATTTGACCCCTTTCTTATATTACATATAAAAATTAACTTAAAATGGATTAAAGACTTAAACATAAGACCTGAAATTATAAAACTCCTAGAACAAAACATAGGGGGAAACTTTATGACATTAGTCTTGGCAATGATTCCTTGGGTATTATGACAGAAGCACAAGCAACACAAGCAAAAATAGATGAGAAGAACTATATCAAACTAAAAAGCTTCTATCTCTGCAATGGAAACTAGAATGAAAGTCACCCTGCAGAATGGGAGACAATATTTGCAAACCATACATCTAATAAGAGGTTAATATCTAAAATATATAAGGAATCCCTACAACTTAATAGCAAAAAACCAAATAACCTGATTAAGACATGGGTAAATGACTTGGATAAAAACCTCTCCAAAAAAGATGTGCAAATGATTAACTGGTATATAAAAGGACATCAACATCACTAATCATCAGGGAAATATTATTCAAAACCACAATGACATCTCACCTCACACCTGTTAGGATGGGCCTTATCAAAGAAAAAATCAAAAGATAATTTAATCAAAGACAATTTAAGTAAGTGTTGGTGGGGATGTGAAGAAATTGGAAAACTTGTATGCTGTTGGTGGAGATGTATATTGCTGCATCCACTATGGAAAACAGTTTTGAGCTTGCTTTAAAAATTAAAAATAGAGTCACTATATGACCCAGCAATCCCACTTCTTAGTGTTTATCCAAAAGAATTGAAACTAGGACCTCAAAGAGATATCTGCACACCCATGTTTATTGCAGCATTATTCACAATATTCAAAATGTGGAAATAACCTGTGTCCATCAACAGATGAATGGTGTTTATTAGTCTGTTTTCATGGTGCTGATAAAGACATACCCAAGACTGGGCAATTTACAAAAGAAAGAGGTTTAATTGGACTTACAGTTTCACATGCCTGGGGGAGCCTCACAATCATGGTGAAAGGCAAGGAGGAGCAAGTCACGTCTTACATGGATAGCAGCAGGCAAAGAGAGAGCTTGTGCAGGGAAACTCCCCCTTATAATAAACATCAGATCTCATGAGACTTACTGACTATCATGAGAGCAGCACAGGAAAGACCTGCCCCCATGATTCAATTACCTCCCACCGGGTCCCTCCCACAGCATGTGGGAATTCAAGATGAGATTTGGGTGGGGACACAGCCAAACCATATCAAACAGATAAAGAAAATATCCTATATTCATACAATGGAATATTATTCAGCCATAAAGAGAAGGAAATCCTGCCATGGATGGGCATTGAGGACATTATGCTAAGTGAAATAAGCCAGTCACAGAAGGACAAATATTGCATGATTCCACCATTTATGTGAGGTAGCTAAAGTAGCCAACAGAAGCAGAGAGTAGAATGGTAGTTGCCAGAGGCTGGGGAGGGGGAAGTGAGTGTTGCTCTTCAATGGGTACAAAATTTCAGTTATGCAAGATAAGTAAGTTCGGCTATAGGACATTGTGCTGAAGAGGATAGATCTCATGTTATCTGTTCTTACCACAATAATAATTATAGAAAATAGTCCAGAAGGGTTTGTGGAGTGCCTCCTTCTTTCTTCTTGTTTTCCTACCCTGACAGAGAAGTGTCAAGATTCTTTTAGAAAGAAGTTGTTCCCAGGTTGGGTGCAGTGGCTCATGCCTGTATTCCCAGCACTTTGGGAGGCTGAGGCGAGTGGATCACCTGAGGTCGGGAGCTTGAGACCAGCCTGGCCAATATGGTGAAACCCTGTCTCTACTAAAAATACAAAAATTGGCCGGGAATGGTGGCACATGCCTGTAATCCCAGCTACTCAGGAGGCTGAGGCAGGAGAATCGCTTGAACCCCGGAGGCAGAGGTTGCAGTGAGCCAAGATCATGCCACTGCACTCCAGCCTGGGCAACAGAGCAAGACCTCGTCTCAAAAAAAAAAAAAAAAAAAAAAAAAAAAAAAAAGAAGTTGTTCCCTTAGGACAGGGTTTCTCAGACTCATCACTAATGATATTTTAGGGCAGATACTTCTTTGTGGTGAGGGGCTGTCCTGTACATTATAGGATATTTAACACCATTCCTGAACTCTATCCACTCAGTTTCAGTGGCAAACCCCATCCCACACAGTTATGACAACCACAAATGCCCCAGAAATTGTCAAATGTCCCCTAGGGATCAAAATCACTCCTCGTTGAGAACAGCTCCCTTCAAGAGTCCCAACAAGCCTAGAGCTTAGGCACTCTGAGTGTCAATGGTGAGGTCAGATGAGTATTTGGTGGCACTGTGACCAGATGAAATTGTTTTCCCACAGAGCAGCATGCTCTGTTGAGAAGGTGAATGAATGTTCTCCTTCTGGCTCTGATAGCCTAAAATCATGAGGACATCCAAAGCCATCTTTTTTTTGGTTTTCACCTAGCTTTCCATATTTCCAGTGAAGTGAAAGGAGATGAGTATGTTATATTAGCTTCCTTGGGCTGCTGTAACAAATGACCACCAACTGCGTGGCTTAAAACAACAGAAATTTACTCTTTCACAGTTCTGGAGGCATGAAGTCCAAAATCAACGTGTCAATAGGGCCACATTCCCTCCAAAGGCTGTAGGGAAGAATCCTGCCTCACCTCTTCCAGTTTCTGGTGGCTCCAGGCATTCCTTAGCTTAAGTCTGCATCCCTCCAATCTCTGCCTCCATCTTCACATCTTCCCCTCTGTGTGTCTCTCACAAGGACATTTGTCACTGGATTTAGGGTCCATCTGGATAATCCAGGGTGATCTCATCTAGAGATCCTTCACTTGATCACATATGCAAAGACGCTTCTTCCAAAGCAGCTCACACTCACAGGTTTGGGGATGTGGACAGACTTTGCTGGGGCCTCCCATTCAACCCATTAACGTTCTAAAACAAAACTCCGTTTAAGGGAAAACAGAGAGACTGACTTTTTTATACTTTATGGTTTTCAAAGACATTTTGAAACAAACAAAAGTTGTTAGTGTAGTTTAAAAACCCTAAAACCTTTTTTTGAGTTTAGTTGCTGACGTGATGCCCCATTACCCTCAAATACGTCAGTGTGCATTTCCAACAAACAAAGACATTCCCCTACCTAACCACAGTGCAACCATGAAAACCAGGACACTGACAGCAAGCACGACCTCACCGCCCCCCACAACTCATGCAAGTTTCTCCAATTGTCCTAATACTGTCTTTCAGGGCAAAAGGATCTACTTCAGAATCACACAGAGCATTCAGTAGTCATGTGCCTTCACTTTTCTTCACTTTGAAACCAACCCCCAGTCTTTCTTGATCTTCAAATTCTTAACATTTTTTGAAGATTCAGGATCAGTTATTTGGTAGCATGTTTCTCAGTTTGGGCCTGTCTGATATTTCCTCATGATTAGATTCAAGTTTTGTGTCTTTCTCAGGACAATCCCAAAAGTAATCTGTGTTCTTCTCCATGCGTGCTATCAGGTAACATACATTTTCAATTTGCAGAATTCCTGGCAATGAAGACTGACCACTTGATTAAGGTGTCTCTGCCAGGTGTCTCTTCCCCCTCCGCCCTTGTAATTAATAAGTATTTTGTAAGGAGGAACTTGGAAACTATCTAAATATCCCATTCCTCACCTAACTTTCCATTTCTTAGTGTGTTTATTTGTATCTGAATGGACTAATGAATTCCTATTTTATTCAAAATCTGCTACTATCGTTATTTGTTTTGAGGCTCACGCTGTGTCATATTTGGCCAGAGGAGCCCTTGTGTCTGGCTCTGTGTCCTTCTGACATGTCCCATCATTCTTTGATCACTTTCTTGCTTTCTGGTACAGCAAGATGCTCTGAGCTTATTTAGTACTTTCTTTGCCCCTAAAGGAAGCTCTGGTCCCTTTTACTGGGAAATGGACAGTGTTTCAAGCACCATTGTGTTCCCTTTTGTGCATTTTCCAGACCGATATCTTCTCTGTCCTGCTTCACCCCTCATTCCTTCCACACACTGTGTTTACATCACCAGTGTGCCTCTCTCTCCCCTACTCCTGCCTCCACACATCCCATCCTGTTTATGTGTGCATGTTTGGAAGCACTAACTCTGTGAAACAAGCAGTCACGTGACAACATCCCGGCTCTGAGAAAGCTGGCTGCTACAGGCAGACATGCTGGGCAACCCACTGGCCATGCCTGGGGAACGCTGGCTCCAGGACTTCTGGCAATGCAGCTGCAATGAGTTAAACCTCTGAATTTGTGTGGGTCATTCCCAAGCACAAGTGAGGATCAGGACCCATGGCTGACTTACCATTTTACACTGGGAGGACAACCGAGTTCTTGTTTGGCCTTAGTTCAGCTTTTCCCCAGACTGCTTTCCCTGATTTTTTGAATCTTGAGAATTTTTTTACCAGGTCTTCTCTACTTGGCATCTTTCCTCCTCTAAGAAGGAAAATGTGAAAGGCTTCACTAATTCTATCGTGCCAGCTTCTGTTCAGGTCTGGGGCTTTCAGCCAGACTGCGCCCCAGGGTAGGGCCAGTTGGTTCCCTGGAGGTTGTGAGTGGAGCCTGGGGGTTAACGTGGACTGGCAGGTGCCCAGGGCTTGCACACATTTTATCCTGTCCTTCCAGGCTGTATCCCACCCCCTTCCTCTTTGATGACTTATGACAACTCATGAGGTAGCTCCTGCCATCCAGATTCTTTTATTTTCCTCTGTGGGCTTTCTGTCCTCTGCCCATCTTCCTACTGGTCTTTACCACTGTGGATTTCCTAAGCATGACTTCCTATACCCACTCCGTCTGGAATTTAATAACATCTTTTCTTTCCTTGAAGTTACATGTGCCCAACATTTCTGTCCTCTACTCCAGCCTCTCCTGAGTGGTCTTGAAACCCTAGGAAGCTGCCCTGGACGGGGCCAGAAGAGACACCTGAGCTCTGGGCAAACAATCCAGAGGCCAGCGAGAGGCCCTTGGCATGGCCGGTGAGGAGTGCTCAGTTTCCTGCTCACTGAACTGGGGAAGTGAGAAGGAGACACAGAGTGAGTGAAGCGTGAGTCGTGATGGAGAGTAAGGAGGCAGAAGTTGTGTTGGGCTGTGTGAAATTTAAACAAGTGAAGGAAAAGGCTGAAAGAGAGGAAGAGGAAGCAGATCCTTGAAGAAGAGCAGAGGGGCCACCAGAGGGTGAAGAGGGAAAAGTAGCTCCCTTGGTTTCCAACATCTTTCTAGAAACAAATGCCAGTTCATTTAAAGCCCAACTGCTCTTGCTTCCTGACCAAGGATTCTGTCGGATCTTTATATCCTTACAATCAGCTGCCTTTCTTGTGCCATTTTGAGTGGATTTCTCTTTCTTGCCATCAAAAGAGGCTTTCTTGAATTTTTTTTTTAAGAGACAGGGTCTCACTCTGTTGCCCAGGCTAGAGTACAGTGGTGTGATCACAGCTCACTCTCTGTAAGCCTCAAACTTCTGGGTTCAAGAAATCCCCTTACCTGAGCTTCCCAAGTAGCTAGGACTACAGGCACACACAACTGTATTTTTTTTTTTTTTTAGAGATGGGGTCTTGCTATGTTGCCCAGGCTGGTCTTGAACTCTTGGCTTCAAATGAACCTCCTCAGCTTCCCAAAGTGATTGGATTGCAAATGCCCTCACAAAGTGTTGGGATTATAGACATGAGCCACCCTGCCCAGGCTTCTTGAACATTCTTGTTGACTACATTGCCTTCCAGACCTATCAGGTAGAGACTGTTCTCCCAAGTCCTGAAAGAAGGGTGAGCATTCCCTCTCACTGCACAGTGCTGTGACCCAGATGTCCCTGCAACACTTTTGTTAAACAACCATCCTTCTTTGCAGGCCCATGTGAAGCAAGGGGATATATCTTCCTCTTTCCTGTCATCCATTGATATCTGGACCCTTTTCCAGGTTCCCTGATAAACACAGAAACTCTCCCTTTGTATCCCTTGCCATCATCCCGGGCAATGTCAGGGTCCACGTGGATGGTTCACGTCCCCCATCAGCCCCACAGTCCCTCCACCCATCCATTTCAAAAAGAATGAAAACAATACATTACAAAATGATTCGTATTTTAGAGCTTAGGAAATACTTTCCCAGTCATGAGCTCATTTTGTTTTGATTTTTGAACTCCATTCCCAAAGCCAAACTATAGACTCATCCTCTTATCACTGCTTCATTTCCAAAGCCTAGATGTTATTTTTAGGAAGCTGGGCCTTTAATGCCACTTGAAAATATCTTACTAATCCTTCAAGAAATCCTGATCTCCATTTTCTTCTTCCAAGCCTAAGTTCTCCTTCTATCTGCACTCTTACTGTCTTGGCTCCAATCTGCTCCAAGATCTTAACACATCCCATTTTTCGTCTCTTTCTCTACCATCTCCATGTCCAGGCACCCTTTTCCTTGACCTAATTAAATAGTCCAATGTTTTCCTAGAAACCAGCCCTCTTCAATCTTGCTTCTCCCTTAGCCTGCCATTCAGCGTCTTCCTACTCACTCCCTTCTTTAGGGCTTTTGAGCATCATTCTGCCTCTGGTATCTCTTCACACATTCCTTCTTTAATCCTCCAAACTCTGTTCTGACAGGCCCTAATTCTTGTTGTTGTTATTATTTTTTTAATACCACCAAGCTTGCTTTTATGGATTTGTTTTTTAAGGGAAAAGGATGACTGCCCGTGTTCCAGTTCGAATTTGACCACCAAGCCCTGGGAACTCTCCTCCTTCATCCTCTGCGACACTCTTTCTTGAGTGTCTGGAGAGGGTTTTCTCCAAGCTCTCTGGTCCGTGTCTTCCTTTGCCACCATAAATGGAGGCCTCTCTCAAAGTTCTTATGTGGTTCTGGAGGGTCCCTTCACTGTTTCACTCTCTCCCACCCACCGCCTCCTGACGCTACCCCCATCCCTGCTGAGCTGCTGAGCTGCTGAGCTGCTGAGCTACATTTTCAACTGCCTATCTGACATCTTGCTCCAGTTTCAAACTGAACTCAATGTCTTTCCCCTAAAAAGCCCCTGTCTGTGTAAATGACATCACCAACCAGCCATGCACACAGAAATGTTGGCGGTTGAATTCCCAAAGTGAATCAGTAGCTCCTAGTGCCAGATGGCCGGAAAGTTCTGCACCCATTCTGCAATTCAGGGCCTAACTCCCCTCCCTGATCCATGCCTGATTCATTCCCATGACCCTCTGCCTGGCTTGTCTGCCTCCAAACTCCCCTCTTTTCAACCTTAAAACACGGGTTTAGTCCTAACATTTCCATCGCCGACTTTGCACTGATTTCTCACCATGTAAAGGGAAAGGCCCTGGCTCCTGGGAGGGGACCCAAGGGCTCCATGGTGTCCCTGACACATCTCCCCCCCCATACCTCCAAGCCCCTTGGCTCCTGCCACAGGAGTCTCCCCACTGATCCCTGAACCTGCTGTTTTTCTTCCCATGCCTCCACTTACTGTTCCTTCAGTTAGGAAGATTTTTCTCTTCATTTTCTGCCCATCCGAAAGCTCTCATAAGTCAAAGCTCAGATGGATCGCCACTCTTCTGAGAAGCATTCTTTGATGCTCCTGGACAGAACTAGCTTGCTCCTCTTGTCTCTCCCATACTGCACTACCATTAGTTCCTCATTCATCCTGCCTTGAATTGTAAATGGTTGCAGTCATGCACCACATAATGTCTTGGTCAACCGTGGACCGTATATACAATGGTGGCCCCATAAGATTATAAGACTGTTTTTACCGTATCTTTTCTATATTTAGATACATAAATAGTTATCCTTGTGTTACAATTGCCCGCAGTAGTCAGTACAGTCACATGCTGTACAGGCTTATAGCCTAGGAGCAATTGGCTGTACCACACAGCCTAGGTATGTAGTAGGCTATGCCCTCTAGGTGTGTGTAAGTACACTCTATGATGTTTGCATAAGAGAAAATTGTCTAAGGACATGTTTCTCCAACTGTATCTCCATTGTTAAGCGACGCATGACTGTATTGTTATTTTTTCAGAGTGATATTGATATCCACATTGGCTAAGGAAGATACTGAGACTCAAAAGGTCTAAATTTCTTTTTTTTTTTTTTTTTTTGAGATGGAGTCTCACTCTGTCATGGGGCTGGAGTGCAATGGTGCAATCTTGGCTCATTGCAACCTCCACCTCCCAGGTTCAAGCAATTCCCCTGCCTCAGCCTCCCGAGTAGCTGGGACTACAGGCACCCGCCACCACATCCAGCTAATTTTTTGTATTTTAGTAGAGATGGGGTTTCACCCTGTTGGCCAGGATGGTGTTGATCTCTTGACCTCGTGATCCACCTGCCTCGGCCTTGGCGTGAGCCACCACACCCTGCCAGGTTTAAATTCCTTAAGATGATACAGCCTGAAGCTATAGAACTGGAATATGAACCCAGGTCGGCTTTATTCCAAAGTTCACTCTCTTTCCCCCTAGGGCCTAGATCAATTGTTCCCAGTCTCCATGGTACATTGAAATCACCTGGGGAATCTGCGGAAACTATTGCTCCACCCAGGCATTCTGATTTAATTGGTATGGAGTGTAACCTGGGCTTTGGGTTGTTAAAAATACTCCTCAGGTGACTCTAATGTGCAGCCTACCTCTGCCATAGGCTACTCAGTGCTTCCCCCAGTGTCTGGCACATAGTGTGTTTAGTACATGTTTGCATTCAATCTTTTCTCCATATGCTTTTCTGGTCACCTGGACACTTACTCTTCAATTCTAAGGCTGGCAACAATTCAAAAGAAAAAATAAAGCAGAGAAAGAAATTAATTATCTGGCTAATATGAGCCCCCCAAATTCATTTTCCATGAAAATTTCCAAATCAATATAAAGAAATTAGGAAGCATAGGCCAAAGTTACATTTTAACACATTTCACTTGATCCTCCATTGCCTTCCTTTGGCGAGAGCAGCCTGCTTGTGTGGCAGCCTTCAGTCCCCACTCTTTCCATCCCTCCAGCAGCTGCACATTGACAGGACTTGTTTCACAAATTGATCCCAAGGCGGAGACTACCTTCTTTTGAAGGCAGGCTCTGCAGAGGAGGCGACAAGGATCAGGTCACACTCCCTGAGTCCTAGACGTGGTCCCTGTGTCAGACTGACACAGCCCTGCACAGCCCTGGTAACTGACAGAAAAAACATCTCATTGGGTTAGTTACTCCCTTTGCATAATGTGAGGTTATCACATTGCAGCCAAATTTATGGAAGGAAATTTGAAAACTGGGCAACCTCTTTAAAATGTTTTGTCCCATTGAGACTTTATTTATAACTTTTAATATTAAATTCTGTCAGTGAGGAAACATCACCTGATATAACTGTGCTGTGAATTTACATGCACTTCTTGTCTAGTGAATAGGATATGTATTCCTATAAAATTCTAGTAAAGCTTCTGTTTTGTTACATCTAAAGAGAAAACAACTCAGAAGACCTTTCAGCATCTATGAAGGTCATAAAACTACACTTCCCAGATGTTATTGGATACAGGTGTTGGTCCTTGCTAGCAATAATCTAGAACATATGAGAGCATGGACATCCTTTCTGCATGCTCGAAGTTCTGGATTAAATAGTTCATTCACCAGACTTTATTTGGAGTCTTCTCTGCACGCCCACATACACGGTGTTCATATAGGACCAAGTCCTCTGTGGAGCCCAGTGACTCACAGTTGTGTTCCTTTAGAAAGGTGCCTAGCTGAACAGCATCAGTTGGATGATACTTTAGATGGTACTTAAAGAGGTGCTTCAGAGCCTCAGAAGATTGAGTTCTTAGTGAATTGTCCACGTGGGCAGCTTGTCTTCGAAGGCAGGCACAGGTGGAGGCTGTGCCTTTGACGGTAACTTCTGAAACTCAGCCTCTTCAAGTGCAAGACAAGAGAGTCATATTAGAAATTCGGCTGGGTGCGGTGGCTCACTTCTATAATCCCAGCACTTTGGGAGGCCGAGGTGAGTGGATCACGAGGTCAGGGGTTCAAGACCAGCCTGGCCAAGATGATGAAACCCCCACCTCTACTAAAAATACAAAAATTAGCTGGGCGTGGTAGCAGGCCAGGCGTGGTGGTGGGTGCCTGTAATCCCAGCTACTCAAGAGGCTAAGACAGAGAATTGCTTGAACCTGGGAGGTGGAGTGAGCTGAGATCATGCCACTGCACTCCAGGCTGGGCGACAGAGCAAGACTCCGTCTCAAAAAAAAAAAGAAAGAAAGAAAGAAAGAAAAGAAAAGAAATGCATTTCTGAGGTTCATGCCAGCTCTGTGGTGAGTCTGAGGGTCTGTAGAGTTCAGAGGATGGGGTGGCCATGGAGACCTTCTTGCAGGGAGGTGTGTATCCAGTTGCAGAGTGTATTCCCCCACAGAGGAGGGGAAACAGGAAGTGGACCGGCCAGGACCTGGTCAGGAAACACACCAGTTACAGAAACGGACAATTCAATATAGAGAACTGGAGAACATCAAGGGAACCCTGGGCTATTGCAGAAATAGGAGGTGCAGGAAGCAGCTAGCACTTTTAGATGTAGAACAGAGGGAAGAGGTTGGGATTTTTTGAAATTAGAAATTGGAGCTAAGGTGGCAGTCCTGGCCTGATGGTGTTGGTGTCTCTTAAAGCCACAATGAGGCTGGTCTGGAGGGTGAGAGAAAACTGTAAACTAGAACCTGCTTCTGCTGCAGGAGGAACTGTTGCTGAAATAACAGACAGGAACATCCAGCAGACAGAGCACATCCCCTCTCTTTCTCCTCCTCCAGCCTTGTAGTCCCCTCTGACATCTTCTTGAGGAGCCGACCAAGAAGTGGCTGGCAAAGCAGAAATATGGTTTGCAGCTTCAGCCAAATGGCCAGAGCTGAGCACTGAGTAGTGGTTTGGAGATGAAAGACAGTATATTCATACCCAGCCCAGGAAGAAAGGGGAACAGGGGTCACTACTAGTTAGGGAACTTGTGTAAGCAAGCAAAGTAGTAACAATATTCACCATGTCCAATATCCACCATATCCTCTTGTATCATTGTACCCCTTCACTCTTTAATCCCCACAACCATTGTATGGAATCACTATTGTTATTCAACTGTGGCAAAGGAAGAACTGTAGCTCAGATGGATTAGATAACTCTGCAGTCTTACCCAGAATGGGGATCAGAATGCAGAATCATCCCACTTTAAAGCTCTTTCCAACACAGGAGGCACCGTGTGTGCTGAAGATGTGCTTGGTGTGTCTAAGCAGCAGTGAGTAGTTAGACTAGAAGGATTCATGCGGAACAGATTTGGAGGGGGAGTATGGGCTAGATTGTGGAAGAGTATGGGGTTTGGACATTTTAGGCATTAGGAACCAATGAAGATTTTGGAAGACTGCAGAGAAACGATGGAAACACTTTTAGAGTGATTTGTTTAGAAAGAGTGAGCAAGGTGGATTGATGAGAAGAAAGTCTGGTGCCAGTGAGCCTCATTGAGCATTCAATTTAATAATTTAGAAATGAAGTGATACAGGCCTTGGTTTGGATGGTGGCAATGAGAAAGAAGAGGAAGAGAAAAATATTTCAAACAAAGAATACACAGAAATTGTTGCACATAGAGATTATATGAAAAGTAGGACTCAAGGATAATTCCGAGATTTGGGGGCCTGGATAACTAGTAGAATAGTGATTCTCCCTTCAGAAATAGAACACTTGGGAATTCTGGAATTTTCTTCCTTTTCAAATGTGGCCTCTCTCCCTGCACTGTCCCCTGCCCCTAATGTACCATGATGGTATAGGATACCCAACGATCTGAGCTTCACCCTTGATTACCATCGGCAGAGTTGATAAGTTGAACTAATTCAGAGATAACTGTTTACTGTGTAGTCAGGGAAAACATTCACTTGGAGACTGGAAACTGCTGTTTTTCACTATCACCAACTTGCTGTTATTCACTAGCTTTGACTTGATCCAAGTTATTTGACAGTATGGCTAAGAGGATGTATTGGGATAATATATGTCAATGGTTCTCAACCTTCGGTTTTATTGTAATCCCCTGGGGAGCTTTTAAGTAATACCAACACCTTGGCCCATCTCCAGAAATTCTCAGTTAATCTGGGATAGGGCCCAGTCTCCCCCACACCAACCCAGGGTGGGTCCAAAGGGGCAGGATGGAGCGGGTGGCTGGGACCCAGTTTGTTTGTTTGTTTTGTTTTTTAACCAACATCTCTGGTTATCTACTTGAATGTTCCCTCACATACATTCTCAAGGACTCCAGAGGGTTTCACTAACGTCTAAGGGTTGTCAGCATAAGAGAACTCACCCAGAACTTGTTTACCACATTCAGGAAGGTGTGGGCATCTTGCAAGATAAGGGGGCCAGGGGAGAAAAGATCTCTGCTTGCCAGTACAGCCACAGCCTAGTAGGGCATTTTGGATTTTCATAGCCTCAACCAATGAAAACACATTTAAAAATTCAACTAGACTTATATAAGAGCAAGAATTTGTTACTCTACCTTCCTAATGTTATGTGAGTGTCATAGGGCATTCTGAGGGGGATAGGTTATGCATGTGGCTGCAGTTCTTAGAGAGGTAGCACATTATATTTGGGTGGTCCAAGCCAAGTTGAGACCCAGTTTACCCAGAGAGCATGTACTAAAGTATAATCCAAACGACCCTTGAAATTCCCTTGTGAAGATCTGAAGATAGTGTAGTTCTGCTCTCACAGTTCAACATAGATTTTCTTCTACTGTTAAAACACATTGCTTATTCTTCCCCAAGCCCTTAAGGGATGGTTGGTTTGTGTTTTAAAAGAGCCATTTATACCTAACAACAATATCTCTAAATACAAAATTCACACCTAGAAGGCTCGGGAGCTCGAGTGAGAGACAGGCTGTGCCCAGAGGCATGGACAGTAACTGAGGGAAGTGCAGATTCAAGTCTCCAGTCCATTCTCACTCAGGGATGCCTGCTTATTGAGGTAATGGCCCCACTAGCTCACATTTTTACCCATATCTCCCCCAGCCATTTCTCTCTTAAATGCCACAAGTGTGTTTCTGATAGAGGTCATCAAGACCTTCTTGTTGGACAGCACTCATAGTAGATGGTAGATTAAAAGTCACTGATATAGAGAAGGGGCTAATTTCCCCAGTACACATGCCACACACCTAAGGACATCTTCATGTTTGGCATACAGTAGTCCCCTGTCAATGACAAGAGTAAAACCCTGTAAAATATTTGAATAAATTTATTCTGAGGCAAATATTAGTGACCAATGGCCGGTGACAGCCCTCAGGAGATACCGAGAACATGTGCCCAAGGAGTTTGGGCCATAACTTAGCTTTATACATTTTAAGGAGACACAAGACGTCAATCAATAGATGTAAAATGTACATTGGTTCAGTCTGGAAAGGAGAGACAACTGGACGTGGGGGCTCTCAGGTCATAGGTAGATTCAAAGATTTTATGATTGGCGATTGGTTGAAAGAGTTAAGTTATTAACTAAAGACTTAGAATCAATAGAAAGGAATGTCTGGGTTAAGATAAGGGTTTGTAGAGGCCAGAGTTTTATCATGCAGGCAAATTCTCCAGGTAGCAGGCTTCAAAGGGAATAGATGGTAAATTTTTTTTTTAATCAGACTTAAAGAGTCTGTTCTCAGTAATTTCAAAAGGAAGGACGGTATAATGAGGCATGTCTGACTCCCTCTTGCCATCATGTCCTGAACTAGTTTTCCAGGTTAACTCTGGAATGCCCTTTGCTGAGCCATGGGTTCTATTCAGATGGTTGGGGGACTTGGAATTTTATTTTTGGTTTACGTACCCTATCTGTGATTTCTCTCTTCCCATAGTTTCAGTTACTTGCAGTCAACTGTGGTCCAAAAATAGGTGAGGGCAGTACAATAAGATGTTTGGAGAGAGAAAGATAGACCATATTTACATAACTGTTATTACAATATATTGTTACAGTTTCTCTATTTCATTATTAGTTATTCTTAATCTCTTACTCTGCCTAATTTATAAATTAAACTTTATTATAGGTGTGTATGTATAGGAAAAAATGTAGCGTATATAGGATTCAGTACTACCCGAGGTTTCAGGCATCCACTTGGAACGTATCTCTTAAGCATAAGTGAGGACTACTGTACCCGCAACCCCAGGCTGATCCAGATGAGCTAGAATCCTCTTACTGAAGCATTGGCTTTGACATCAGGGAGCCTGGTGCCAGCATTTTGGAGTGTGAAGATTGTATTTACATCCCTGACTCCTCCCACTTTTCCCACACTCCCACCCACCCTTAAATTAGCATCATCAATCTATATCATTGTGTCCTTAGGGTAAACTCTGTGTGTGTGTGTGTGTGTGTGTGTGTGTGTGTGTGTGTGTGTGTGTGTGCATGTGTCTGTGTGTATACACCACTTCTCCTGTCAATGGCTTCTAATCGTCCCTCATTCTTAGCATGATGTAATTAAGCAACAAACTCACATTTTGTGATCCTTGTGGTAGGTTGTACAGAGGGAAGAATAGAAACTTAAAGTAAGATTGGCCTGGTTTCACTCTCTGCTTGGTCCAAACCTCAACTTGTGCCTAGAATTAGCAACCGGAGGAGAAAATGGCCAGCAGAGAGTCTACCCAAGAAGACTAGACTAAATTTCCAGGGGAATTTAGTTTTTTTTTGTCCTTGAGTTGCTTCTACAACTCTTCAATGTCTTTAAAAAGTAAGTTTTTGAAAACTGTTTTTTCTAATTGTCACAGTGGGAGGATTGGCCTCCTCCAGGCTACTACCTCTTACCTGAAGGCATGGGTGAGGTTTTTAAGCTAGTGGGTCTGTGTACTGTAAATACTAGGTATAAAATGAAGACACAAATCAATTTAGAGCAGGATCTCATTATGAAAGGAGTCATTTGCATACCCAGACTTAGTTATGCTAATATAAGAACACTGCTAGACTCTCCTTACCATGGGGTGAGGACATAGCAGAATCTTTGAAAAATTCCTGTGGTTTATCAGTTTGCAAAAAGATCCCTGGAGGCTTATAGTATGGAATGACTGTGAGACTCCACCCTCATCTTCCTAAGAATTGAATTAGAGAAATCTGTTTTTAAGAGTGTGGCCCTAAAAAATATCTGCTGGCATGAAAGGATCTCAAGGTCCCCTAAGGGGAATTCATTATGAGAGTGTCTGCTCATGATTCCCGTTCAACATAAAAGCATGGAGGTTCTTTGGGAAGGAGAGGTTCTAGCAAAACATGTAAGTGAGGCTGAAGAACCCATGGATCTACCCACCAAGACATATTGTCATTCTTTGAGAACAATAGCTGAATATGTGAGTGAAAAATAAAAGAGCTATGCCCTTGGGACCCAAGTGTGAGCTTTGGGCTGTTCAGGGATCTGCACTGGTAAGAGTATACCTGATCTTTGAGCTAGAGTCCTTGCAACTCTGCAGGGCCAGTGTTCAATAATGGGGTTCTATGTAAGTAACAGAAGCAGTAATGCTGGTAGGCTAAAGAGACTTTCCAGTTAGGCTGCTTGGGAATACTAACCCATTTAGATTCAATGAGCCTTGGGGATTCTTGGATAGTTTGCAGTGGGAGCCTCAAGAGAGAGATCTTGGATTTCTACTAATTAGGATTGGAGGAAAATGTGTAAATCTGGTAAAGAGGGTTATACCAGCTATACCAGCTTTCAAGCTCTAGTTATTCATTTGTAATGGGAGTAGGGACAGAGTATAAGGGAAGAAAATTCTAGTAGCATGATAATATTAGTGTTTTAAGACAACCAGCTCTTAGGGATCATTAGGCTTTTGAGATCCTTTTACTCAACCACAGGAAATCAGAGTGTGAGTTTCTGATGCTTTCATGGACAGGTCATTATATATACGCCAGACTTACTTGAAGACACTTTCTGAGCCACGTGATAAATAGCAGGCTATTGCAATTACTACATAAAATTGGAGTTTTCTTGACTTTAAGAAGAGTTTTGGAAGTAGTAAGCATAGTTAATGCTCTCCTATTCTTGTATTTTAATTGTTGCAGGTTATTTTTCATTAGATTAACACTAAGAAGTCAATATTGTAATCTATTTGTGGCTCTCAGAAAACGTACAATAATTTCAGTTTAACCAATTTACAAAACAATCTTGGCAAGAATTTGGTTTGCATACTTATGAGAGATTCAAAGCTGGGTACTACCTTTATGGTATGAATTTGTACCAGGCATGATGAGAATTTTTTTTGAACGTGTACATCAGAATTGCTTGAAGAACAGTTGAGTCTTATGTTTACTCATTCCTTTATTTGAAAAAGCGTATGAACTTATTGAATACTTGCTGTATGCCTGAGTGCTTTATCGTGGAATCCAGATTGAGAAGTGAGAAGAGAAATTGGTGTAGGGAAAGGGAAGAAGGGAGGGAGCCTGCCTAAAGGAAATACTCCCAATCATCCTTGGCTAATGTGTATTGGAATTGTAGCTTTATAGATTAGATTAATTTTAGTGAAAAGTTGACGTTTTATAATATTAGGTCTATTGTTGTATTATCTCCATTCATTCAAAGTATCTCCTTTTCATTACTAAAGTTTTGTAGGTTTCTGTCTTAATAGTTCTGCATAGCAGTTACTGTTTATTCCTAAGTATTTTTTGTTTCTGCTATGAGTTTCTACTACCCTAAACAGTTGCCCAGCTTTCAGTAAGTCCTTCCCACATCCACACATACAAATTCACTCTCCTTCTTTTAGGTTGACTGAAGAGGTGTAAAAATTATTTTCATCTTTCTGTGAGATAAATTATTCATTTTTTGTTATAATGTTTATCTTTAAATTTTAACATGCTTACTTAACAATGCCTGAAGTTTATCAATACTTCTACCCTTCTAAACAATTTAAGTTAAACTGCTTAAAATTGATCACTCCATTTCCATCTTGATATTGTTGCCAATACTTTGTCTCACTTTGTTTCACTTTGTTTTATTACCAGACATTAGTAATTACTAGTTATTTCTAAATATTCACTATTGTCTACATTTGACTGCACAAGTACAAATTTCTTTATTCATCATATCTTCTTGCATCTCAGTTCTTCCTTTTAGAATATATTTCCTTTTTCCTGAAGTTCCTAGACAGAGTATGCTCTTCGTAGATTTTGTCTCAAAATGTCTTTATGTTGTCCTTGCTCTTTAATGATAATTCAGCTGGATATAAAGTTACACGTTGACATTTATTTTCTTTCAAGAAATTTGAAAATATGATTCCATTGTCTTCTGCTTTCTATCAGTGCTTTGAAAAAGTCTGCTATTAGTTTGATTATTGTTCTTTTTTAGACAACTTTTCTCTCTGGTAGCTTTTTGTGTCTTCTCTTTTTCTTCTACTCTCTACAGTGTCTCAGCAATATGTTTTGTTATAGATTTATTTTGTTAATTCTACCTGGTAGTTATGCTTCTTGAAACAGGTTTTATATATTTCATCCATTCTGGAAAACAGTCATTTTCCCCATTTTCTCTCTCTTTCTGGAACTTCTAGTATAAGTATATGAGGAACCTTTTCATTCAATCTTTCATGTCTCTTAATCCCTTTTGTATTTTTTCTTTATATCTTGGACAACATTCTGGGTAATTTCTTTAAATCTATCTCTTACCTACTTCATTAACTTTTTCTTTAGCTGAATCTATTTTTTTCTGATCAGCAGAAAAACATCCACTGAGTTTTTTTAAAAAGACCTATTTAATCAACATCAAGATCAGACTCTTATAGTGATCAACAATATGCATACAAAAATAAGTATATTATAAAACTTTTGTTGTAATGCTTCATACTTTCCACAGGAAAAAAACTAAAATTTCTGTTATATAGTTAGTCACAAGAACTATCTTTATGGATTTTTGCTCATAGGAGTATGTTCTAAAGCATCTCTTTTTGTAGGATGTAGATCCTGCCACCGCAGTTGGCTGAGTTAATAAACTTGTTGTAACCTGTAGCTTTCCTGTTATTTTTCAGGCTTTCCTCTTTTGCTAAGCACTTTTTTTTGGCAGTAATTAAAATCTTCTGCCACTGCTATAGCTTCTCCTGATGCTAATACAACCATAACCACCTTGGTTTTGTGGTTTGGCAAAGTATTGGCTCTCCCAGTATAAGAACCGGAGCTTCTGCTCCATGATCTCCTTCCTTTATGGGTCCAGAATTTGAAGATTATTGTAATTGCCATTGTCCACTGTCGCTTCCACCACCTCCAAAATTGCTTCTATCATTACCAACACCATTATAACTATCCCCACTGGCATCATATCCACCACCATCATGGCTGCCACCAAAGCTATCACAACCATTGTAATTTCCTCCATAATTAAAGTTGCCATTCCCTCTAAAATAACCTCCACAACGACTGCTGAAGTTTTCAGAACCACTTTGACCTAGATAAGGCACTTACAATCTCTTGCTTAGCCAGGGATTTCCCTACTTCACAGTTATGGCCATTCATAGTATGTTGTTTCCGAATGACAATCTTATCCATGAACTTATGGTCACCAAAGTTTACAGAAGCAAAGACTCTCCTCATCACTGCCCCAGTCTGTAATGATTTCACTTCAGTCAATCTTCCTATACTGCTATGTATTATCTGTTATGAGAACGATAGATGCAGTTGCCTGTGTAAGGAAATATTTAGTGGCTGCTTCTGTAGAGCGGGGTTTTTTTTTTGTTTTTTTTTTAATGAAGATTGGGATAAGGGGATGGAATTTAGGCTTAGCCTATAATTACATTAATTTTATTGTCCCTAGGAGGTTTACCTCCATTAACAGGATTTCTGCCTAAATGAGTCATCATTCAAGAACTTACAAAAAACAACAGTCTTATTTCCCCAACCATTATAGCTATTATAACCCTACTCAACCTATACTTTTACATATGCTTAATTTACTCTGGCTCAGTGACAATATTCCCCACATCCAATAACATAAAAATAAAATGACAGTTTGAAAACACAAAGCCCACATTATTCCTCCTCCCACTTATCTCTTCTACCTTCCTTTTACCCATTTCCCCATTAACACTATCTATGATCTAGAAATTTAGGTTAAACAAGACCAATGGCCTTCAAAGCCATTGAACATCACCCGTCCAATGAATCCCCTCCCCCATGAAAAAAGTTTTATGTTTCTATGTTAATTATCCCACAGATTTCTTAAATTATAGCATTCACAGACACAGAACTAATCATATTTTATATTCTCTTTGAAGCTACACTTATCCCTACACTAATCTTTATTATCTGCTGAAGTAACCAACCAGAACACCTCAATGCAAGCTCGTATTTCCTATTTTATACACTAGTAGGGTCTCTCCCCTTATTATACTTATTTATACCCAAAATACCTTAGGTTCACTAAATATAATAATGACATTCAGTACCCAGGAACTACTAGTCTCCTGATCCAACAATCTCATATGATTAGCATGTATCATAGCTTTTATAGTAAAAATACCCCTATATGGACTTCACCTATGACTCCCTGAGGCTTATGTAGAAGAAACCCCCATTGCTGGCTCAATAGTACTTGCAGCAGTGCTCCTAAAATTAGGTGGTCATGGTATAATACAGCTCACCCTCACCCTTAGCATTGACTTAATGGGCAGAATATTATGCTTTGTTGTTTGGACTTATGTAGTACAGGAATAACTGCTAGAATGAGAAGAGCGAATAGAAGGGCCAGTATAACTCCTAGTTTATTAGGAATGGATTGTAAGATTGTATAATCTTCCTATACTGCTCAAAATAATCTCTTACATGTTGTTCTTCAATGTCTTCCTTAATGCCACAAAGATCTTTTTCATAGGTAACTGGGCACCTGGTCTTTGGTAAAATTTTTAAAAAATATCCCTCTTTGATTTCACAACTCTTCCACCACCTTGTGTGGACTTCCATTCATGACTGAATCTGCTTGCACCATGGTGGCATATATGACAAACCTAAAGATTCTGGAGTGCTTAGTGTGTGCGTCTTTCATTACCACACAATCTGTGTGCATTTCCCATTACTGAAAATGGCTCTTCCATCTCTTATGATTATTTTAATGAAGAGCTTCTGCAGTTCTTTGGGCTCTTTGGGACACTGACTAAGACATGACTGCAACAGGAGGAGACTTTAACTGTGTTTCCTCTGTTGTGGCCACAGGCAGAAAATCACAGAGTTTTTCATATCAGTGGTTATATTTTTAATTTCTGGGTAATTCCTTCCTTCCCTCCCTCCCTCCCTCCCTCCCTTCCTTCCCTCCCTCCCTCCCTTCCTTCCCTCCCTCCCTCCCTTCCTTCCCTCCCTCCCTCCCTTCCTTCCTTCCCTCCCTCCTTCCTTCCCTCCCTCCCTCCTCCCTCTCTCCTGCCTCCCTCCCTTTTTTTTTTTCAAGGTCTTGCTCTGTCATCCAGGCTGGAGTGTAGTAGTGCAAACATAGCTCACTGCGGCCTTGACCTCCGGGGCTCAAGCAATCCTTCTGCCTCAGCCCCCTCAAGGAACTGGTACTACAGGTGCATGCCAAAACACCTGGCTGATTTGTGTACTTTTTTTAATAGAAATGGGGTTTCGCTGTGTTGCCCAGGTTGGTCTTGAACTCTTGAGCTCAAGCAATTTGCCTGTCTCAACTTCCCAAAGTTCTGGGATTATAGGCGTGAGCCACCACACCTGGCCCTGGGTGTTCTCTTTCAAACATCTTTTAGCTTAATCTTTTTTCTTTTTCTTTTCTTTTCTTTTTTTTTTTCTTTCTTTTTTTTTTTTTTTTTTGAGACTAAGTCTTGCTCTGTTGCCCAGGCTGGAGTGCAGTGGTGGGATCTCGGCTCACTACAACCTCTGCCTTCTGAGTTCAAGCAATTCTCCTGCCTCAGCCTGGCTAATTTTTGTATTCTTGTTAATTCGACCTGCGTAATCAAGCATTAGGCAGGGGCTTGGAGAAAACTCTTAAATTATGATTCATACCATGTCTAAGTTGATACATAATATTTTACAACCATCATCAACTGTGGATGGACTCTCTACATGACAGAGAAAACAGATTTTTCGTGACCAGAAGTCTCAGATTTTCTGCAAGAATCTAAAAACTATTGTATTTTATTTTTTGAGAAGGAGTTTCACTGTTGTCACCCAGGCTGGAGTGGAATGGTGCCACCTTGGATCACTGCAACCTCTGCCTCCTGGGTTCAAGCAATTCTCTTCCCTCAGTCTCTTGAGTAGCTGGGATAGCAGGCACCTGCTACCATGCCCAGCTAATTTTTGTATTTTTAGTAGAGACGCCATTTTGCCATGTTGGCCAGGCTGGTCTTGAACTCCTGACCTCAGGTGATTTGCACACCTCAGCCTCCCAAAGTGCTGGGATTACAGGTGTGAGCCACCACGCCTGGCCCATCTTTTTTCTTTAAATATTATGTACCTTATTTATGTATTGTTCATTTTTAATTTTATTGTTCTAAACAGATTTATTTATATAATCAGTCTGTAATAATTTTATTATCTAATATTCTTGGGAGTCTAAGTCTATGATTTGTTTGTTCTATGACTCTTCATCATGGTGGCTTATTTTGTGGTATGTTTTGTAATTTTGAATTATGAACTCAGGTTTGGTGAAATTTTTATCTGTGGGAATCCCCTTCAGCCTGGTTAAAAATGTGAGCTTCAAGGAGGTTTTGCCTTTGCATCTGCTCAATCCAGAAAGTATTTAAAGGTTGATTTCTTAATTAAACAATTCCTGGCATATACAAATTATGTAAATTCTAACATCAGAATAAGGTGAGAAGAGCATGTCAGCTGTAAATGGTCAGAGGACACATTTTCTCTATTACAATTCTATTTTACAACAGACTAGTTCTTTGCTGATTCCCTGAGGTTGTGGTCAGGTTTTTCCTTTATTAAATACATAGCTCTTTGAAGAGTTTGACTTTAGCTTTATTTCCTACACCAACGTGGTCTTCAAAACCCAAACATCTAAACAGAAACATTAGTCAACTTCTATTGGGGTACCGAAACTTGGATTTTCAGCTTTCTCTTCATTTTGGTCTTTGGAGCTTTCCTATATTAGAGACTGAAGGTTGGGAGAGTACACTTATACATTTCAAAAGATGTTTATTTTACTTTATGCAAAATTTCTAGGCATTTGTAGCCAGGGGCTTTTTTGAGAAATATTTGGTATGCCATATTACCAGAAATATTTATGTCTCATTTATTTCATTTATCTTATGCTATGGTGTTTCCCAAACACTAGGGAAAAATGTTTGGCAGATTGTAAATTGTACCAGATATTTGTTGAATAAATAATTGTTGAATTAAGGAATAAAGCTGGATAACATCCACATATTTTAGAAGAAATTTTCAGAAGATAGATTCTTAACTCCAGGCAGCAGCAGTAAGGATGGGGATTTTAGGCACTGTTCAAGGACAATGAAAGGAAAATGATACTTGGAGATGAGTTGTTCCCTGTCATGGGTGTTAATATATTCTACCTAGGGGTCTGATTCTGCTATAGTTGCTATTAGGAAAAAGGCTTACATGTCCAAGGAATAGAAAAATTTCCTTTGGCCATCGTCTCACTCTATTTATTGCTCCAAAAGAATGAATCATTTGAATACAATAAAAGTTGATTTAAAAAAAAGAATCAAATTCTAGGAAGGATTAAACTCCCTAGATTTTATTTACTTATTTAACATACCGCCTTCTTCATGATCTCACATTCCTTAACAGCTTTCTCACAGATTAAAATGCATAACTGGGGACAGTTTTTTTCCCCATCATGAATAAACATGAGTGTAAATCTATTCCATATACTTTTAGAATAATTATAATAAAAATTCTCCATCCTCTCCTTTGACCCCTTGTTTAAGATTTCATTTATACAAAGATTCCCTCACTTGCCTTCACTCCTCAGATATTCATGTGAGGACTTGTCCTTGGTTCCCCTACTTTCTGAACAGGTTTCCCTTTTATTAATTTGGCCACCATCAGAAACAACCCCAATCACAAGTTTGGACTAAGTGACCAGTCAACTGGATATCAATTGGAGGTCAGTGCTAGGAACCTATGTTCATCCCTGCTGGACTGTTTCTAGATTAGAAGGTGTATTAGTCTGTTTTCACTCTGCTGATAAAGACATACCCGAGATTGGGTAATTCAAAAGAAAAAGAGGTTTAATGGACTTACAGTTCCACAAGGCTGGGGAGGCCTCATAAGCATGGTGGAAGGCAAAAGGCAAGTCTTACATGATGGCAGGCAAAAGAGAATGAGAACCAAGTGAAAAGGGAAACCCCTTATAAAACCATCAGATCTCATGAGACTTATTCACTACCATGAGAACAGTATGGGGGAAACCGCCCCCCATGATTCAATTATCTTCCACAGGGTACCTCCCACAACACATGGGAATTATGGGAGCTACAATTCAAGATGAGATTTGGCTGAGGACACAGCCAAATCATATCAGAAGGGGAGAGATTACCTTTTGTTTCTAGAAGCATTATCCAATAATCTAGTATTGTACAAATCTTCCCAGTTTCCTTTATGAAGAGAAAGAACACCCATACTTCATGTTACAGGAAGCAAAAATCTTATCGTTAATAGATGCCAATATCATATTTACATGTAGTTTTTGCCTTTAAAATATTTTAAAATACATCGTTACATTTGAAAGCAAGTCTGAAAAATATTTCTTAGACATTGTTGCTAAGAAAATTCTTCCTTCTTCAATGAGAGGGCAAGATTACTATGAAAAATATTTTTTAAATTATTGACATGTTAATTCAATCTGATTAATCAAGCATTAGGCAGAGGCTTGGAGAAAACTCTTAAATTATGATTCATACCATGTCTAAGTTGATACATAGTATTTTAGAACCATCATCAACTAGGGACTGACTCTCTACATGACAGAGAAAGCAGGTTTCTCATGACCAGAAATCTCAGATTTTCTGCAAGAATCTAAAAACTATTTTATTTTATTTTTTAAGACTGAGTTTCACTCTTGTCGCCTAGGCTAGAGTAGAATGGTGCCATCTTGGCTCACTGCAACTTCTGCCTCCCGGTTTCAAGCGATTCTCTTGCCTCAGCCTCTCGAGTAGCTGGGATTGCAGGCACCTGCTACCATGCCCAGCTAATTTTTGTATTTTTAGTAGAGACAGTGTTTCACCATGTTGCCCAGGCTGGTCTTGAACTCCTGACCTCAGGTGATCTGCCCACCTTGGCCTCCCAAAGTGCTGGGATTACAGGCGTGAGCCACTGTGCCTGGCTTATTTTATTTTAAGGAAAAGTGCCTGTTGTGTATAATTCAAAGTTACTTTCCGTTAGAGTTATGTTCAGTATGTACCTACATATGATTTGCTATCTAAATTTCATATAAATTAAATAAAAATCATGGAAATATTTTGGCCATCCATGTATCCTCTTTTTTGCTTAGAGAATATGATCATTGAACTGGTCATTTTCAATAGCCAGTTGGACGAATGAATACTCATTGAGTTCTAATCACAGGGAGCTCTGGTATACTAGAAAGGACACTGGAGTGAGAGTTAGAAGACAAATACTTGAGTTCAGGCTGTGCCTCTTATATGCTTATAAGTCTTTTATTACCTGGAGCAAATTACCATATCTGAAACTTGGCTCATCTCAATATCCGTATCTAAGGGTGGTTCTAAGCACCAAATCCAATCCAAGTACTTTACAAAGTGCTTGTCAAGTAAAAGGAAAAGTGTTCGGTGTTAGTCCTTCCAGAAGGTTCTGAGCAAGTGTATGTTTGTCTTAGTCACCATTACATTTCCAGTACGTAGCACAGTGGTTGACTCATAGGAGATGCTCAATACAGCCTTACTGAATGAATAATAACTGTTCTTCCCTGAAGATGATTCAGAGTGTCTTGCTCATATCACAGTTCGAATCATGAAGTTTCTTTTGTTTTCCCATGAATAACATCTGGAGGTTGGAATAAATAATCTGCAAAGTTCCTTCCAAATGTGACATTCTGTGATGCCAGGAATTTTCACTCTCGGGATCCTGAAGTGTCATGTAAACTCACTGCTGTGTTGAAGTCCCATATCTGTATGACAGAACAATAATAATTTTCAGAAACTGTTTAATTATCTGTCTACAATATATAGATCAGGGGAATCATCTTGACTTGCTCATTCCGTTGGTTCAGAAAAATTAAAAGAAATTTGCCAATGAATGGCTAATAGCCAAAGGAAATATTCAAATTCATTTGTCTGTATAGACAGTCTGCTGAGTAATTCTTACTCCAGTTACTAAATCCTGTAGAAGAGGAAAATTTCTCATCTGTGAATCATGATTCTAATAAAATCTCCAAGGGCTGGTGTAAATACTTTTAAAAACACAAGTGCTTATTATTTCATGAGAGTTGCTGAGAAGATAAGGCATTGTTTATAGTTACAGCAATATATAGGAAAATTAAACCCGTACTCCCTTCTCCTTCTAGTTGTACTCTTAGGCTGGGAATATTTGTCTTGATTAAGCACGATTCCAAAATGACAATTCAGGGTTCGAGGCCTTTCATGAAGCCTTCATTACTATTGGAGAATAATGATCCTGGGGCAGATGCCAAAGATTATATGGGTGGGTAGACTTTTGGAGACACCGAGTCAGATTTTGTTTTCTGTTTTTCCTGCTATTTCTTCGGCTGGTGGGCGACCTCCACCTGTAACCTGAAGCACCTAAACATTTACAGATGGGTTTGTGACGCTCCCCAGCCTCTGCTTAAGTCACCAGTGTGAGCAGTCCAGCTGAGTGAATCCTGGTTGCATCTTCGTCATTTAATTATTTGAACTGGGTTTACGGGCAGTAATGTGACTCCTCTCGTCTGTGGAACTTAGGAAGGCCTACGATGCTATTAAAAGAGGACTGGGTGAACTGCCTGGGGAAATCCAGGGCCTATGATTCAATTACAGGGGCTTTCACGGGGTCAGTCACTACCCAGAAATTACAAAATCAAGTTAAGGGTCCAAAAATAGCCTACATGTTAAATTGATCATGTTGATCAGATTTTAATCATGCTCTTATCTAGAACTAGATAATACCATGAAGGAACAGATCACGAACTATTTGTTCATCCAAGCGGTTCTTGTCTGATCGTTACTTCGTTGGGCAGCATAAAATATAAATTCAGTTTCGCCCATGAATTGTCATGGCAAAGACAGGCTTTCTGATTACTTCTGTCAGTTGTCAACTGCCCCAGATTCTCCAGCCAGCTGGGGTTACCCTTCTTTTTTTCTTTGAGACAGACTCTCCCCCAGTTGCCCAAGCTGGAGTGCAGTGGTCAATCTCGGCTCACTGCAACCTCTGCCTCCCAGGTTCAAGTGATTCTTCTGTCTCAGCCTCCCGAATAGCTGGGATTACAGGCTTGTGCTACCACGTCCGGTTAATTTTTGTATTTTTAGTAGAGACAGGATTTCACCATGTTGGCCAGGCTGGTCTCAAACTTCTGACATCAAGTGATCTGCCTGCCTTGTCCTCTGAAAGTGCTGGGATTACAGGCGTGAGCCACTGCGCCCAGCCTAGGGTTACCCATCTTGTTGTCCACCACCCACACTGTTGGTTTTTTTTTTCTGCACTCTACTTCATTTTACCTCCAGCATGTGCTCCCCGTTTCCCACCCTTTACTGGCACACATTAGACAGTATTTCAGTTTGTTCTCTGCTAAAATATCAGCTGGACCACACCAAGGGTACACGTGGTGGGGCAACTGGCAGTGAGGAGGGGCGTTTCAATGAACAAACTGCAAATGAGACCCATCCTGACCTTAAACTTGAAATTCTCTCTCTTCACTTGAAACCCAGACTTTCTTCATTTTGCAGGGTCTCCTCCTCATTATTACTCTCCCTGCTGACTATCTTGAGCAACTCAAAAGTGTTTAATTATTCGCTGCAGATGTCTGCTGTTCTCACTCCTCCACCTTTCCAGGCATATGTATCTTGGGGATTTGGGGTTTTCTGTTTTTGTTTTTCCCACTGAGAGTATTGTGAAACTGAAGAATTCCTAAAAACTCTGCCTCCAGCTTCTAAAACCACATTATTGTTTCTCCTTGTTACCCTTCCATCCTTTGTCTGATTCCCCACAGTTAATGCCCATCCTAGAAACCCAGGAGCCTCACGCTTGCACAGACTCCAGGGACACACAGTGCGGGCCTACAGGAGCTTCCAGTCAAGTTTTAGCCTTTTTTATTCTGCCCCATGATGCTGAGGGGTTTCACAACTACCCCTTTTCCTAAAGATTCCTTCCTAGGAAGCCTGATACATTAATACTAAGAAGGAATCCCATTCAACTAATGTTCCCGATGAGGTGTTCCTAACCGAAAGTGGCTTGCATTTTAATAGAGGGCTTAACCCAAAGTGTTAGACCAGTGGTTCTCAACTGAGAACAATTTCACTCTCACCCCTCCTTCCTTCCCTGGGGAACATTTGGCAATGTCTGGAGACATTTTTGGTTGTCACAGCAGGGAGTCAAGGGAGTTACTTCTGGCATATAGTTGGGGGGTAGAGACTAGGGTTGCTTCTAAACATCCTACAATGTTAGGACAGCCCTGTCACACAAGAAGTTAGAAAACAGGAAAATTTCATTGACAATTTCAGGGCAAAAATATTTGGGGGAGATGTCCTTTGAAAAACACACAAAGACACATGAATCACCACCCCTTTTTATTTGAATTTTTTAAGATATAGGGTCTTGCTGTATTGCCCAGGCTTGAGAGAAGTGGCACCATCATAGCTCTCTGTAGCCTCAAACTACTGGGCTCAAGTCATCCTCCCACCTCAGCCTCCTAAGTAGCTAGAACTACAGGTGTGTGCCATCACACCCAGCTAATTTTATTTTATTTTATTTTGTAGAGACAGGGGTCTTGCTATTTTGCCCAGGCTGGTCTTAAACTCCTGGCCTTAAGTGATCCTCCTGGCCTTAAGTGATCCTCCTGCTTTGGTCTCCTAAAGTGCTAGCATTACAGGCATGAGCCACCACACCCGGCCACTCTCTCTTTTTCAGATCATCTAAGTAGGTGTGGTAGTTTCCAGATGGGTGGATGGAATCCTAGAGGGACAGTGTGCAGTCTAATCACGGGGCTACAATGCGGTGCTTGAAGTGCAGAACCCGTGCCTTAGTCAGCCAGGTTGCCCCAAAATATAGCTCATCTGAGAGGAAAAAGTGGGGAGGGCGGACTTCCTTTTCAGAGGAGAGTTTATTCCCATTTTCTGAGCTTTTACTGCTTGATAGAAGTAGCCCCCAAAATCAGGATGCACAGATTTCAGTAACCAGGCAAGGGATGCTCCATGTTTCTCACCAAGCAGAGAAAATGCTATTTCAACCCAGAGTCAGCACTTACAGGGAACGCAATAATTTGAGAAGTTGATGGGTGTGAGTTAGCTGCTAGGGAAAGACACCAAATGTATAAACACTGACAAAACATGCTAACATCAAGAGAGGGCAAGCACTCAGATTGGTGCACACAGGAAAACACAGGGCGAAAATGTGGCATAATTTCTCAATTTTTAACCTAAGTCTTACCAATCAACTCACAAGAATAGCTATCAGTGAGGCAAGTCAATTGCCTTCCTTGAACATCTTTACAAACTTGAAAGATGCCTCTTGATTGAGTTGTTTGAAGTACGGTCCTGAGAAAAGACAAGGGAATAGTTCCCATAACCTGCAGGGACTTCTTTTCACCAGAGGGTTTGGCAAGACTACCATGAGTTTAAAATAACAGAGTTAACACTGAAAATTCACTTTATTATGTTTTGATTTCAAAGAAAACGTAGACTTGTAAATAACAATAGTTCTTTGTAACAATCTGCATGACACTTTTATTAGCTAGTGGAAGTGGGAGGTTTGGTTAAACAGGAATCCATGTGAATATTGGGGGGAAGAAAGCTAGAGCTGGAACAACTATGATTTAGAAAAATAATAATCATGTTGGGTTTTGCAAACCACCTGTCACCTTGCTGATCCCCAGAAAAATGTAAAGAACAGTCTCATGGATGAGTGAAAATTTTCTCTGCCTAGATAAGGAGAAGGTCAAAAGACGCACAGCTTAGCTGTCAGCTCCCACCAGCAGATTGCTTTTCAGAGGCTCAGTGTGGACCTGACAAAAGCTATTTACCAGCTTTGGAACTGGCAAGGTTTATTTGTTGAGTACAACTCTTGCTCTTAAGATAAGGAAACCCACGTTGAGGTACAGTAAATAGACACGAAAGAATGGTTCTGGTCCATTGGACACCCCTCTGAGCCTTTATTTTGAGAGTCGGCAAGAGGAGAGATGAATGTTTTTCAGCTGAGCGAGACAACAGCCCCGGGCCAGCTTTTAATAACCCAGAAGTAATAACAATAACCCGCCTGAACAAGCCGGCCAGGAAAGCGCATGCACGGTCATGTTGTCCGCTTCTGAGACAGCCCTGCTTTAGGTCTGTTAGAGTTGATGTGAGGTTCCTTCATAAATTAATATGGCCTAGAAACGTCGATGTGAAACTGGATTTTCTGACTTTAAAGCTACCTTCTTTGAAAAAGAAATGTAATGCCTGATTTTTTTTCAGACTTTGTAATAATTCTAGTTAAAAAAAGAATACAGTTGTGACCATTTCAAAACACCTCTTGAAATTAATATTGGCTGCCTGGAACAGAGCTACACAATAGGTATGGACAATCTGAGCCATGGCTGGGGTCCCTGAGCCCAGTGGGCCTCATGATGGCTCAGGAAGTAGGTGCTGAATGTAGGGACAGGGAAGTGACAGCAGGAAGAAAGGTGGGGGTTACCAACAAAAGCAGAAAAAGCCACTGGCCCCCACCCCCCATTTTGTTTAAGAGACATAGTCTCACTCTGTCACCCAGGCTGGAGTGCGATGGCGCTATCTCTGCTCACTGCAACCTCCGCCTCCTGGGTTCAAGTGATTCTCCTGCCTCAGCCTCCTGAGTAGCTGGGATTACAGGCACCCACCACGCCTGGCTAATTTTTGTATTTTTAGTAGAGACGGAGTTTCACCATGTTGGTCAGGCTAGTCTCAAACTCCTGACCTCAAGTGATCCACTCGCCTTGGCCTCCCAAAGTGCTGGGGTTACAGGCATGAGCCACTGTGCCTGGCCTGGAAAAAGCCACTGCCCTTGATCACCAAGCTTGGCCAGTCACCTGGCAAAAGTTACCAGGTTCTTTCCCTCTCACGTTCCCTCCCAACATCTGGTGCCACCCAGATGCCACATGATAGATCCCTCTTTTCAGATGTTTATTTCAATCTGGTGACACCTGGAGAAGGGAGAGCAGATAGCATTCTGGGTTGCCCTATGCCTCTCCTGCTTCCCTTCTGAGACATCTGTAGTCCAGTAACATGCCAGAGCTCTCTCTCATCCCTGAGGGGCACAGAGCCAGAGCTTAGTGTGGTCATGGCACTGGGGACTAGCGTGCTTGAGCTTAAGTCACTTGAGTGGATAAATCGATCTCTTAAGGCAGAGCATTAACTCTTTCAGGCCTTGGGGGGCTACCCAAGATGCTGAAACTGAATGCACATTGACAAAGTGTGTTCCGAGAATAGAGACAAATATCAGTCAGCACCATGAACCAACTTACAGAACCAAATCTGTTGAAGAAAACAACTTATATGCTCAGTCTCAGGGTCACGTGCAGATTATATCTTTATTGTAGAAAACTCCAGTGAACTAGTTTATGTCCTATTGTGGAAACTTTTTCAGATATTGTAGAAAATTAATGGACATTATCTTGGACCTAGAAAACTTCAATTTATAGTAAGATTTTAATAAAGAGGGAATTTATAAGGGGATTTCCCAATTATTTTGTTTTGGCTAATTTGTGCCATATATTCCCCTTAAAAGCCTCAGATAATTGAGAGTTTCAGTGTATTTCAGGTTCCTGGAATACTGATCCTCTACCAAGCTCTAAGGCAAAGGAGTTTAAAATTACCTTCATTTGTTGTGTAATTTTTTTCCCGAACAATAGACATTTCCTCTTTCAGAAGTAAAAGCCGATAGCAATATTTCATTCTCTTATTTTTCCCACCTCAGTGGCAGGACCCACTGCCACTTGCGATGGTTGCCATAATCTCCCTTATGGATTAGGACAATTTATGTAGGTTCCTACGTGGATATCCTTGTCCCCTTGCTACTTACCAGGAGGGATATATCTCAGCATAAAAAGAATGTCAGATCTAAACATACCAGGCATAAAAAAAGTAGCAAACACACCATTGGAAGCTAAAATTATTTAAAATCCACTGAGTTAATTCTGGGAGAAGCTAGTTTCATTTAATGGATAAAGTCCTACACTATCTCAAACACTCAAGAGTGTGGTCCTATTTGTGATGGAGCATTGGGCAATGCCTGATATGTGCACCAATCCCTTCGCCTCTCTTGGTCTCAATTTCCCCAAACTAAAGGAAGCTGAGATGTCTCCTAAGATCCTTTCCAATTTGAAACACAGCCTGGATTGATGATTTCACAGTTCATCCAGCAGGAGGAAGGGCTGATGGCTGTGGGACCCCCATGAAAGTGCCTTCGCACTCTCATGAAGGAATTCACACCAACCTTCAGGGTAACTGAAGACTGAGCAGCTGCCCATGTGCCTGGCCTTCTTCACACCAAGCTCAGAGCAGCTACTGTCATTCCACTGTTCCCACCATCCGAATCCATAGAATAAAAGGAGGAAAGAGTCACTTTGGAAAAGTTAGACAACAATTTGGGAATGAGGGAAAGGGGATGAATTCTGACATTTTTAAGAGGGCTGGAGGCAAATGTTAACTATGGCAAAGTACTCCAGTAGGTTGTTTTGTACGAGTCTCAGTCTAAATGACCTTACTGTATGGTATTAAAGAATGAGGAAGAACCAATAATTTGATACCAGATGCATGTAATGAAATATCCTGTTAATGTAGCACTGTAAGGAAGTCATATACAGAATAAGAACCAAATTTTTCAAGAAGACGAGAAGTAGCTATTTCACCTTTCTTTCATTTAACATAAAAAAACGGTGCAGGCAGCCTCTCCATTTTCCCTGAATGTCATCTTTTGGCTGATGGCAGAAGCCAACCACTATTTGCATACTGATGCTCCCATAATTACAGTTGAGTCCCTTAAACATAGTCTCCAAGTTACGATTTGTTTGCAATATAATATAGCAGGGTTACCAACTTTATAAGCAATGCTATGTGTCATTTGCTTTAGGCTACAGTATCACATCATCTTGTAAGCATCAAATAAATACAATTAAATATGACAGGTCTTTAAACTGGGCTTGAAGGGTGATGGGCATTAGCAGACGGCGGACGTGGCCGACTTCTTTCAGGCATCTGCTTATTGTAAGGCCGCCCCAGGCACGAGTTAGCTCTGGAAACCTCTCTGTCAGCATTTTAGTTCACCAATCTTGTATCCCCAAAATTTTCATCCTTCAAGTCTTTCAGTTATGAGATTCCATGGGTCACATGCATAATATGAGATAGGAATTTTATTCTCCCTTTTTTTCTTGATCTGTACAGATATACTTCTGATATTCCATCCACTAAATTATTTTCCACCATATTCACCCAATAGTTACAGAATATTGCCAGACCATTCATCTTCTTTTTAATTCCCTTCGGATTCTAAGTGAGAAGGAACTCTCATTCCCTAAAGATTTTTTATATCAAGGGGACAGTAATGCAAAGCAATCCCTTTCTGAGGCTTTTGCTCTTACAAAGATACAACACACCATAGTACCAAAGGACACACGTCCCCACCTTGTTACATCAGATTTTAATATGGCAATAAATGCCTTGAAAAATACACATTTTAAACTTAAAAGGGTATTGAAAGCCATTCTTCTCCAGGTAATTACCAATTACCCCTAAGGGTGGTAGCTGTAAAACCACTTGATCAGACAAAAGTCTTGGTCTTTTCAAAAGTTAAAGTTAAGTCAGGGGCAGTTGATTCTGCTTTCTTTACTGTTCCCATCTGAGAGAAGTATGGAATTTCTTAATTGGGACCATTTGTGGGAAGACATTGAGAAAGCTCCTTTGAGACACTTTTTTTTCTGCTTGGCCAACTGCTCTAGAAAGAAGAAACGTCAAGGTGGGTGGAGACAGTGGTCTGGGCCCACCACCCTCCCGGCTGAACAGCCTGTCATGCTATTTCCAAAGAGAACTCGCCAGGAGGGGAGATGACTGCAGAACACCAGGAGATGGATAGAATAGGGTAGGCTTTAGGTGCAGCGTGTGGCCCCCCCATCCTGGGGCCCCCAGGGAGGAAGAGGGGGCTTCCGTTGAGATAAAGGCCACATGCCTTAGGAAATATCCCCCCAGAAAGAACCCAAAGGTCCAGTGTTCTTGCAGATCCAATGGAGTCCTTGTAGAAGGGAAGGTGGATGGTGACGCCTGCTGGGGTCATGTAGCGGTTGTCCAGTCAGCGTTCTTGGGGGCCTTGCATGTGTGCACATCCAGAGCTTCCAGGCAGTCCTGACAGCGCACGGCGCAGCACCAGTGGAACTTACACCCACACTTGGTCATCCGGGTGACATGGGAGGTGTCGTAGCCTCTCCCACAGCACATGACTTCACAGCTGTCCATGCCCCGGGAAGTCAGGTTGCACACACGGCCTGCTGTACCCAGGGAGCCTGGAAGACAAGCCAGGGAGTGTTACTGAAAAGGTCTGGGTGGAATCCAATATGCCTCCAGAGGAGGAGTCACGAGGTCCATCCTCCAGGACAGAGCCCTGACCCTCTCTTCCTACAGCCTGGGGCTGTTATACTCGTTCTGTGGGCCCATGCCATGTGTGCAAATCCCATTATGCCAGCTGCAGAGAGTGCAGTGGTGCTGAGAGGGCCGAGTCCCAAAAAGGTGAACATGAAACTTTGGATTTCCTTGGACACCCTGAATCCAGCTCTCCCACTTCTGAGTTGGATCGACTTTTCAGATTATCCTTACCCAGCCTTGAATTTAAGGATCCTTGATCGAGCAGAGCCAGATCAGAATAAAAGAAGGATCCATCCTGGCTCCTTCTCCCTACCTCAAACCACATTAAGGAAGCAGTGACCAAGGTTAGCTCTCTTCAAATTTGTCAGGGCATGGAGCCCTCAAAGGGAGGGAATTTTATCTCCATAGACCTGATTACACTGGCTTATGAGAAAGGGAATAGAACTCTGGTTCTGAAGAGGAGACATGGGCATCATTTGTGTGAGACCCTGAGGAAGGAGAAAGGCCCCACCAGGTTTATCATATTAACTGTCTCTCCTGCTGCAGTCTAGCAGGACATATAGATGTGTGTGAGGTCCCAGGCGAAGCCAGGATTCAAGGCCTTCAATAAACAAAATTGGCATAGAAAATCTGCCAGGAATTACCAATGGAATATTGTCTTAGTTAATCAGGGTGATGTTTGCTAAATGGCAATCCATATTTAAGTATTTGTTTCTGAAAAATAATTTTAAAGCTAGAAAGCCTTTTATTCATTTACTCTATTCTTGGGGACGCACTCAGAATTCTTTTATAAGCACATTATCAGACAACAGAACAAAGCATTGTAGACATTTTGGGAGAGTATGCTGGGCTTACCATGATCCTTTCTACTTCCTCCCCCACAGAGATGGGCACCTGGCAGCCATGTTGTATAACATCACCCTGCTCACTGGTGAACAATGATTGGACCAGGGGCAATCAACTGACTTGTGCTGGGCCAATCAGGTAAATTCTCTGTTGATTTGTGATTTTGACACAGATGATCACTATTGCCACTTAGTTGCTGTTGGCAGCTGTACACCATGGTGAGGTCTGTGGACTCGAGGAGGTCCACAGAAAAACAGAAATGAAGCAAATATACAGTGACAGTGAAGACAAGACATGGAAAGAAATGCTGCCCAGATCCTGGACTATTTTCTGGTTCTGCTTCCATTTCTCCCTGAGGCCTGACTGCATTCGAACGTTTGAGTTCCTAGAGACTCTGTATCCTTATAAGAAGCTTCCCCTTGTGGCTTAAACTGTCCCAGTTTCTATTGCTTGCTATCAACAATCCCACCTAATTGATAAACCTAGAGAAGCTAAACTCTTATTTAAAAAACAAAACAAAACGACTTATATCAGGATGAAAAAGACAGTGACTTAATTCATTTTCAGTTTCTCCATCATTTAACTAGGAATGTCTTCCTTTTGATATCTCTGACGATGCCTCGTGACTGTCTCTCTGTTTATCACAGTCCGCTCTGTGTTGGAATTATCTACAGAAATGTCATGTTGCCCTGCCTGTTCGGGATGACCAGGGAAGCAGCAAGGTTCAAGCAGGGCACGGGGTCAAGAAGAGGAGAGGGTGGGGCAGCGTTTGGTCAGAATGATTGGCGGCGGAGAGCAGGAAGACTGGCCGGGGAACTTCATGAGGACAGGAAGGATGGCAAAAGGCCGGGGTCAGGGTGGAGGGTGGGTCAGCCAGGGATGGCTCCGAGCCTGCATCGTGCTGAAGAAGCATGGGGTTAGAAGAGGCAGCAGCTCAGCTTGGATTCCAGGCAGCCATCAGGACAGTCCTCAAAATTTACTGATTATGCAGAAAGGACTCACTGCCAAATGCTGCCTCTTCACAGCACACCCATTATTTCATTCAGTAAACATTTAGTGAACATAAACATATGTAAGACACTGTGCCAGCTGCTTGGGGCTTGGGGCACAAGGGAGAATAAAATAAATAGGACCAAGTTCCTATTCTCAGTGAACCCTCTATATGGCGCAGAGTTAAATATGTAAAGAGATACTTCCACTACTTTGGGTTGTTTGATTTGCTAAGGACCTACTGTAACCCACAGTACAGTCATGTGCAAAGCACCACAGCAAACAGAGCTCAAAGACAGTCAAATGAGGTTATTTAGAGCTTGGACAATCAGCGTTCAAATCCCAGATTTGCCATGTATCAACTGTGTGGCCTTGGGCAAGTTACTTAAACTTGTTAAGCTTCAGTTTCCTCCTGTGCAAAACTGGAATAAAAATAGTTCTTTCATCATAGAGCTTTTGGTGAGAACATAATGAGATAGTGCATGAAAGTGCCTGGCATAAAATAAGTGCTCAATAAATGTTAACTATCCATATCTTCATCTAGCAAGTGTTTATTGAGTGACTACTATGTGCTAGGCACAGTTCTGGGAACATGGGATATATCAGAGAAAAAAAATGAAGATCCTGCCCTCAGGAGCTTATGTTCTAAGGGCATGAGCCAAGCATATTATAATAGTGATATTTCTTGGTATTAATAGTAGCAAATAGATCCATCAACTGCACAGTTTTACAGAGGAGGTAGCATTAGAGATAGGTGTAAAGGATGACTAGAAGATTTGCAGGTAAAGAATGGGGTAAACAGCAACCTGGGCAAGATAGAACCTTCTGGCAGAAATTCTGAGGGCAAGTTCACAACAGACTGCTGATTCAGGGAGGCTATTAGGGACAATGAGCATAGAAAGGGAGGCTGGAGCAACAGGTTAAAGGGTCTGTTGTTGTTGTTGTTATTGTTGTTTGAGACAGGGTCTCACTCTGTCACCCAGGCTTGAGGGCAGTGGCACGAACATGGCTCACTAGAGCCTCGACCTCCTGGGCTCAAGGAATTCTCCCATCTCAGCCTCTCAAGTGGCTGGGACTACAGGCACACACCACCCCATCCAGCTAATTTTTGTATCTTCTGTGGAGACAGGGTCTTGCCATGTTGCCCAGGCTGGTCTCAAACTCCTGGGCTCAAGCGATCCTCCTGCTTTGACCCCCACCAAAGTGCTGGGATTACAGGCGTGACTCACACGCCTGGCCTAAAGGGTCTTTATGCCATGCCACAGTTTGATTTTTATTACAAGGTGGGTGGTGGACCTGTCTAGACCTTTAATTCTGAAAACTAGGTCGCGAAGGTAAGTCTGGAAGAGCAGCTTAGGGCAGGGAGGAGGGCTGTTGGAATACTTCAGACAAGAGATATTGCGTGAAGAAACAAGCAGAACAAATACATGATTGGCTGAAGAGGGTGAACCACTAGAACTTGATGACTCATTGAATTAAGGAGTAGAGGGAGTGTCAAGTAGGAAAAGACTAAAAAAAAGTTAATTTGGCTGCACACCAAGGAGGTAACTGGCGCCCTCGATGAGAGCAGTTTCAGTGGATGACATAGATGAATGTGGTGGAGGAGAGGACATGGGGACAGTGAGTGTAGGTAAAGTTTTCAAGAGGCTTGGTGATGAAGAGGATGAAAGAGAGTAGGGCCAAGAGTGGTGATAAAAGCAAGGGTGGGACTTTAAGATTATTTTAGGCCATTACATTTTCCAGTGGTATGTTTTGCAGCAGTAGATATCTGCACAAGGTTTTCATTTCAGATTAGGTTTTCATGTACCTAAAGTACAAAAATGGGAAAAACTAGTCATTGCTATTAAAAGGAGGTGATTTTCCTTGGGGAATAGAGAAAAAGAGCATGAGACATGCCTCTGGAATACTGGGCCCCTTCAGGTTTTTTATCTGGGCACAGGTCATGTGGGTGTGTCCATTTGTGAAAATTCATTGTGCTGTACACATGGAATGTGGGCACTCTTCTGCATTTCATATTTCAATAACAAGAAGAAGGTGGTAGAGGAAGAGGAGAAGGGGAGGGAGGAGAAAGAAGGGGAAGAGGAAGAAGGGAAAGAGGAAGAGGAGGAGGAAGACAAGGAGGAGGAAGAGAAGAGGAAGAGGAGAAAGAGGAGGAGAGGAAGGAGGAGGGGGAGGAGGAGAAAGAAGAAAAAGGAAGAGGAGGAGGAAGAGAAGGAGAAAGCAATGGTGGCATGTGCCAAGGCCAGGAAATGAGCAAAGCTCTGCAACGTGTGAGGAGCAGGAAAGTGTTCCCTGTGGCTGGTATACAGTACTCAAAGGGGAGAGTGTCAGGAGATGAGGCTGGAGTGGTGAGGGGAAGCTGCACTGGGAATGGTCAAGGGGTTTCAACTTGACCTTGAGGGCAACAGAATGCTATTAAGGGCCTTCACACAAAAGGGCAACATGTTCTCATTTGTGTTTCAGAAGGATCTCCAAGGGTGTGGGGCTGGAATGAAGTGGAGGGGGCTGGAGTGAGGACAAGAAGACAAGTTAGAGACCAATACAGACTCTGGGCAGGACATGAGTGGCCTGGATTAAGACAGTGGTAGTGGGAACTGGAGCGGTTACTAGAGTCAAGAGAAGGTGAGGAGGCAGGACCTGTGGGACATGGTGACTGAGTGGAGACTGGGGGAGGATGAGAAAAGTCAAGGTTTCTCAGGTTCTGGCCTGAGTGACTGTTGGTGCTGTTAATTCCCTGACATGGGGGACACTTGGTTAGGGGTCAGCTTAGAGAAAAGATAATGAATTCAGTTTTCAACAGGTTGAGTTTGCTGTGACTGTGGGGCATTCAGGTAGAAATGTTTGCTGAAAATACTCTCTGGGACTCAGGAGAGAGGTGGGCATGAAGACTCAGGTTTAGAAATCTTTTGTGCAGTGGTGGTAACTGAAGCCACGGGTGTGAATGAGACCCCCAGTGGGTGTGAAAAGTGCTCTCACTTGGTATCCCAGAAGTGACTCTTAATTTTTACTTTTTTGTTATTGTTCACATGCGCTGAGCAGCAGTAAACATTCTTCCCTTCTACTGATCTGTATTTATCAAAATGGGAATACCGTACCATGCATTAGAATTCTTTATCTGCCGTAGGGCTTTGGGCTTAAGGGGGCCAGGATAAGGAGGTGAAGTGTCTCGTTCCTGACTCAGACTGTTGGCCTTTCACTGAAATCTAACTTGGTAGTCTTTCTTTCCTGAGTGGCTTCCAGCCTAAGAAGGTTTGAGCTTGTGGTCTGACTCAGCCTTCTGTAATGGTCATGGTGTCTTTTGTCCCCCAGATGCAGAAAACTGAACCAGACTGTCTGAACAGAAGGATTGCTCAGTGTAGTGACCTCAACACCATCAGAACTCAGAGAGAGGAGCAGACAAAGCTATGACCATTGACAAAAGCTTAACTCAGAAGTGGTTTCAGTAAAGGGAACAAAGCCTCTGGCAATATGTCTCAGTAGTTCAATGTTCAGTTATAAAATGCTGGAAAACACAATCTGAACATGCCACTCTCCACCGGCTGCCCAAACGGCATAATGAGGGCCCAGAAGATGGAAAATGAGAGAGGGTTTTTGAGGATTGAGAGCCACTGATGAGAGAACAGCAGTGAGGTCGCAGCCTGGAGCTGTGACGGGCCCCCATGAGGCATCGGGGCACCAAGGAATGGGCCAACTGGGCGGGAAAGGGCAGTCCCTGCAGCTGGAAGGGAGGATGAGGCTGCCTAGTGATGGATGACAAATTGGCCCTGTTTGGGGGTTTGGATCTAATTAGATCTAATGACAGGCTGTAGGGCAGAAGGGCAGTTTTGACACTTGCTGTCATTTTAGCAGAACATACAGCCATTTCATAGAAACCCTGAAAAGAACATTTCCAGAGTGCAGAATCTATACAAAATCGCTGGCATTACTTTCCCCTTAATGAATTACAATAAAGACTCATTATTATCAATAGCAGTAGGGCCATACTGTTCCATTGGTCTTTCCAAAACAGAAAGCATCACCATTATGTTTCCAATAAAATATAAGAACCAAGAGTATGTGTGTATGTGTGTGTGTTTTAATGAAAAGGAGCCACTGACTTTTACCAACTGCCTATTTGTTTAGTTCTAAATCTTTGGGACACATACTTTTAGATGTTTTTTCTCAAATAATATACAAACTTGTTAACTGAGTCACTCACCCTTGCTTGGGCCACAACAGGAACCACTGGGGAGACAAACCCAGCTACATCTATCAGCCTTAATCCCATAAGGGTGAGTTTTCACATTTTCCAAGCTGAATGGAGTGAAAGTTCATTCATCCTTTCTCACTTTTTTTTCCCATTCCTTCTTCTTCTTTCTTCCTTTCCCTCTATCTTCTTTTCACTCTCTTTCTTTTCTTTCTGTTCACAACTGGAGCCAATATTTATGGAGCACTTATGTGAGCTAGGCCCCATGCTAAGCATTTTGCCTGCATTGTCTAATTTAATTCTCATAAGCTTATAAGGAAGGTACTATTATTATCACCATTTTGGAAATGAGGAAATGGAGATTCAGGAAGATTAAGTAACTTGCCCAAGATCACACAGGCAGCTGGTGGCAAGGACAAGATTTGCAAGCAGGCTTGCCTGACTGTAGAGCTCAAGCTCTTGACAGTCGTGACATTCTGACCCTTTGCCGAGTGCCCAGTCCTGGTGCCCGGCCAGGCACCAGAAAGCAGCCTGCTTTATAACATTATGTGACCAGTGCAGCAGCGTCTTTCCCGTACTCTCTTCTAATTCTTTTATCAAATGAGTAACGTGCAAAGATCCTGACATGTAACTTTTTGGGGAGAGGGCCTTTTTCTTCAGCTCATGATATGCTGTAGACAATTACAACACATAAAGTTATGTAAGAAACTGAAAAAAAGACTGGGTTAACATGGTGTCAGTTGCTCATGCTGCATTTTTCCTATACTGATATTCCTACTGGATGCCTGTAACCTTTAAGAGAAATGAGAATAATTTGTTTGTAATGCCAGGATGCATGTCTCCAAATTATGTGTGCCCTCAAGGTGGTTTTAATATGTCACTGATGTGGCCAATGCTGAGGACATTGAGCCCTCTCTAGGCAGAACCTTCTGGTTCAGAGAAGCCAATAGCATCAATTTGTATCTCATCAAGAATATAATTACTCAGTCTGATCATCTACCTAACTCTTCATACTTCATTTGAAGATTCTCTGAGCCATTTCCAACAGCCATCTTGATCTTTATAGGACAAATATTTGTACTACACTGTATCTACAAAACAAGTGTAGCTGGCTCTTAAAAATACTCCAGAAGAGACATTTTAAAAATAGTTTCAATTACCGGTCCTATCATTAGAGTCTCCCAAATTGATACTTTAAAAGGATAAACATATATTTGGATGCTTCACATTTAACATGTTTGTTCTACAAAATCATTCATGTTGGTTTATAATGTTATTTCTTATTGCAGTTTGATTTACATAGTTCACCTAAGAGGAAAGTGACAAGTTGGAAATTCATTTTCCCTGACTTCCTTTTGCTTTATATTTGTGAAGTATTCCCAGGATGTGTGGCCTGCCTGAGTCCAGAGCCCAACTCCCAGACACAGAAGGTTGCAGACTCGAAACTTCTTGTCATCTTTATACCAAACAATTGTGAGATCATCGTCCTAAACCCAGTGTCTATAAGATCCAGGCAAAGTCGTTAAGGTTTGGCAATGTCTGTGCTGTGGGAAGGAGCTGCTTCCAGCCAGATGGACCTTTTGCTTGCCCATATGTGTTGTCATCCTGACTCGCACAAGAGCTCACAAATGCATAAGATTAAAAAAAAGGACAAAGAATTGGAGTTTCTAAATCACATAAGTTTGGGACCATGTAACACTTTTGGTGGAGCAATGCCGAGGGAACTTGATGGAATTGAGCATCCCATTTCTAGAGCTATAAAATTAATAATGGAGTCAGGGTTCCCAGTGTAAAAACATTTCTGTCTCCACTAACATGCATCTTGCTGACAGCAGAGGAGGAACAGAGGGGTTTTTGCTAATAGTTCCCAGACCCATACCTCTGGGACCCGGAGGAAGGGGTCCCTCCTCTCTCAATCTCTCTTTCTCTCTCTCTCCCCGCCCTTCTCTCCCTATTCTCTCTCTGTCTCTATCTCTCCCTCTCCTCCTCACCTCCTTCTCCCCCCATCCCCTCTCTCTGGATAGACCTGTGTCTGGAAATTCCTGCCACTCTAGGATGACAGAGGCCCATATGTTGACTATTAGGGCATAAACCAAGATTCACTTAAGCCTGTCATCCAATAGGCTGTTTCTCCTCTGGTTGTCTTACATGTTGTCATTAATGACACAGATTTATTGAGGGAACTAAAGTATGTTAAAGAGCAAATGTTAGAGACCGCACATTCATCCACTGGTCAGGCTCACCCCTTCCTCACATTTGGACTGCACAGCTTAAGCTACATAGGAAAGACAATATCTTCACTTATCTCAGATGATTTTATTCAGTGTTTTCGTAAGTTGGAAAAGTTTGACTGGCACAGGAAAGCATGTCCCATTAAATTAGCAAATCTTGTAATGGAATTAAAGTTGTTCTGGTCAGACTCTGTGAGGCTTTCCATATCTGGCACTACATAGCCTACTCAAAGCTATTTCCCACTGTAGTCCACCTATACCTGCTAACCAGGGTATCTCTTCACTGTCCCACTGAGGTGACTTTCTGATGTCACAGTCATGTAGACTGTTTCCTCATAAGAGTTACTCTCGGCCGGGCACGGTGGCTCACACCTGTAATCCCAGCACTTTGGGAGGCCAAGGCAGGCGGATCACAAGTTCATGAGATCGAGACCATCTTGGCCAACATGGTGAGACCCTGTCCCTATTAAAAATACAAAAATTAGCTGGGCATGGTGGCGTGCCTGTAGTCCCAGCTACTCAGGAGGCTGAGGCAGGAGAATCGCTTGAACCCAGGAGGTGGAGGTTGCAGTGAGCCAAGGTCGTGCCACTCTACTCCAGCCTGGGCGACAGAGCGAGACTGTCTCAAAACAAAAACAAAAACAAAAAGTTACTCTCATCTGCTGCATTGGCCTTTCCTGTAACTCCTTCCATCAGAAGTCTTCCCATCCTTCCAGATTCAGGCCTACTTCAGCATTTTCTATACAGCACTTTCGGTCTGCAAGCCCAGCTAACCTCCTTCATTAGGCCTGTAATGCACATCACGCCACAGGGTTCATGCACTGTTTGGAAATATTTGATCATTTTTTCATGCATCTTGTCTCCCCAGGGACAGGGGTTGGGTCTTATGCTTTCTTCTTATGCTTTCTTCTATATACTGTGTGGTCAACACATATGTGCTGATTTATTAAATATTACATTAAAAATAGTGTCTTAAAAATTTAGATCAAGGCTGGGTGTGGTGGCTCATGCTTGTAATATCAGCACTTTGGGAGGTCAAGGTGGGCAGATCACTTGAGGTCAGGAGTTCAAGACCAGCCTGGCCAACATGGTGAAACCCCATCTCTACTAAAAATACAAAAATTAGCTGGCCATGGTGGTGGACACCTGTAATCCCAGCTACTCGGGAGGCTGAGGCAGGAGAATCGTTTGAACCCAGAAGGCAGAGGTTGCAGTGAGCTGAGATTGGGCCATTGTACTCCAGCCTAGGTGACAGAGCAAGACTCCGTCTCAGGGAAAAGAAAAAAAAAAATTAAGATCAGCTTTCCTTTTGCCTGATGAGGGCACATTTCTCCAGGGACTGGTCACCCAGTCTTCAGGCACCATGGTGGCAGCAGACCAGCTAAACCTTGGCTCTGTTAAAATGATCTTGCTTGGTATATGGAAAACACATACCAAAAACGTGGCACATTTTTAAATGATAGAAATTAAAAATGACAACTTAAGAAAGTTTGTGGTATCAATTTAAGGTTCTGTTATTGCAAACTTAATTAAACTTAATAATTAATTCATTCACTTACTGAATCAAAGGAACCTTAGAAATTGCTAGATGAAACAGCCATTTCTTAAGAGACCCAGAGAAGTTAATTTGCCCATTAGTCCAATTGGAGAAATAGTGATATGCAGCAATCTGTAGCACCAAAGTCTCCTTATAGATCACACAGGGCTCTTTCCCTAATAATATGAAATTTGCATATCTTTAAAAAAGATATTTACCAGTACAAAATAGGTGTCATGGGGAAAGCTTAAATGAAGTAAGCAAATTTGTTATTTTAAAGTATTTTAACGTCATCCTTTTGTTTGCAACACATTTAATTGGTAATTCGAAATGAGTAGTTTCTATTTCCAAAATACAAAGATAAAAGGGCATCTATTTGGTAAAGTATTTGTCAGTAGTTCAAACTATGTCAAAGAATTAGAAATAAGAAAATAAACATTTTTTTCCTGAAAAGTATCTTTTTTTTTAGAAAAAAAATCCTTTTTTCAGTATTCACAATTCAATCTGATTACCACTGTCAATTCAAATTAAGGCACATTTTAGTGTATCCTAAAAATATAGTAATTCTACTAAGTTTGTATTTTAAAAATAACACAGATTTATAGATTCTGCCTACAACATCAAAGAGCATTGGATGTGAAAAGTATTTTTGCTGTTAATATGAGAATTAGGAACTACTCAGGGAGGCCACTGATAGTAGTGAGTGAAAAATGCCCCTCCAAGAGTAAAAGAACTGAGTCTCTGCTGCCAGTTAAAAGCGATAGATATAGTCTGCTGATGCATTAGTTCACGTTAGACTTTTTTTTTTTTTTTTTTTTTTTTTTGAGACAGAGTCTTGCTCTGTTGCTCAGGCTGGAGTTCAGTGGCACAATCTCGGCTCACTGCAAGCTCTGCCTCCCAGGTTCACGCTATTCTCCTGTCAGCCTCCTGAGTAGCTGGGACTACAGGCGCCCACCACAACGCCCGGCTAATTTTTTTGTATTTTTAGTAGAGACGGGGTTTCCCCGTGTTAGCCAGGATGGTCTTGATCTCCTGACCTCATGATCCTCCTGCCTCGGCCTCCCAAAGTGCTAGTATTACAGGCGTGAGCCACTGCGCCCGGCCCACTTGAGACTTTTTATCTCCAGGGGAATAGCCAGGCAAGCAACATCTGAAACTCCATAAATGCCTCATGAATGCGCCTGAATATGAGGAAAAATTCCATTGAACACTTAAGCTTAAATGGGAATTTTCATAGGCTGTGAGTTAAAAGCTAAGCAGTGCTGGGTGGAGATGTGCCTAGTAATCCCCTTCAAAGGAACCAAGTTATCTTTAAGCTATGAAGCAGCGCTAACACACAGAAGAATGCAGCTAATCTAATGAAACTGTTTTATGTTTTTTTATAATTTGCCATTCAATTCACTTCAACACATGTTTGTGTACTAGGAGTTGGGGAACTAGTGAGCAAGGCAGATACAGTTCCTGCCGTCACAGGATCCTCAGTGGACTCCATTGGTACAGGCAGGTCACAAACACATGTTTATACAAATTCGCTATACACACTGTGGCACATGCTATGCTCAAAAGAACATAGCTCTGTTTGGACCTAGGGGTTGGTAGTAAGGATGGAGAAGCAGATAGGTCCTTGACACATTTAAGAGGTCCCAGTGGTACCCGGGATGATGGAGGTGACAAGGAAGGAGTGTAAGGAATGACTCGCAGGTTTATGCTTGACCATGGAAGTGGGTGGCAGGCAGTACCATTTTCTGAGATGAGGAGGGCTGGGGGAAAACAAGTTTCAGGGGACAGGGCAAATAAGGAGTCCAGTTTTAAGCAGAAGCAGGTTGATATAATTGTATGAAATCTGGGTGAAGCTGTCAAGCAGGGAATTGGATACAGGATGATGGTACAGAAGGCAGACAAGGACAGGGACAGCATTTAAAACCATAGGAATGGAGAGACCAAACCAGGGAGAAAGTACAGAGAGAGAGCAAAGAGAGTTCAGACAGCCTGGAAGATCTTCAAAATTTGGAGAAGGAGAAACTAGCAACTGAAATCAGAAAGGACTAGTTATTGGAGCAGGAGGAAAAGCAGAGGAGTGTAGTTATAAAGTCAAGGAAATAAGACTGTTTTGGGAAGGAGGGAAAGGCTAATTATACTATATGCCACTAAAGAGTTTGAAAAGAAGGCTCAATGGATAGTAATTACTACTAATTCTAGAGTATAATCAATAACTACCCATGAAAATGGTGACTTATAAGCCTCAGTGAAACATTTTTTTCTACAATTCTCTTCTGGTCTAGCTATCTTAGCACCTTTTAGATATCAATCCATGAATTTCTATAAGTGTCAAAGCAGAAGGAGATGAATAACTTATTCTTTACCTTGTCAAAATGACATATATAAGATAAGACCTTATAACAGAGCAATGCAACAAGGACTGAAACCTAAACACCACCACTTTCCTGCCCCAGTGTGAGGGTTCTCCAGCACCTAGACTGTGTCCCAGTGCCTGGCTACTGCTTCAAGGACCATGAAGTCGATGACACCACGAGGATAAGGACTGAGTCTGTTTTCCTCAATCCTGCGTTCCCAGTGATTATAAGAGTGTCTGGCACATAGGAGGATCTCAATCAATATTTGTGCAATGAAGAAATGAGGGACTTAAGGTGTACAGGTTAGAACTTCACATATTAGTATCTAAGTAAGATCCACCCATTGCTATTGGCTGACATATTTTTAATCATGTTTAATCATTAAAAACATGTTCCCTTGTTTTTAATCAGCTGGTGGGACACAATCCCGGCATTCATGAGCTTCTGCAAAGTAGGCCACACCACTGGGCATGAGAGAACACCAGTCTCTGAAAACCATGATTGGGATTGTGTACCCATGGGTTCTGAGTTCTGTTTGCCAAATATGATTTATGTGGGGGAAAAATGTGATACCTCGGTGCTTACACCATTCACAGCCTGGAGTTGTCAACCAGGCTTTTGGGTTTTTCGCAGGCAACAAATTAAACAATGACTGAGCTCCGTTTGTTTTTTGAACTTGACTGGAGAAGAGGTGGAGTGTGGCTTGTTTCCTGCAGTTGGAGAGGAGACCTCAGGGTGACCTCTGGCCCAGGTCAGGGTTTTTACATCATAACTAGTGAAAGTGGCCTGTGATTAGGTGCAGACGCATTCTCTGGAGGGGAGAGCAGCAGCATTCCTCAGTTAGAGATGAACCTATCTGTACCTTAAGGGCTTCTTTGATTTACAGATGCCTGGAGCAGTAACCAGAGTAGATAACTATAGAGCCACCAGGATACTCATCCCAGACAGTCCAGCTTCCAAGATCTAGCCTCCAATTTGGCCTGCAAAATGTCACATGCACAACATCACACGGTTGTACGTACTCTTCAGATCTGAGCTGCATGGGGCGAGTAATTATAGTTGAACCTCAGAGCACTCACTTTCTTCAGTTGAAGACTAGAGGAAAATGTCTTTTGCTGTTGTTCTTGCCATAATAATATCTTCCTTAATTGGTTTTTAAGCTTACTATTTCTTTTCTCTTTTTTTTTGAGACAGAGTTTCACTCTTGCTGCCCAGGCTGGAGTGCAATGGTGTGATCTCGGCTCACCACAACCTCCACCTCCCAGGTTCAAGCAATTCTCCTGACTCAGCCTCCCGAGTAGCTGGGATTACAGGCATGCACCACCACGCCTGGCTAATTTTGTATTTTTAGTAGAGATGGGGTTTGTTCATGTTGGTCAGGCTGGTCTCGAACTCCCAAACTCAGGTGAGCCGCCCTCCTCGGCCTCCCAGAGTGCTGGGATTACAGGCATGAGCCACTGCCCCTGGCCAGCTTTCTATTTCTTAGGAGCAATCAAAGGCATTGACGCTTTTGAAAATCTGAGGGGCTTGTAATTGAAAAGGGCTTCAAGGCAACCTAACCAAAATGTGGGTGAAGCTTGATTCTGATTACTTTTGACCTCCCCTCTTTGTGGGCACCTCACCCCATAAAGTTCCCATGTCCTCATGCTGCCTCTTCATCACACAGGACCTACTCCCAACCACACTCACACACACACACACACACACACACTGGGACGTAAGTGGCACAGTGAGAAAGGTATGGGTTTTTGTTTTTATTTTTTTTATTCTCACAGGCCATGCCATCTTGGGCAAGTTAAGTAACTTTGCGGAACCTCACTTTCCTTCTCTATAAATGGAGGTAATTGCCTTGAAGAGTCAGAGCATATGTACATAAGGTGTGTAGCGCAGGGCCTGACTCGCAGCAGGAAATCAACAAATGTTCTCGCATCCTTCTCCAGCTAGGTCTGTCCCCATCCAGGAATAACCTGGGGTCTCGACTCTGCAATTTTTCGCATCAAAGTTCACTAGCCTAGTAGCGTTACTTCAGGACTTCTCTAGAGGCTGACTTGGTAACTGCTGTCAGTAAAAGCTTTGATGGCTGAAATAATTTTGTTTATTTGCAGTCAAAGAGGGTTCCTGAGGATGCTGGCCTAGGAGTGAAAGAATGACTCTCTTATACTGGGCAAGACATGGTGGGAGATGTTTTTTGGGAGATGTTTATTTAGAGTTATCTAGTTTTCCTTAGCAAGAAATCAGGTACTGAAAAAACATATATATATGAAACTCATGTCTCCCTGAATTTCTTCTTGCCTAATAATTAGGGAAAATTAGGAATCATACACTGCCTAAATCACTGATTTTTCAAACTTTGAGGTGTTTAAGTTTGAAAAGTTTGCAGAGGCAGTGCCAGTGGACTCAGCCACTTGGGAAGCTCAGGTGAGAGGATCACTTGAGCTCAGGAGTCGGAGCCTGCGGTAAGCCACGATGGTGCTACTGCAGTCTGGGCAACAGAGCAATAAAAAAAAAATTAAAATGATGAAAAACAGAGAAACTTATATAATTTCGGGAACAGCTCCCTAAGATGCTGGTTCAATAGGTTTCTGAAGAGCCACTTCCTTTGGAAAAAAGTAGACCAGACCTGTAGACTGCATCAGTTGCACAAACCTAATTGATAAAACAAGCCAGCTCACATCAGTCAACAAGCTACCTTGGACAGGAAGCAGTTGCTGACCAGCAAGAGTAAAGCCAGTCAGTTCCAAATACTGATTCCCTAATAATGTTCAACCTGCTCACCACCATCGCTTCCCCAGTGCTGGCAAGTAGAAGGCGCCCACTAAGTTGAATATTAAGTGTGCACGATTTAAAAACAAAAGCAATGATGGAAAGCAAAGAAAGAAGCAAAACCAAACAAAATAACCACAACGAAGTAGAGTGAGCAGTATGAGATGCAATGTCAGGAAGGGTTAATGCTGATTTTAAAAGAGAAAATGAAAAACAAGAAATTCTATATTAATTACTTGATTTAAATTTGACTGCAAACTTTTGACTTGTTTTGGAGCCTGGCTATCCCAGGATGATAGCCCATTTTGAACACGTGAGAGTTCCGTTCACCAGAAAATAGGCCTTTCCTAATGCAATAGGATTTTAGCACGGTGGGGTTGGGGGCCTCGGTGGTGTGCTTACTCAATAATGTGTGCATGCTGGTAGCTCTCCAGTGCAGACTGAGAAGATGATACACTGACCCAACACCTTCATTTTGAGAAGAGAGAGGCTCCCAGATCCCACTGAGTGAAAGGCAGCTTTAAGGCCCCTTCTTACAGGTCTCAGATTCTCTGTTACACCCCCTGCCTCTACTAACCAGAGGTTAGAGGACACTCCAGGATGACTCTGTTCTCTCCAGGATGACTGACTTGCTAGAGCACATGCTACAGAAATTTCTAGTAGAAAGTGGCCAGGATAAAACCTCAACTTTATTTATTTTTTATTTTTTAGAGATGGGGTCTCTCACTATGTTACCCAGGCTGAGTTTGAACTCCTGGCCTCAAGTGATCCTCCCGCCTCAGTCTCCCAAGGTGCTGGGATTATAGGCATGAGCCACTGTGCCTGGCCAAGCCTCATCCTTAAAAGGCCATTGGTCACATAACCAAGAGCAAGGCCCTCAGCAGCCATATGGATGGAAGCAGGTTTTCTCAGATAAAACTTGCATCTCATACATCTCATACATGTGGCTAATTGCATATGACTCCAAATATATACAATAAAAAAATTTTAACTATCTGGACTTGTGCTTGCATAATATCAAATATCCTAAATCATATTTTTACTAAAATAATCATCTGATGGTCAACAGAATTAAAAAGAAATATTGCAAGGTTTGCACCAACCACTTTGGCATTTTCTTAGGCTCAGCCAAAAAGGACATTAACTAAGTACAGTTCAAATAATTTATAAATAATCTAGGAATCTTACTGGAAATCTGATCCAATATATTGGAACTGGCAACTAAAAAAAAAAAAAAAAAAGAATAGGGTAGATCTTGGTTAATCAACACCAACTGAGAACCAATTTCAAATTTTTTAAAGTCAGATAAGCTAAAATTTGTCTAAGACAGAAGACAGATAAGAGAGAAAGTAAGTTATATAGCTTTCTTCAGAAAGCCAGCACCTGCGGCTGTGTGCAGCGAGAGGCAGAGTAAAATCGTTGTTGAAAAGACAGCCACAGCCAGGTGCAGTGGCTCACGCCTGTAATCCCAGCACTTTGGGAGGCTGAGGCAGGTGGATCACTTGAGGTCAGGAGTTTGAGACCAGCCTGGCCAACATGGTGAAACCCCGTCTCTACTAAAAATACAAAAATTACCCAGTCGTGGTGACACATGCCTGTAATCACAGCTACTTGGGAGGCTGAGGCAGGAGAATTGCTTGAGCCCAGGAGGCGGAGGTTGCAGTGAGCCAAAATTGTGCCACTGCACTCCAGCCTGGCCAACAGAGCGAGACTCTGTCTCAAAAAAAGAAAAGAGAAGAGAAGAGAGACGAGACGAGACGAGATGAGATGAGACGAGACAAGATGAGATGAGACGAGACAGCCAGGCTCAGGTTTAAGTCCCTGATCTGCCTCTTACTAACCACAAGTGGGTAGGGAAAATCTTTAACCTCTTAGAGCTTCAGTGTCCTCCCATAAAATGGGATAATAACATACTCACCTTATAGACTTTCTGTGAGAGTCAATGAGAGAATGTAGCTGCAGCTCTGGCATGTGATGGGTACTACAGATATATCTGCTATTTTAGGATTAAGAAAGAGAATTTCTTTCTAATACAAAGAGTTGAAAAAGCGGAGTACGCAAGAATAACTTAGTAACTTGAAGAGGCAGCAGGGATTAGATTCAGAATCACCTCTGTGGGGTAAAAAAAAATATGGTCTATATTTCATTGACAATAAATGTCATACCTGTTATACCTAAGGCAGTACATATTCCTCAGGTACACCAGCCTGCTTCCCTGTGCAAACTGCTTCAATCCAAAGAACCAGAAAAGACATGCTGGGGAAGAGGGTCCTCTTATATTTGAAATAAGGTTTTTGCTCCCCAAGGCCTTTTCACATATGTGTCCTTGGAGGCAGGCAGGAGCAACTGTCTAATGGGTCAAAGCACAGGCCAAGGGATCAGACATCCACCCTCTCCTACCGGTGAGATCGTGAGCAGGTCATTCACTTTTCTTATCTGTACAATGGAGAAGGTGATATCTAGGGTTGCTTATCTGACTTAAAAAGTAAGATGTGAACGTGGTTCTTGGTTGGTGTTGATCATCTAGGAGCCACCTCTTATTCAATTTTTTCTGGTTAGTAACAAGTTTCAATGTATTGCTGTCATAGGGCTGCTGTAAGGATCCTACTGTAAGGATAAAATAAGACCATGTGTGCAATGATCTCAGCCCAGTACCCAGTGCACAGGAGTCAATGCATAGGACTTAAATGATCAAGACAGCAGCATCTCCATGCTCAGTGTGAGGAGGCTGAGGTTAAACAGCTAGTGACTGGTAGAGGGGGGTCAGACCCCTGGGACAATCCTGTATCCAAGCACAGGTTTCATGGTGATTTGGCTATAACTTTGGCCTGACAGGTAGGATGACTTGTTAGAGGTCCCAAAGCATGTCAGGAATGCAGCGGGGCACAGCATCTGGTCCTCTGCTCCGTTGTCATTAATCCCTGGGCTGCATGTAGCAACCTGCTCAAATGCTGCGGAGAACTAGCTCATCAAACCATGAAGGCAATTCAACCACTCAGGGGCAAAAAAAGGCTTTGGCTTCCTTGTGACATTCCCTGGTAACTTTGCCTCTTGGTCAATCTAACTGACAGCTGGCTGCCATCCATACCATTTTATTGGTGCCTCTGCAATTATTTTGAAATAAAAAAAAATCAGACTCTAAGAGGATTTTTTTTTCTGATAATGAATTCCTTTGCTTTCTACCAAGTCTTAGAAATTGACTTGGGCTGTGGACTCCCATCACCTCCTATGAATTTAGACTTGTACTCATTCTTATTTTGCACTAGAATCTTTACAAAGAATGAGCTAAACCTGGAGCTCAGGGTTGATCAAGAGGAGTGAGAGGTAGAGCATGAACATGTGTAAACCTGATAGGTGGGACAGCTGCGGTGTTGAGGCTGACAGAGCTGTTCTTTGAGGGATGGAGAAGGTACCATCTGGAAGGGAATGGTGTGGCTTTAATAAATGAAGGGCCTCTGACACAGCCTTTATTATACACTGCCCACCTATAGCCAAGAGAGTGGGGATACATTCTTGCTTTTTATCTTTGGCAATTTCTAAGCATATTGAAAAGAGCAGGGAAGGTGAAGTAGGGCAGATTTCAGAAGAGTCTAAATTTAAAGCCCTGGGACCATTTTCCATAGTCACAGTGGTGGGATTTAATGTATCCTGCTCTCAGCTTCAGGATCACATGAAAGATGCTGGGCTGCTCTCCCTAGTGTGCATAGTCCACTAACTAGAAATCTGCCCAGGCTGAAGAATTTTGCTAATCTGCGTATCTTGACTTTTTGCCCTGGACATTGTGGGGTTTCAATTTCTCCAGAATCTGTGCACTGTCAATCCATTTCTCCAGTTGCTTAGGAGAGCTCTCTGTGCAGTTTCTTTTCTTTTCTTTATTCTTTTTTTGAGATGGAGTTCACTCTGTCACCCAGGCTGGAGTGCACCTCAGCCTCCTGAGTAGCTGGACCACAGATGCGCACCACCATGCCCAGCTAATTTTTTGCATTTTTGGTAGAGATGGAGTTGCCCAGGCTTTTCTTGAACTCCTGAGCTCAAGCAATCTGCCCATTTCGGCCTCCCAAAGTGCTGGGATTACAGGCATGAGCCACCGCGCCCAGCCCTGTACAGTTTCAATAAGAATGATAAGGATCGTGAGCTTTGAACCTAAAGAGAGCAGGCTGAAAATACAGAACCTCATTTAAATTGTGGAGTATCAATTGTTGAAAGAATTAGGTACTATAAAGAAAGTCTTTTGAACTTACCTGCCTCTCGGTCCCTGATACAGTAGTCTGGAGAATTCTCAAAATACACGAGGTCATTTTTCGTTGGCTTCTTAAACCTCTCGTTAGCCACAGTGAAACCTGTGCCATCCTGGTTCATGACCACCTGGATGGCCCCATTGTACTTCCTCCAGAGATAATCGCCCGTTTTCCTGAAGTCGGCCATGGCCAGCCAGCATGTCCTGAGAGTACATGAGCCGCTCACCCCGTGGCACTTGCACTCTTGTTTCAAGAACCGCTTTACAGCCTGCCGAAAAAGACAGGGGCAAGTTCAGTGAGGTTCGAGCAGGTGACACATGCTCCAACTCTCCTTACCTCCCAGCAATCCAGAAGTGATTCTCAGGATGCTGGATCCTGGGGCAAGTGACTGGGAAATGTTGAAGCATTGCTTGTCACTTGTTAGCCACATTAGCCACCTGCCCTGACTGCAGCAGGCAGGGGCAGTGGGTGGAGAGGGGAGGGATAGCACCTAACTGTGTACCCCACTGGCTATCAGTATAACAGAAACCTCACAATTTAACAGGGCATGTGGCCAGTTAGAAGAGTGAGGGATTGAATTATTTTCTAAATAAATAGAGCTTTATTATATTAAAAATGTATACTATCCAATTAATGCTGTCCAGTTTAAAATAAAATAATATAAAAATGTATGTATTATGCAAATTAAATTAACAAAATAACTGCTAAGTCCGAATCCTGCAATAAACCAATCAGGGTAATTGTACTATAGCAATTCTATGCTACTGTATTTATTTTGCAGATGACCGAGAAGCAAGGCTGAGAGAGGTGGAAGCACTCACCCAAAGTTACACAGCCAGGAAAAGACAGAGCCAGGCTGTACTGCAAAGTCAGTTAGTGACCCTGAGGCTGACAGTAACTTGGGGAGATTCAGCTTAGATGACAGGGGTGGGTTTGCTTTGATCTTTCTTAGACAGGAAGCAAAGGAAACTGGGACAAGCTCATCTCGGCTGGCTCCCAATATAGAGACCCCTTTTCTGTGGGTGCGAGGCCTGTGGAGAGGAGAGGGGACAGGTGGGCCTGAAACTTCCAGGGAAGCTTCTGCTTTGTTTTCATGAGCCAGCAGAGCAGCACTTTCCCCAAAGCAATTTGGTGAGAGTTATCCTGCCCTGGCCCATTTTCTCCTTTGCTCACTCAAGTGAAGAGATTATTAGCACTCCTGGTCCTCACAACAACTTTGATCTACTGCTCTTCCCATTTTATAGATGAGGAACCAGGGATGGGGAAGGCAGGTGACTTGCCCAAGCTCAGTAATAAGAATTCACTCCCACTCTCCCCAGGTCGGGCCTTGGCACTAGGTGTTTTTCCCACTTTACCCCCACCTCCGTTGTGGATGGGGTACCCACTACATTTGAAATTTATCCTCCTCAGCACGAGCCACCCCTGGAGGGCAAGGATGGAGAAGTGAGCAGGAAGCATGTGCTTAGCTTGGCTCTCCCAGTTACAGGGACCTGGGCATCTTTAAAGGATGTCTTAGAATGAAATTCCTCTTCGGAATTACACTGCCCCATGTGCCCCACCCCCATCTTTATATTATGAGTGTTTGGTAGGAAGCTCACAGGATGGCCTGGATGGCAGGCCTCTGCCACAGACACAACCCTGGGAGTGCCATCTGGGCTCCACCACTCTTCCCCATGTGGCTCTCACCTGTCCAGGAGCTGTCCCTCCTAAGATCTTGGAGAGCACCACACAAAACTCACTCCACATCAAGTACTTAGGAATTAAATATGAATGCTCATTCTTCCAAGTTTATTCTTTTTAAATCTAGGTTATTTAATCATAAGTAATATCCCTAGCTTTAAAAATGACAGGAAATATTACTGCTCCTCCTCTTCTTTCTTTCTTTCTTTTTTTTTTTTTTTTGAGACAGAATCTCACCCTGCTGCCCAGGCTGGAGTGGAGTGGTGTGACTGTAGCTCACTGCGGCCTTGAACTCCTGGGCTCAAGCGATCCTCCTGCCTCAGGCTCCTGCATAGCTAGGACTACAGGTGCATGCCACCATGCCCAGCTAATTTTAAAAAATATTTTGTAGAGATGGGGGTCTCACTGTGTTGCTGAGGCTGGTCCCTAAGTCTTGAGTTCAGGTAATCTTCCCATCTCAGCCTCCCAAAATGGTGAGGGATTATAGGTGTGAGCCAATGCATCTGGTCTGCCCTCCCTTTCTAGTATTGAATTTCCAGATCATAAACTTCAAAACTGATATTTTTATACAATTAATTGAAGAATTTGCATATTAATTTAAAATTGGATCTTAAAAATAACATTATAAATCCTTAAAAAAACATGTGGTGGTGACAGGATCATCTGTGCAACCTCCTCCCTTCCTTGCTAACAGTTTTTGTTCAGATGTTGGGCAGCCTTGTGTTACAAATGACTTCTGACCCCAGAGTAGTCTAAATCGCTAATAGTAATTTCACTGTCTTGCCACTAACTTTTTTCCAGCTTGGAGCATGTGCTGATTCAGTTTGGGCCAATCCTATGATAGGAGAAATCTCTTAGGAGTCTTGTAAAAAAAAAGTTTCTTCACTCTTTATTTTTTATTTATTTATTGTGTTTTTGAGACTGTGTCTTGCTCTGTTGCCAGGGTGGAGTGCAGTGGCGCGATCTCAGCTCACTGCAACCTATGCCTCCCTGGTTCAAGCGATTCTACTGCCTCAGCCTCCCGAATAGCTGGGACTACAGGCGCGGGTCACCACGCCTGGCTAAGTTTTGTATTTTTAGTAGAGATGGGGTTTCACCATGTTGGCCAGGATGGTCTTGATCTCTTGACCTTTTGATCCACCTGCCTCAGCCTCCCAAAGTGTTGGGATTACAGGCGTGAGCCATCGTACCTGGCCATGTTTCTTCACTCTTTAAAAGAGACACGTGAGGTGGGGGCACGGTGGCTTATGCCTGTAATCCCAGCACTTTGGGAGGCTGAGGCAAAAGGATCACTTGATCCCAGGAGTTCAAGAACAGCCTGGGCATCACAGTGAGACCCTGTTTCTACAAAAAAAGAAAAAACTAGCCGGAGGTGGTGGCACGTGCCTATGGTCTCAGCTACTCAGGAGGCTGAGGTGGGAGGATCGCTTGAGTCTGGTGTTTGAGGCTGCAGTGAGCTATGATTGCATCACTGTACTCCAGCCTGGGTGACAGAGTGAGACCTTGTCTCAAAAATAACATATAATAAAATAAAAGAGTCACATAAGAAGAAATACCTTGTCTCTGTCTCTAGATGCTGGTTTCTGCAGCAGCCTCTCTGCAACCTGAGGGCAGCAATGCCGACAGGCAGCAAGCTGCAGGCACACTTGACAGATGTGAAGATCTGGGTTCTGGGGATGCTGTTGAGCTGCTCGATGAGCCCACTTTGGACCTGCCCTACCGCCAGACTTTTTGTGATCCAAGTTAGTAAACTTTCCTCCTTTTTTTAGTGCCTTTGGGATCTGTTACTTGTAGCAGAAAGTATTTCAACAGGTACCATGGTCACTTCTTGGTTGTGGATTAATGACAGGCTTTATCTGACAATTAACCTGGGAGGAAATTGAGACAGCATCTCTAGTATTGGGCTTGCTCACGTCTCCAGCACCCACTGTTAACGCACAGCATGTTCAGTGCTCAATTGCAGTTTGGGGCTACCTTCATCTCTTCTATGTACTGGGTTTGCAGACTTGAAATTCAAACCCTTAACCTTGAAGTGGACAAAACTGTACTCAATCAGAGAGGCAGAGAGAAGGGGATGTAAGCTGAGGCAGCCTGTTTTCAAGAGTAACTGAGGTGAGAGTAAGGATATGAGGGCAAGAAACTTACAATGAGGATTCCTAGTTTAGAGCAACTCCAGTATTCAAATGTTATAACATGATAACAATAACAACCATGTATTGAGTGAGTGCTTAACTATGTGCCAGGCTCCACACCAGGTGGTTTACACATATTATCTAATTATCACCGTCAGGCAAAGTAAGTTATCGTTCCCATTCTATGCTTATGAAAACCTGCGCTCTGCGAGGAAAGGAAAATCCCTGGTCACCCAGCTATTTAAAGGTAGAACAAAGATGTGAATCTCAGATGTGTGCTATTTCTGAAAACACACTTAAAATTCTACTATAAATCACATTGTGATTTTGAATTATGATTTGAATTGTGATTTTGAATTATGCATTCTGTTTCCCTCCATTCTTTTTTTTTTTTTTTTTTTTTTGAGACAGAGTCTTGCTCTTGTCACCCAGGCTGGAGTGCAATGGTGTGATCTCGGCTCACTGCCACCTCCACCTCCCAGGTTCAAGCGATTCTCCTGCCTCAGCCTCCTGAGTAGCTGGGATTACAGGTGCATGCCACCACGCCTTGCTATTTTTTTGTATTTTTAGTAGAGACGGGGTTTCTCCATGTTGGTCAGGCTGGTCCTCAGGTGATCCATCTGCCTCAGCCTCCCAAAGTGCTAGGATTACAGGTGTGAGCCACTGTGCCCAACCCCCTCCATTCTTTTGAATAATCAAGAATTGACTTAAAATATTACATACCTGTTATAATGGGGCAGAGGAGGAAGAAGAGGTAGAGAGAGAAATAATGGGGGATTACATTACATCTTCCAAACTAATCATTAAAAATTTATTAGACAATTCACAGAAGAAATACAAAGTACTAACAAAAGGACAAAAAGGTGTTCGACTTCATTAGTAACTGGAGAAATGCAAACTGAAATAATACACCTTTTTTGCCTAGCAAAAATTGTAAAAATGTCAATTTTTTTAACTTGAAGAATAAAAATATAGTAAAATAGTAAAAAGACTGATAATGTTTGGTGTTAGTAACAGTCCAGGGGAAGAGATGCTTTAACAAACCATTGGTGGGGGAGTATAGCGATCCATCATTTAAATGAAGAGTGTTTTTGCAATACCTGCAAAAATGTTAAATGTACGTATCCTTGACCTGGTGATTCCACTCTGGAAACATCTGCACAAGCTTGGAAGGATACACACCCACATGGATCTTCATGCAGCTATTGCATAATTAGTAACAGCAAAATATGAGGAAAAACCCAAATGACATCAGTAGGAAAATGGCTAAGCAAATTACGGTATATGCTTAATAATGGAATATTATGTGGTCTCTGAACAATGAAGTAGGTCAGTCTTACAGGCAGGAAAGAAAGTCAAGCGATAAAAGCAAAATGTAGAACAATATATGTGGTATGATCCAGTTTTTAAAGGCCTGCATATGTGTGTATAGCTGGCGGAAAAAGGGAAAAATGTTCTTTTACAATCTGGCTACAGTTTGAGGGATTTCATGGTCTTGAAAGAGAGGGGAAACAAAAAGGGTGAAATTACTCCACATAGTAAAATAACAGGAATTTGAGGCTTTCTTCCTGGCAACTGGAGAGGGCAGGTCAGTAGGTGTCACTCCTGGCTACATATTAAAATCACCTGGGGATCATTTCCAGCCTCTCCCCAGACTGGGCAAATTAGAACCTAGGGTGGACGTGAGGCCTGGGCCTTGAAGGTACTTGTGGTTCCTCAGTTGATTGATTCTAATATGCAGTCAGGGTTCAGAATCATCCAGACCCAGGGATGCAGAGGAGAAGGTGAGAAACCCCTGCACCGTGGCGGGAGTCTGGGGCCTATGGAGGGTTACAGCGGTGAAGAATTCCTGCGGCAGAAGCTGGCATTACATTTCTAAGAACGGGGAAATCGTTATTCAATTAGAGATTGTTTCCTACCCTATGCCTCCAAGACATCAGAATCTCAAGGAAAATGTGTCACCAGTGACAATCTCTGCTAGTGCTGCTTTGGAGGGAATGAAAGATGGGTGGTGGCCAGTGTCCAAGCCAAATACCAATGGATCAATGGATAAGTGGGCCACACCAGAGCAACAGGCTATAGCGGCAGGATACTCCCCCTGGGGTCTTCAGAGGCACTGGGCAAGGAGCTTGGTTGGGGTGGGAGGGTGGTTTCCCATGCACAGCCGCTGATGGAGGGACTGGAGACATTTTATTTGGATGATAAAAGAATGAGTGACTAAAGTCGAGGACCTCTGTTCTGTAACTATAAGTAAATTTTGATTCTAAAATTTAAAAACAATAAACATCTACATAATATTATTAACTGCACAGCCAAGAACTGTGCCAGGATTGCAGTTCATTATCTCTGATCCAAGATCACAAACCTTTGTATCAATGAAGGATGTTCTTAAAGTGAAGTTGGGTGTTTTCTCGTTCTATTTGCTACCAGTTGCATTGGCTATCACCTCACGTTTTCCACCTCACAATTGTTCCACCTGCTCGTCACTTCTCCTCATTTACTGGGGGCAGCCACAGTCTTCCGTCCTCTTGTGCCAACCAGGACTGGCTCCACAGCTCAGACCTAACGTTATGCCCTGCTAGCCTGGACACGCTGTATCCTAGATGCCATGTTTTCTCTTTTGATGTATTCCTCCTTTTTGCTGCAGTACAGTGTTGAATAACTCCTTTAACGTGGACGCATTTTCTGAATTCTTGCATGTCTGACATGTCTTCAGTCAGCCTTCACACTTGATTAATAGCTTGGCTGGGTATAGAATTCTGGATTTAAAACTTTGAAAGTATACCTCCACAGGCTTTTGGCTTCTAATGTTGCAGATGGGAAGTCTGATATGGGAAGTCTGGTGGATTCTTTGAAAATGGATTTGTTCTTATTTTCACTTTACTTTGTATTTTTTCCCCTATGAAAGCTCCCAGAATCATTCCCTTATTCTTGGGTTCTGAAATATCACAATATTATTCCCCATTAATCTTGTTCAGCACTCAGCAGCCCCTTTCAATCCTCTCCTCCACATTTTTTTTTTTTTTTTTTTTTGAGACAGAGTTTCACTCTTGTTGGCCAGGCTGGAGTGCAATGGCGAGGTCTCTGCTCACTGCAACTCCGCCTCCCAGGTTCAAACAACTCTCCTGCCTCAGCCTCCCAACTAGCTGGGATTACAGGCATCCGCCACCACGCCCAGCTAATTTTTGTATTTTCAGTAGAGACGGGGTTTCACCATGTTGTCCAGGCTGATCTTGAACTCCTGACCTCAGATGATCCACCCGCCTTGGCCTCCCAAAGTGCTGGGATTACAGGCGTGAGCCACCGCATCTGGTCATTTTTTTCTTTTTTAATGGCATTCTAATTAGCCGGTTGCCAAATTTTGGAATTGGTCCTCTATGTCACTTATGTTTTCTCTCATCTTTTCAATACTTTCTTCCCGATTTCTTGAGGAAGAAATTCCATCAGAGTAACAGTCCTGGCTCTTTCCACCCCCTTACTCATGTCTACCCAGAGGAAGATAAGTGATTCATCCAACTGGTAAGTTTAGAGGAAGGAGCAGGGCTTGTGTGCCTGGGTTCTTTCTCTTTGGGGATCTGGTAGCCTGTGGAAATGAGTTGTGATCAGCTCCTACCATCTAGCATGTGGCTCCCTTGCTGCAGGGGCTCCAAGGGCCAGCCTGTGGTAGGTGAATCTGCCTGGCTCAGGGTTGGACTGCTCGGGAGCACCGTGCTTCCAGCCCGCGTCCTCTAGGGCAGCATTTTCTTCAATCACAAAACTGATACTTTTAGTCCATCCATTTGTCCATTTTTCAGTTGGTTTCAAACTCAAGTGGAAAAGAGCAGGGGATGTTTATGGACCTCCTTAAACATTTATCTTTTGGGCTTTTTGATGTACTTTCTGAGAGGTTTATTTGGCTTTCTCTTCCAAATTCTTTCTTTTTCTCTAATCGTCACTTTTTCAAAGCTTCCGTTCTTATTTGTGGGTGTCAATATTATGTTTCTGTGAGGAAACTGATTAGGCTATAAAAAAGTTCTTTTATCCTTGAATTACTGCATTTTCTCCTGCAGTAATTGCAGGAGTAATTTTCCTGCAATTTATTTGTCTTTTTCTTTCACGCTGCTGTATTGAATCTAATATATGATAATCCTTGGACAGTCTCTTCATATTTAAGAATGAAGTAGTAAAAAGGCATTTAGGAACTCTGGTTGTAGAGGTGGGGCTTGTGGACCAAAAAATATTGCTTTCTGGTGAGTTGGCAGGGCAATGACTATGTTTTTGAGATGAGCTCTTGCTGTGTTGCCCAGGCTAGAGTGCAGTGACTATTCATAGGCACCATAATAGGGCACTACAGCTTTGAACTCCTGGGCTCGAGTGATCCTCCTACCTCAGCCTCCCAAATAGTTGGGACTACACACAGGTGCCACTGCACCCAGGACACTGGCTCTTATGCTGAAGACTCTTACTCCAGAAAGCCTGGGATGTTAAATGACCGACTTCCGCGGAGTTCTGCTCATGGGGAGAAGGGAGGGGTTGGGGTTCCCTATTCCATCAATGGAATTTTCAGTTATTCCCAATTTTCAGGCCTATGTTTCTCTCCAGGGCTTATTTATATCTGAGGCATTCTCAGGGCTTCTTCCCTCCCATGTTGGCAGTTGCCCCATTTGCTTTTATTCTTCTAGACTGTGGCTTCTCCATCCTTCTTTGTGAGCTACAATTTATTCATTTGCTTTCCATTTTCCAGAAATTCATTTAGCTCTTTCATTTCTTTTACTATTCTTCTTATTGTCAATTTAAACCCTTTTTTTTCTATTACTACAATTTTAATGAAGTTTGGGAGGAAGAGGGGAAACATTACATGTCCCATTCACATTCTTGAGTCAGTTTGCACTTTGAAATGTTCTGGAAGGAGACAAGGACTGTGAGGGGAGAAAACGGTACCAATTTATACATTTCTGCACTGCTCAAGCTGTTGCTTTTGATACTATGTGCAAGCACTGTTTTTACAATGGGAAGAGAAAGAATTAGAATAAGAATCAATTACAATGACTTGCTGCCTCTTGCTAATGTGGGATACCGAAAGCTTCCTTCAGAACCTCAAGGCCATAGCCCATGACACAGTCACATCCTGGTTTCTATTTTGTCTCTTGAATCTTTCCTGAAAAGTCTCTTGTTCTACTTCCTTCTTCTTTGATTCTTAATGCAGGTCGCTGTCAAGATTCCATTTTCAGCCTTCTCGTATGCTCCTGTTCTCAATTCTCCCAGCCCCCATGGTTCTTAATATCACCAACTGGCCAGCACAATTCTTAATCAGTCCCCACTCCTCCCCATGTGCCTTAATCCCATCTAAGTTTTACTACGTGGCATCCTGTCAATAAATACTTGTTCATGTGACATAGCTATGCTAAAAAAGTAGTTTTTTGATGACTTCTAAGGACAGCAGGACTCTTTTGGTGTTTAGCTTCATAGAAACCATTTTTAGCTTAATATATAACTATTCTCAACAAAAGCTCTTCAATAGGCTCATAACTGCTTCAGTGCTAAAATCTTAGCAGATTTTTTTATGTGGCCCTTCATTTTTTATTTATTTTGAGCATTTTAAGCCTTTGACCTGCAGAGGCTATTTTCTAATTTTAAAATTTAAGAAACTTCCATTTTTTAGTGTTCTTTTTTTCTTTTAAACAAACTTCTAGATATTAGCATTCTATACCAGACGCAGAAGTCTGTTTAAAAAAAAGAGCTATGGAAGAAGAAAATACATGCATTGTGTAGGCTAGAACAATTCTATTTTATATTTCTCTGCTCTAACTTTGTGTCAGTATAATACTGAGGCATCACATTCTTTAATTTCTTACCATATATCAAACCATGCTAAGCACTTTATATTCACTATTTTATTTAGTCCACACTACCACGTAAGGTATATACTATTATTATCCCATTTTATAGATAAGAATATTGAAACACCCAGGAGTAGAGGAGCTTGCCCTAGATCTCACAGGCAGTAAGTGAGATAACCCAGGGAGGCAGGATATAAGCCAAGCCTGTCTGACACCAAAGTCGACATCACTCTGCTGGTGTTTTTCATATTAGGGTTTGCCAGTCTCTGGGGCTCATGTTCCTTGGATTCAGTGAGTTCTATAAGCTTTTACACTTAGTGTTTGCGTATCTAATTATAGTCTAAAAGGAATTATATTGCCAGTTATAAAGACAAACTTCTCCTAAGGAAGTTTTGGTTTCTTAAGTCAGTTCTTCTGAAGACTGAGCCCAAGCAGCCCTTACAGTGTCTTTGTAAAACTTCTTTGCAGAACATGAGAATTTTTTTCTTGTAGGTACCTGCATTTTGCAAAGTTTATGAACCCTGTGTCATGTCATACTGATTTTCTTCCTATCAGAAAGAAGGCAGTCCATTGTATGCTGTGTGAAATATTTGCCAACTTAACAACTTGTCTTAGAAATCCTAGTTAGAATTTATTTTAGGTCCCCATATACTGTGTTTTCACTAAATTATTTAGTTAAACTTGAGCATTTGAAGAAGTGTTAGTACTTCACTTTTTAGTTGGGTATATTCTACAAAGTCACTAATATATTTCTGGTTCTATATCAGTTTTCCTGAGGGAAACTCTCATTAAAAACATATTATTTAATTTTCACCTGCTGGCTTGAAGCCAAGTACATTTATTCACAATTGAATCCTTTTGACAGGTCCACATCTCTCAGATAGAAGTTACTGAAAATTGGGCCAACTCATACCTTTTAAACATACACACTCTGGAACTAAGAAGAAAAATTTATTAAAAATTGTGCAGCTGATTTGCTTATGCAAACATTTATTAACTTAAGACATTGTGATTTCTTGAGCACTGTCATTCTTTAAAAACAGTGACTGTGGGTGGGCTTAGCTAGAAAATATAAGGTGTGGAATTTACATTTGTGGAATTCAAGAACATTACCGTTGACTAACCATATATATAATAATTCTTATTGACTAATGAGGCAAGTCTAAAAAACATTTTCCACTAACAATAGAACTTTACATGGAACTGCAACAATTTTGTTAAGAGTTATTCCCTGTCTTGGGACTTGACTTCTGGTTAGTTTTTGGTTCATATGATAAATAAAGATCTCTAATATCAAGCACATATTATTTTGGGGTCCAACAAGACAGAAGTGAGCCTGGCAGAACTGATCTAACTTTTAAAAATGCTTTTCATTTTATGAACTAAGGAGACCAGTAAGTAAACAAATACCTACTAAGTGAAATTTATGCCCCACAAAGATGCTCAAGATTGTTGAAGGGAGGGTCAGGATGAATAGGAGGTGAAAGCAACGTGGCTCTGCAGTTCAGTATGGCTTTGGCATTTTCTTTCCTATTGATATTCCCTACTTTCTAAGAGTGTGATTTCTTTGTCATCATGCCCCAGTTCTCTTAGGTCAGACCCATTATTTGTTTATTATTATTCATTTTAAGTGGCATCAAGGGATCAATTTTTTAAAGTCTTGGCCAGGCACAGTGGCTCATGCCTGTAATCCTAGTACTTTGGGAGGCCATGGCAGGAGGATCACTTGGGCCCAGGAGTTTCAGACCACCCTGGGCAACATAGTAAGACCCTGTCTCTATGAAACATAAAAAAAAAAAAAAAATTAGTTGAGCACAGTGGCATATGCCTGTGGTTTGAGCTCCTTGGGAGGCTGAGGTGGGAGGATCACTTGAGCCCTGTGCAGTGAGTCATGATTGCACTACCGCACACTCCAGCCTGGGTGACAGGGTGAGACCCTGTCTCCAAAAAAAAAAAATTTTTTAAGTCTTTATTAGAATTTAGATTTGCTTGCTTGTAAAGTTTTACTTACATGTAGTACAACATCCACTTCTGTTTACTTTGAAGCACTTTCTGTAGGTGGAACTTAGAAGTATCTTGTCTGTCCCAGCGCCCAGGTAGGCCATGCTCAGGGGCAGGCCCTAGTGCTCTGCAGCACTGATCTTCGGTGGTGCTTGTTTGGATAGTGAGTGGAACTAGAAATTTTGGACCCCCTCACCCTCTGAGCTTCTCCATAGAAAATACAGGATGCCAAGTTAAGTTTGAATTTCAGATGATTTCAATGAGCAAATATATTCAATTTATTTGCTGATTCTGGCCACCCTGCTAAACCTCAGTCTCCTCATATGCAAACTGTATAATAATGGTACCTACCCCTGAGGCTTGCTTACCACCTGGTGTATATGCATAAGTATTTTATTTTATATGGCAACCCTAGTTTGGTAACTTATGCAAGGTTTTGCTCAAGTATTAGAGCCAGTTTTCTGATGCCAGGGCCTTATCCTCCATAATGCCTCAGTCAAGAACTCCTAAACTAAGAGCTCCCAATGAGTAGAGTAGCCAATAATAACATTAACTATCATGTTGAAAATGTAAATATCAACAGTTGCCATATGCTGATTTTTTAATATTAATAAACACCCAGAAGCTTTCTATATCAGTACTTATATGTATATTTAAGGCAAAAAATAAAATTCAAAGAGAGGCAAATTTCTCACAATTTTCCTAGTAAATCTATTTTTTTTTGATATGGGATCTCACTATGTTGCCCAAGCTGGTCTCAAACTCCTGAGCTCAAGTGATCCTCCCACCTCAGCCTCCCCAGTAGCTGGGATTACAGTTGCATGCCACCTTGCCCAGTTAATTTTTTAAGTCATGAACTCAAGCATATTACAGAAGGGTCAAACTTTGATAGCTATCACTCTTTCAAAGTGGACTCTAGAGAAATTAACAAATGCATGAAAATTAAACTTAAGTATTTAACTTTCTCTCCCACTGTTCAATGCCTTCCTCTTGCCTTCCCAGTGGCAGCCAAATGTCTCTGCACAGTATTTGAGACTCTCCAGGCTGGGTGCCGTGGCTCAAGGCCTGTAATCCTAGCACTTTGAGAGGACAAGTTGGGCAGATTCTTGAGCCCAGGAGTTCAAGACCAGCCTGGGCAACATGGCGAAACCTCATCTCTACCAAAAAACAAACAAACAAATAAGAAACACCCCAAATTAGTCAGGCATGGTGGCAAGTGCCTGTAGTCCCGGCTACTGAGACTGAGGTGGGAGGATTGCTTGAGCCCAGGAGGTCCAGGCTCTAGTGAGCCGAGATTGTGCCACCGCACTCCAGCCTGGGTAACAAAGCGAGACCCTGTCTCAAAAAAAAAAAAAAAAAAAAAAAAGGGCTCTCCAGATCTGGCTGGGACTCAAATTTCAAATTTTCAGCCTCAGTTCCTATTAAATCTCAGTCTTGAACTCCACCCTAGAGTTCTTGTATCCCTCAACTTTATGATACACTTCCTGCTCCAATATCTGTCTTTGTCTTGAAGTCCCTTCATCCTGGAAAGTGCTTTCCATATCTCAACCATGGGAAATCTTTTATCTCCAGCTCAAACACCCAGTTCTTTTTATGATACAACCATTATCTCCTCAGCTAACTGGCCCTGTGGCTGATTATGTTATTATACCACATAGCATTGCCTGCCTTGCAATTGTATTACTCTTTTCTCCTTGACTAAAATTTAGTTTCTTATGGTCAGGGGCTGCTTTGTTTTATTCTTTTCCACATTGATTTAGTACCAAAACTGATGCCTTTCCCAAAGTAATTCCTTAATAAAATAACTGTTGAACCAAAGTTAGTCCCAAAATACAAGAACAGAGCTCTGAAAGTTGCAGTGCTGTTTGTTGAAATTCTGCGAATCCTCCAAAAAGAAGGCTAAATTGGTTTGGGTGTGCTCACGATGACTGGCAGTTAGGTTTTCAGCACTTAAAACCACTTTTCCTTGTCGTTAAAAACCGATACACATTCATTTTAGAAAATGTGTGAAGACACACACAAAGAAAAAAAATCATCAGTAAACTACCTTCCAAAGGTAGTAGCTGCTGGTTTTTCCCCCGTACATATAGAAATATTGTTTCTTTTCTCAGAAATTCTCAACAAAAGCAATATGGAAATGTAGACAAGGGCACATGGGAGAACAGGAGCGGATGTGAACTCCCAGGATCTAGTACTTCATGATTCTATGACCCTGCTTTAGTCTCTCCATCCCTCTCAGGCCCAGTTGCTCATCTGAAAAGTAGAAATATGAATACTATTTTTTATTCCTACAGGGGTTTTGGAAATATCAAATTATAAAACATTTGACAGTATTTTATCAATTAAAAAATACTATATGCTTGGTTTTATTAGTATGTTAACTGAATAGAAGATGACTCTATAGATAGATGGAGTGATCAGATTGAATCCTAAATAATAATTCCAGCTGGATGGACTTCTGCCTAGCTCTGTTACCTGAGTTACAAATAATCTTAACTTCACAAAAGGGAAAGGAACTTTTATTAAGCATCTATTACATGCCAGGTTCTGTGCTATCTGCCTTACACTTGTCTTCCCGTAGCACCACAAAATGCCCTTCCATACATGAGAAAAACCGAGATTCAATGAGCAAAGCCACTGGTATTGTAAGATTAAAACAAAGGTGCATCTGATTTGAAGTCCCATGTTCTTTTCTATTTTTAAGTTAGAGGCACCTTTTAGGGAAAGTATTTTCATGGAATTCCTCTTATTCTTATGGAAATTCCTACTCTTATAGAAACTTTCAGAGTGATGGAAGGGCAGTAAGACTGGAAACATGAGTTATTTTCATACAGATTCCCTTAGGAACATTTAAAGAAGTTGTGATTATTTCATTATTTCATCTTAGAAGAAAGAGTGAACTAACTTTTTTGTTTGTTTGTTTGTTTGTTTTGTTTTTTTTGAGACAGGGTCTCGTGCTGTCACCCAGGCTGGAATGCTGTGGTGTGATCAAGACTCACTGCAGCCTCAGCCTCCCTGGCTCACATGATCCTCCCACCTCAGCCTCTTGAGTATAGCTGGGAATAGTAGCTGAATAGCTGTGGTAGTAGAACTGCCACACCTGGCTAATTTTTTATATTTTTCTGTAGAGACAGGGTTTCATCATGTTGCCCAGGCTGGAAGAGTGGACAAATTTAAAAGGTGCTTGTTTGCAAGCTCATCAAAGGAAATAAATGGCAGATATTGACCTTTTGCATGTAATTTACCTAAAACTATCTTAAAATGTAATTTGGAAGTTTTTATAGCATGGTTTCTTTAGACCTAAACAGAGCTGCTGAAGGATGCTATAGAATTTCCTTCCTGATAGAATATTTGTTTTGAACAAGACAGGCTTATCTTTTTAGTACTTATTCATAGTCCTAATTGGAGGTGGAAAACTAGACTCAATCAAGGATGAGCATTTAAGTAAACATGAAAGAAAGAAATCATTATGAATTCTGCTGAAACTATGATTAAATGATATAGCACAGAGGATCTAAAATGACATTACAGTACAGAGACACATGAGGGTGCTCTAACCAACTGCTATAATAAATAAATTGTTCAAATATTGGGGAAAAATTAAGGCCCGTTATGAATGGCAGTGATGAATTCTGACTTTTAACATTAGCTAAACAGAGCAATCTTAGAATAGATGGTTTTTAAAAAAATGAAATATATTGCTCTCCCCTACCCCTCCCAGTTTAAAAAGTAGATGTTCATATTGGCCAATTTGGAAAATGCTGAAAAGCACAAAGAAGAAGAAAAAAAGTGGACTGATGTTACCGTCAGCCCTGGGAGGTGGGGGCTTTCTAGAGCCTTAGAGCCAAGCCAGTTGGAGGCTTAGCTCAGGAGGCCTGCCTTCAAACAAGCCCAGGCTGTTCTCATTTTGATTCCACAGACCTTCTGCTAGTACAAAGGGGGAGTAGAGACTGGGGGTCTAATGACCGCAAGAAGAGAATTAGAGACGCATGTTTATCTCAATACATTTACTCTCATTAAAGTTCATATTCACTGACATCATGCATCTCCTTGAAAAAGTCTGCCCACCCACCATTAATTAAAGCCACATTTTAAAAAGTCAGTGTGTGCACTTTTATTCCAATCAAAAGTAGCCTCCTAAGTTTTGCAGAGCAGGCAGGAGAATATCTGAGGCCTGACAGCTGTTCACCTCTACACGGTGAAGAATCATGTGATTTACATTAAAAGTTGTGTTTATTCAGGGCCTAAAATATAATAGCTATGATCTATTGTCTTGAAGAGTTGAAACATTCAATATCTAATGACCTATTTAGTGAAATTAACATTTATTTTGATAAGTCAATGTTCTTTTGGATACAATATCTTTTATCTTTCCAAATAGAGAAATCTAACTATATACCCTGTTTGAACAATTAAGCAGCACACTCCTATCAAAGTCACCACACTTTATAACTTATACATGTACTATCAATGTTAGGACAAAGGTCAGTGTAAATTTTTTTATCCAAATCATTGCACAAACAGTAATTACCAATAGTTGTAGGATTGCACAACCATAGTCTATTTTCTTGGCAGTAGTGACTGTAAGTTCATAAATTCATGAAAATTAGGAATGTTGATTTTTAAAGTTCAAGAAAGGTACTATTTGTAAACAGTTCAGGTCACACTCATGTTATACCATGTGCTAAGCAAGAGTTCTTTCCTTCTAACTTCCTTTAAATGAGATTTGTTCTCTCCAGGAGCCTAGTAAAGGGGTTTTCATCCATTCTTTTCTATTATTTTTCCTATTAAAGCCCCCCCAGGGACCTTTCAATTTTATGCTTATCTTTCTTTATATATTAATATCAAACACATTTTTATGTTGTGTTGATAAAAGACAAATTATCGTTACCTCTTCCTATTGGCAATTAGATTATTCTAGAATAGTTCTGAACAAATATTTGATTCACCCAGCCAGTTAATGCTTTCCACACAAAAGCATCAAGTACAGCATTAAATTCTCTAGTTATTCTGGTCATACCACCATACCAAAAGACATGGGTCATCAGTGGGTCTGAACATTGGCATTGAAATGGTTTAATCCTAGGGTAAAGCACCCCTGGACTACGTGTTGAAACCTAACTTTCTAGTCCTTTCTACTAACTTCCTTGTGACCTTGAGTACCTTGAGGGCTTCAGTTTCCTCATTTAACAAATGATGGTTAAAGGGTGTACACTGACTGGAGCCCAGGAAGTTAGTCAGGTCTAGAGGAGAAGGGGCCAGAATACCCTCTGAGGATCATGTCTTCTCCTGGTCCACTTACTTATCCAGCACCAGAAACAACAAGGTGGGGCTTTTATGAGTGAGACTTGGGTCAGGTTCCCAAAGAGGGCATCCCTAAATCTAGAAGAAGCCAACAAACCATGCTTGATGAGTTGTTTTCATGATACATGTAAGAAAAGATGCTCTGGGTCTAATCTTTATATCCCTTAGATATAAGCATTCAGTGTAACATTGCTATGTGGGATGAAGCACTATCCTAACCCACAGTTCATATCTTCTGCTTAAATGACAGTGTCCAGAGAGACCATAAAAGACTTGAATCAACACAATGCCAAACACAATGGGTGGACTCCTTCAACTAGCTATAGGAAGGAAGGTGGAGTGTGGGTGGGAATATTTCAACCTAGTTGTTGGTATTCTTCCGAACAAACAGCTAATGGCTGGGGGACAGTAGGAAGTTGTGACTACACAGCATTTTATCAATTCTAGGGAAGTTTAAGATAAGCTCTGCCTAAGTGGTTTATAAAGCCATGCAGCCTACAAAATGAGCACCGTTGCATTTCCATACCTTCCTGCCAGCTCTGTTGTTGTGAAGATTCATCAGGGCTCTGGCATCCTTTCCTTTCCTTTCCTTTGCATCCACAAATGCGCGGGCAAATTTGATCCCATAGTCAATGTTATCACTGCAGCCACCCCAATCAAAAATGCCTTTGCTGTCCTTGGCGCTTCCCATCTTCTTTGGATCACAGGAACAGGATTTTACTTCTCCTTGGCTACAGGCCCTGGTGATGGCAAATACAACTCCAGCTGAGGAGATGGCATAAACAAAGGCAGATTCCCGACTACCTGAAACAAAAATGCTTTTCTTAAAAGTGGTCCGGTAGCACTATTTCTGAATAACTTTCATATGACAATTGTTTAATATTTGCTCTGTTTCAGACAACCTTTGCCACTAGACAACAAGGTACTGATATTCTTGAAGGGTTCTTTTCTAGAGCCCAGGCTCTTTCTTTAATATGAACCATCTCCATCTAATATAGGTTTTTGTCAATTTAGGTATCTGTGTGGCAGCTCTTCTTAAATAAGCAGTATCAAAGAAAAAGATGGCCTTGCCCAGCTCCTGGCTTCACATTAGTCTCAAACACAGGCTTGCCCTGTTTCAACAGAGAGCTCTAGATGTCCTAGAAGAGAGGAGCATAGCATCTCTAGGCCTTTTTCTTTACAGTCTGAATGCTACAATTCTATCATTCCACAATATAGTTGGGTACTCATGACACCACAGCTTTCCTCAAAATATCCTTCCAAACCTCCAGGACTTACTGAAGATACTCATATGCACTTAAATTATTGAGAATGAAATACTGAATTCAAAGAAATCTAGGGACTAAGGTGGGAAGAGAATTCTGGCAGTAACCAGCCCCTTGCATTAACACTGGAGAGCTTGGGCTTGGCATTGACTTTCATAAGTAATTGAGAGATTGCTGAAGGCAGTATGCAATATCCTTGAGTTACATACTATATGTCTAACTATTAAGGTGAATTTACTTTCTTCTGGAACACCTGCACTAATCACTGGTATTGGGTAAAAGACAGTGAAAAGTTTTTCTTTGGTTTTTCTGGAAGGAAACAAATTTACCGCCTATAATTAGACTTGGGCAAGAACCCTTTGGGGTGCTTTCTTAGAATTGTTCTTTATTAGAGCACAGGCTACTTTCACTTACAGGCTGAAAGGTACATATTTCAGTGCAATAACTACATTAAATTATTTTAATAATCTGTAGTAACTCATAACACGGTGTTGTGGTATAGTGACAGATATAAGGCTCTTTAGGGTCCGTGTGCACCTCATTTTTCAAGTGGAGCTGTATTTCATTGTTATTAGCATGCCCTTTTATTAATGGTTGCTGCGGCAAATATATTAACAATCCAAATAGAAGCTGGATAACCTAATGCCAATGCAAGGCAGAAAACAGAGAACCATTTGGTGATTCAATATGTCAAGAGGAGTGTGACTTTTTGAACCACACAGCTGGGAGAGCAAACCACCTTTTCACATTGAAGCCCTGCTTGTTTCCGTTTGTCATTCAGTGCTAAAATTTATTATACATCCCTTGCAATATTTGCTCTGCTAGTCTCATTATTAAAAATCAGGAAAACATATCTACACCATATTAAATGGCACTTACCTCAGCTTTCAGAAAATATTTACCCCCCAAACCTCTAACCATCAAAAAAGGAATCAATCATGCCCTGTAGTTAGGTAAAATCAATTATATGACTATTCGCCATAGGTAGCAGGTAGTGCTCTCCAGAGGGAAATATGATGGTTACGAGAGCTGTTTTAAAGAGTCCCAGCTTATACTATATAGACCACAGATATTCTAAGTGGAATTGAGATGTTTTGTAAAAGAAGGCGACTAATACATGCTAATGTGACTTAATCTCAGATAGTGGCTTTCAGATAAATTAAACTTTTATTATATCCATTTTACAGTTTAGGAAAATACCTTTTCCATAGTTACCCCATTTATCTTCTAAAGCTTGGTTTGGGATTTAGAAGCCGGCGCCCATGTTTAGAGAGATCACATAGAGGAGGAAATTCCCAAAAGCTTAAGTATGTAGCACTAGTCTTATTTTTTAAGGAGAAAGAAGAGACATTTTATGAAGTGGTCTATTACGGGAAAGACATGGAAGACGGGGATGATACTATATCAGGTAACCAGACAGTATTTCGAAAGCAACAAGAGAAATAAATTGTCTAGGTGCAGAATTCATCCTGGTATAACTTGGAAACAATTACATTAACTTGTTGACTGAAAGAAAACAAATCACAATCTGCTTCATTTCAGAAATAATTTCCAAAGCAAAAATATGACTTTTCTAAATATTTGTCATGTATTATTCAAACACATTACTAAATAGCTAGATGTTCCTTTATTTAAATTAAAAATTTAGCACATTGACTGGTTTTTCATTTTACCTCCAGATGGTTTGGTACCATGTAGATAATAGCCCTAAAATGTTTTCAGTTACGTGTTTAGATGAATCACTAAAATGTTATGTGTGAAGTAGTAGCACATTTCAAGAGCTGGCTTTGTAACAAAACAAATTTTGATCTTGGGCCTTTTCTTAGAAAGATCCTTTTTACAGCTATCACAAAATGAAACAAAATCCAAATCTAAGTGGTGACATCTGTATTTCCTAATGTGTTGCTATTGAAGTTTCTCTAATTTTTGTATGGAGATAAATCAAGCAATGCCTATTAAGTACATAGGCACAGTTTTTATTTGGGGTAGAGAGATTGTTACCTAGGAAGGCAAAACTCTAGAAGCTAGGGTTTCTTGAAGGTTATGGATTGTTCAATTCTCTTTAAAGTATTTGCTTTATAAGAAAATATTTATAAGGATGAGAACTAATTACCTTTGTGTTTTCTAAGGCTAATTCTAGAATTTTGGAGGTGTATTCTTGCAGGAATATTTTTAGTTTTGCTAGTTCTGTCCTTGTTTCTCTGCCTGTGACTGGTAACTATCTGTTGAATGAGTAAATTACAAATGTTTCTAAAAATTGTACTGTCTTATTCTGACTCTCTAAAGTCAAACAGGCAAATGTTCTCCATTTCTCTATGACCACGGGACATTTTGGTAATTTTATGTTCTTCTTATAAATGGTCTTGCCCTTTGCCTTTCCTATTCATCTATGAGCATATTTAGGTGTCCACAACTCTAAGACGTAACTTTTTCTCCAAGCAACTAATTGTAGAAATCTTTGGATAGCTTCATTGGAATTTCTTGATTATTTCCAGGATAAGCTGCTTTAGGCCAAATTCAGCCCTCCCATAACCAACACAAAATCATCACTGACAGTCACAAGAGTTTGCATAAATGTCTGAGAGGGAACCTGGCCTTCTGTGAAGAATGGAAAGAAATTGTGTAGCATGAGTGGTTTAAGTTCTGAGTACTGTGGCAAAGTATTCTGCTTCATCTGAAAAAAATCTGAAGGAAGTACAAGTTAGAATCTCTTATTTACCTGAGGTCTAGACTAATTTAAACTAGTTCTGTTTCCTCCAGTCCTGTCACCCAGGCTGGAGTGCAGTGGCAATATGTTGGCTCACTGCAACCTCCTCCTCCCAGGTTCAAGTGATTTTCATTCCTCAGCCTCCCAAGTAGCTGGGATTAAGGGCATGTACCACCACACCCATGGGGTTTCGCCATGTTGGCCAGGCTGATCTCGAACTCCTGGCCTCAAGTGATCTGCCCACCTCAGTCTCCCAAAGTGCTGGGATTATAGGAGTGAGCCTGGCTGTTACCTCTAGTTCGAACCTCCTTCATCTCAGCAATTCTACAGCTCTGAAGAAAATAATAGTGTCAAGATTAAGTTACAGTATTTTATAAATGAATCCCCAGCTTTGATGGATATATTTTCTTTAGGATCACTGGTCAATATTGCTTCCTTTGATATGTGATCTAAAGGTTTTATTCAAATATGTAGATATCTTAATAGATCCAGAGATGATCATTTCATAAATGAGATGTACATCTAATTTGAAATCATTGCAAAATGGTTGTAAGCACTTTGAAAAAAAATCCTGATATGTTTTAAACACTGAGAGCCATGCATAATATATCCAAAGATTACTCGTGCTAGATATTTGCAAACTCTCTTTAACAAGGTCCAGTTTCTTTAATTGATTCACTGGCAAGATAATCTAGGTGAAGTCTTAAAATTCCATGAAGCTGAAATTTATTATTAACCTTTCAAAAATTTGCGATGTCATATTGAAACTCCAAAAGGAATGCAGAAGAATATAGTTCTTAAACTAGAGAATAAAATTGCAGAATATCGCAGTAAATTAACTTTAGGGATACTCTAAGAATGAGAGTACTACGCCCTTGGGGGATTTTAGAGACATTCAGTTATGCATTTGGCCTCATAAAACCCTAGGGCTGTGATGATTACATGATAGAAACACCCTCTGTTAAGCATTACCAAGTGCACAGTCTGGATGATTTTCTTAGGAATTGGGGGGGGGGGTAGGCAAAAACAAGTAAAAAGTTTCCTATTTTGGGGGTTTGCACATAAACTGCTGTGTTTTCTGTCAGATTTTCTAATAGCAAATGGACTGTGGTGTTTCCTGGAGAATGCTAATAATGCCAGGTTAGCAGATGGGTATTATTTGAAAATGAAATATGATTTTCAATTAATTTTCTTTGATTGTGTCCTAGCTAGTGAGCTACTTTCCATATTCAGAACTTTTAAGAAGTTTACTACGTAATTAGAAAATGTTTAAGGTTCCTGCTAAGGAAGAAAAAACCTCTATGTATTCATGTTTCCCACCTCTATCCTCCATAGCTATCCTTATTGCTTAAAATGTAGCTGGAAAATAATAGGTAGCCACTACAAGTTTATCCACTCATTCATCATAATGAATGAACAGGGCCTGCAATACACAAGGCACCAAGCAAGGTGCAGGGAATATAGGTTAGTTTCTGCCCTTACAGAATTTACAATCTGTTGGGAGGAAAAATGTTGAATTTAGACACAGAGGCACCAAGGCTGAGTAGCTAAATGGAAGGTGAAAAGTGGTGAGTAGAGATTTGTCTCTGCTTCTTAATATCACTTAAGTGGTGTTTTTGCAATACTGATAATCCTTTGCTGAGAAAAGATTTGAAGATTCTATGCTGATGATCTGCTCAAATTCTTCTGGAGGAAGCCCCAGAAAGCCAAGGAAAAAGTCAAAAGAGACTTGTGGCTCCTCCCTCTCGTCTCTTAGAGACGAAGTCTGAACCTGGAGGATGTGCCATATTGGAGTGATGGACAGAGCAAAGAGTGAAAAGACAACAGCCTGGGGTTCTACTTCTTCCTTTTGATTCACCTCTTACAAACCTCTAGACATGTTCCTTGATTTCTCTAGTCCTCACCTGTAGAACAGGGACAATGACGCCCAACTGAACAAACTTCTGATGGAATAAAATGCAATAGAAGATAAGCAGGGTCTTTGAAGATGGAGTGAGGGAGCTGTGCATGAGTGGAGAGCCATAGGGCTGGGTGAAGGCAGGAGACTTACTTCGGAGTAGGACCCTGCCAAAAAGGCTGTGATCCCTGTCCAGGGTGTTGCAATTCCAGCGGTGCTGGCGGAACTGGTGCTGGCATTCTGCTGTCCACTCGGCCACGCCCTGGCTAATGGCACGCATCACATCTGGATGTCGGTGACACAGCTGCCGCTGGCTGCTCACCAGGCCTGGCACATTATCGCACATCACCCTGGAGGAGCCACCTGTAGCTCTCATGTACCTATAAGGGACCAACCAACACAGAGGTGAGGGCAACGTGAACAGGGAGGCCTGGCTCAGTGTTCCTGGGAGACTAAGGAGTTCAAAGCACTTTTCAAATATGAATTCCTTATCCTTCTGGTGATATTAGAAAGCAAGGGTATTTACTTTTTAATTTAGTGGAGAAACCGGCAAGGCAGGCAGGCGTAGTGAGTGATCTTGCAGAAGTCATCCCCAAAATGCTGTGATGACTGTCTGTTGGACATGAAGCTAGGTCTACCAGATGATGCTCTGGGCAGGGGCACAGAGGCAAAGTCGGCATTTGGGGAAGTGAATGACGGGTAAGAAGCAACGTGTCTTGGGGAGAATGTGTGGAAGACTGTTCTCAAGAAGGCTCAGATCTCAGTGACACAATGTGTCTGGACTTGGCTTTGGGGGAAGCTGACCTTAGAAGCTCTTCGTTCCCATTATTTGACAGAATGTCTTAAAAACTGTCTGTATCTGTCTAATCAACACCCGCTGGTATCTGATGTTACACTCTCCTCACAGACAGGCTGTTCTTTCCTTACTGAAGAGCCTTTTAAATATTTCCATTTTGTAGCTCTTTTTGGCTTTTATAAAGATCCTTTGGAAAAAATTCTTTCTATTGTTATTAAGGACACTAAATGTTTGGAAGAATCAAACAGTGCTATAACTCCATAAAGTACTTTTTGAAAAGAAACTTTAACAAAAAATTACATCATCATCTCTACCCAGATGTTCTCTATTAGTCGTGAAATGTTTAGAAAGGTACCTTTTATATAACCCAAGCTGCCATAGGTGTCTTTTGAAGCGATCAAACAAGGAGAATGTCTTTTTCTTGTATTTTCATTATTTTATATGATCATAAAATCGTTACAGCTGTGACTTCCAAAAAATATATTTAAGTGACAGCTGAGAGACAATGTGACAAAAAGCCTGAGCAATAAATAATGTTTATACACCCATGGAAACAGAAATAGTCATTTTATTGAAAAATGGTCAGTCTGATAAATCAATCTTTGATCCTGTGTCAGCAATGTCAAGGCTAAACGCCTCCCTGTTCAAAGCCGGCTTAGGAAGGAATTGAACCCCTCTTCCCATCAGCGCATTGCCTTGCTCCTTTGAAGAGCTCCAGTGTCTTCCTAAAAATTTCCCTGCTCTAGTCTGTAATTTAGCTGAGACCCCTTACCAGATTCTTTAAAAATTAGCCCACGATAACGGGTGTCTCTGAATCAATATTTTAATATCTGTTCTGAAACTTTTAGGTGCAAGGAAATTACAGGGCTATCAACTCTATCTCTTTCCAAGACCAGAAAGTCGGCAGATGGAGAACGGTTTCTAGATGGGGAGGGAATCTGCCTTTGGAACTTTTAGCGACCTGGTATGGTTCAACATTCCATCACTATGCAAAAATAAATAAATAAATTGCAGACCAACGTACAAAGGAAAGCAGCAAAGTTACTCTTCGCGGGGACGGTTGTGAACAAGGTAACATCTTAGAGACAGACCCCGGGGTCTGTAGCTTTGCATTAAAGCCATAGTCTCTAACTGGAGGCAGCAAAATGTTCTTCCGCCCCACTGGGGTGAACCTGGAATGTGGAAGGACGGGAAATAATACAAAGTCACACGCTTTAGGTTCTACAACTCCTGACTGGCTGAATTGGCCCGTCGATTTACCTTGAGGCAGTTTTGGCGGGGTGGGGGCTGGGATGGGGGAGGCGGTTGTAGTTTTCAAGGTGAATTTACACACACACACACACACACACACACACACACACACGTCTGTGCTAGAGCTGGAGACCAGGCTAGCACGTCTCTCAACAGGATAAGAAATTGGCTGATTTTGCTGTCGCTCAGCTGGATCCAAATAAACCAAACATCGGAGCTCTCATTTGAGGGGGAATGTGGTTTTATGGAGTTGTCAAAGCTGAAATGATCTTCTGGGAAAAGAGAAGGGGCTCACCATGGGGCGATAAGAGGGCAGTAGCCAGGGTTCGGGCCAGAATCCGAGACTGCTGCGGCCGCGGGGGAACGCAGCCAGGAAGGGTCTATGTGGCCAATGCGGTCCCCATTCCGATCTCCAAAATCCCCCGCGCCCGTGCGCGTGGACTTACCACCATGAAGAGTTGACCTCGGGGGTGAGCCAGGTCAAGAGCAGAGGGAGCCAGAGCCAGATTCCACCGAGAGGGGCGTTCATATTAACCCCCTTGCGTCTGCATCAGGTCAGACTCCGTGTGCGGGCGCCATGCGTGCCCAGAGCAGAAGCGCTCAGCTCCGGGAGCGCCTCGTCACGGCCGCCGGCGCCTCGCCGCGCCCCCGCCCCCCGCTCGCGTCTGCGACGAGTGGCGAGACTCGCTGATAAAGTTTCAAACGATGGGCCCAGCGAGCGATAAAGGCCAGCCCGGACCGCCTCGCCCACAGCCCAATTCCCCAGGCGCAGCGAGCGCCTGCAGCCCGAAAGCTCTGCGCGCCTCCCGCGCGCCCCGTCCGCTCTGCTCCCCTCCGGGCGCAGCCGAGGGAGGGGGTGCTGCGCCTGGCGGGGGTGGGGAGAAACGCGGGGTTTTAGACACGGGTGCATGAAATGATGGCAAGAGATGTCTGGGGATGAGGTGAGGCGGGGAAGGGGGAACATCGCTGCATGGTTACGAGCACACGCGAATACAGGAACCTTTAGGGAAGCTCCAGGCCAAAGAGCATCCGTGGGCTCTCGGAGCGTGCGTTCCGGATTGCCGAGGCCATCCGCTGGCAAACAAGTCCCTGAGCGTGCAATGTGAGGAAACGAGGAAGGGGGCCAGGGGATAAGGAGATTACTATGCATGGGATACAAGAATCCAGAGATGATTCTCAACTCATTGCTTCGCTTCTCTCCCTGAAGCTGGGATGAAGAGCTAGCACTTGTAAATTTGGAGCTGCCGCGTCTATGCAGGGCAAGGTTAGGGAGGGGCCAGGCCTCTGCGAAATGACCTGTTGGCTTTGATTCCTTGGTGCTGGGCTTAAATACAGAGCCCATAGGGAGGGGAACTTGGAGGGTCCATGACCCTCGGGACCTAACCCAGCAGTATCTGCCAAAGCACCCAGGAAAGATGCAGTTTTTACGCACACCCAGCTCCTCTCCGGAGCTGCGGAGCGCAAAAGATCACATAGAGAGGAACCGAGGCAGCCAGGCGTTCGCCGGGGGTGTGCGCCCTTGCACCTCCTGCCGCCTGGGCGCTCAGCCTGTGCGCCTTGTGGAGGTTAAGGGACCCTCGGTCCTGGACCTGGGCCCCCGCCCAGCCAAGAGAGAGGGGCTTGGGCCCGCGGGTGGAGCATTTTGAGCAGTAGCTGGCTTGTAGCCGCGCCGTTTATCACCGGAAAGGAAGGAAGACCAGGAACTCGTGGCGGCCGTGAACTGTTCCATTGCTCTTTTCCTGGGGCGGAGGGACTCACTGCCCGCCCGAGGAGCGTGCTCTGGGGAATAGAGTATGCGCCTGTGTGTATGTGTGGGAGGCGAATTGTTCGCAGGGCGTGGGGGAGGGGGTGCCGCCCAGATCGGAAGGACGGGCTCTCCCTCTCTCCAGCCCACCCTCGGGCCTGGACTGGCCAGAGCGTCAGCCCTCGCCGGCAGCGAGCGCGGTGAGAGGCTGGACGAGGCGAAGCTCAGAGACGCCAAAAACCTGAAAGATGCTGTCATCGCCACCCCCTTCCCCCACGCTGGTCCCTGGCAGGTCCGGCCCCTCCCAGGCTGACCCAGATACATCCCCGTTTGGGTCCGGAAAGGGAGGGGAGGGAAACAAGCACCGCGCCACCCACGACTCGGGAAGAGCAGGGCTCCTCGCCAGGGCCGCTCCGTATCGCTGGGCCGCGACCCAGGGAAGTTCTGCTTGGTCTGCGTCGGTCGGGCGGGAGGTGCAGGGAGGGCGCGTGGGGCGGCAGGCAGCGGGGCGGGGGAGCGTTTCTGCTCGCCGTGTGTGCACGCCGGCCATGGGGAGGGTATGATAGGCACCAAAGAGCAACACGCCTCTCATGTACTTACATGCTTATGCTCACAAACCTCCTTCCCCCGTGAAGCAGGGGAATAAACGAAAGCTTACCTCCACCCTTCTTTGTCCCGCATTTTCTTGAAGTAAATCCAGACACTTAGGAAAGAAAAGGTGGTTGGCTCCGAGGAACCAGAAACATTGCCAAAATTTCACTTCTACCGTGAATAAAGTAGGAGTGTGGATGTGTATGTTGGGAAAGGTAGACAGTTGTATGATTCTCTCATGGAGATTATGATTTGAAACCACCTAAAAAACTCCAACTCAAGTTCCACCCATCTCAGCACATCGTGTCCTCACAGCTAAGGGGTGTTAGAAGTACATGGAATGTGACCATCAGCTTACAGGCCCTTGCTCTCCGCCCAGGGAATTAGTGAGTGGCCAGGAGACCTGCCCTTCAGTTGATGGTGAGGCCAATGGAATGACCTAAACCTGAAACAGACCTCCTGGAAAAGAAATGGACCATCCCCAAAAGCTAATTAAATCCACGCCAGAGGACTTCATCCTGGGGCAGGAGGAGGAGGAGTGCCACATGTCTCACAGAGAAGAAATTGGTTTTGGTGAAAGGCAAAAGGCTGAAAATGTTCGAGTGAAGCTAAATCCAGATGTGAAAAAGGGGTCCACCCAAACACCCCTTCCTGACCTGTCTAGAGGCCGTCTGGACTCAATGACTTGTCTCTTCCAGATCTGTGATTCCATTTCCCTCCCATTCTCCACCCCTTTCACTTATGAACCATTACTTAGCCCCAGTATAACTTATTTTCCTGCCAAGAAGGCCTTTACTCCCTCCTTGTCTGTACCTATTCTCTCGATGGACCCCTTCGCTTTGAAGATAAGATGTTCGCTAGTAGACATGGTTAGGAAATGCTCAAGAAAATTAGGAGGAAAGAAGGTTACAGCAAACCTTACTTCTTTTACAATCAAAACCACCATCCTAAAGAAGAGTTAATAAATAATGAAGTAAATTGCATATGACTTCAGCCTAGCTATAGCAGATGATGAGGTAAGGAAAGAAAGGGTCAGAGTGTCTTTAGATTTATTAATTTAAACATCTGATTTTTGATTTCTTCAATGAGAAATCTCAGAATTGACTGTAAAATTCATTTACAGTATACAGAACCCAATTCTCTTTCTGGAGCTTAATGTTAGTTTGCTTTTAACTTCAGTATAGCACTGTAGCCAAATGAGTCAGTCTATTTTCTTAGTTAGATCCATTGTTTGTCTAATCTCCCAGGGCAGTGTAAGAGAACTCATTTACAACTGAGCCATCTCCACCCTTTAAAAATGGAGAGTTACTTCTCAACCAAATAGTCATTTGTCTTCCAGTCTGAACTGACTTCTTCCTCAGGCAATGACTCCTAAGATAGCCACTCACTAACCAAAGGATAAGTTATAGTATCAATCGTTTAAATCTCAGTGTGCCTTTAAATTAATGTGCACCGAAGTTTTTTGCTTCCAGCCATGAGAGAGTAGCAAGTACCTGAGTAGCTCTCCTTTTCAGGTATTGGACAGTAGGCCCCACACGGCTGTGATCCTTGAGAGAAGGAAAACACATTAGTTTTGCTCCACAACTATCTTACAATTGTCCAGGTTTTTCTGCTGAAGAGAAAAACATTTTTCTAGAATGTAGGAAGGTAGAATACAGGCAAGGCAGTAGTTTCAGTTAAGGAGGGAGAGACTGGAGTTTTGGGCTGTTGAAGCAGCTGAAATTTCTGAAGATAAGTAGCTGTGGAACAGGGACTCCCCCGCAAGTCTACATGGAGATTCACCACCAGTCTGGGCCAACAGCTAAGCTGAATATAGACATGACAAAACTCTGCAGGGCCTAACAGAGATTACCTGCTGCATGTAGTGCATTATTGAGAGACATTGGAGTTCCATCACAGCAGGGCAGAGAGACCTCACTGAGCATGTCAGGGATTCAATTGAGATGCTGGAAAGGCCTTGCCTTAAAAGCAATAGTCAGGCTAAAAAGCATGTCTTAGAGCAAAAATCAAAATGTTGTTTCTCCATAGCACATACTGTAACAAAGAATGGTAAGAAATCAGACAGGACCAGGGAAATTTATAAGAATGAAACAACACCCATTAAAAAAAAAACAACATGATACAGATTCTCTACAATGGATAATTAACAATAAAAAATTTAATAGGCTGGACACGATGGTGCACGTCTATAGTCCCAGCCACTTGGGAAGCTAACAAAGGAGGATCGCTTGAGTCCAGGAGTTCAAAACCAGCCCAGGGAAACATAGCAAGACTCTGTTTCTAAACAAACCAACCAACAAACCCAACAAACAAATATGGACAAGTGAAAAACACACAAAAGTGATCTATACTTAAGAGAAAGCAGTCAATAGAAACTGATCCTGAGATGGCCCAGATATAGGAGGAATTGGCAGGAAAGAAATTTTTAAAGTAACTATTATAAATATGTTCAGGTATTTAAAGGAAAATAGAATGAACAAGTGGACAATGAACAAATAGAGAATCTCAGCAGAAAAATGGAAGCCAAAAGAAAGAAATGAAAATTCAAAACCCCGTTAGTACAGTTATCTAATCTGCAAAATTTGTACTTTCTGAAATGGAATTCCAGAAAGAAAGCAGAAAGAAAATGGGGCAAAAAATATTTTGGAAATAATGCCCCAAATTTGGCCCAGATGATGGAAAACATAAATTTACCAATCTAAGAAAGGTGGAAAATCCCCAAAAGAATAATTACTCAGCATATCACACTGGCACACATCAAACTATTTAAAGCCATGGATGAAAAATCTCTAAAGCAGCCAAAGGAAAAAGATACATTAAATGTAGGAGAACAAGAATATGAATTACACCTGGCTTCTTATCAGCAACAATGGAAGTCAGAAGACAATGGAATGACATCTATAACACGCTAAAAGAAAAAAAAAGTCCACATAGAAATCTATAATCAGTGAAAATACTCTCTGAAAATGAAGTGGAACTCTTCTCTTGCTTCTTATTCTTCACTTAACCTTAGGAATAAGAACCACATTGCATGAATAAGAGCAAAATGAAAACAGAGCAACCTGAATAAAGTCTAAAGCCAACCCTAGACAGGATCACGATTTCCCAGTGGTACTTTTTTTTGCTATCCAAAAGAAAACTCCACCTTTTTTTTTGTTAGAGTCTCACTCTGTTGCCCAGGCTGGAGTGCAGTGGCATGATCTCAGCTCACTACAACCTCTGCCTCCTTGGTTCAAGCAATTCTCTCTGCCTCAGCCTCCTGAGTAGCTGGGATGACAGGTGCCCACCACCACGCCTGGCTAATTTTTGTATTTTTTAGTAGAGACGTGGTTTCGCCATGTTGGCCAGTCTGGTCTTCAACTCCTGACCTCAGGTGATCTGCCCACCTTGGCCTCCCAAAGTGGTGGGATTAACGGCGTGAGCCACCACACCTGGCCAACTCCACCCTCCTTAAAGGAACATAATATCATTCAGGATCTCCACAAATTTTCAGCAAATTAAAAATTATTTTTTAAAACTCCAAACAAAACAAAACCTAGGAAAAAAAAACGACAGAAAATAGAAATGGACCCACAGGTAATTTAGAGTTCTGACTTATCTGAGAGGGACTCCAAAATAATTAAAAATGTCTTTTTTTTTGGCCAGGCGTGGTGGCTCACACCTGTAATCCCAGCACTTTGGCAGGCCGAGGCGGGTGGATCACGAGGCCAGGAGATCGAGACCATGGTGAAACCCCGTCTCTACTAAAAATACAAAAAATTAGCCGGGCACAGTGGTGGGTGCCTGTAGTCCCAGCTACTTGGGGGGCTGAGGCAGGAGAATGGCATGAACCCAGGAGGTGGAGCTTGCAGTGAGCCCATATCACGCCACTGCACTCCAGCCTGGGTGACAGAACGAGACTCCGTCTCAAAAAAAAAAAAAAAAAAAGTTTTGTTTTTTTTTTTTTTTAAAGAACAGACAATTTTAAGACAGAGTTGGAATCCAGGCAGAAGACTTAACTAAAAATCCAGAACTAGGGAGAAGAGAACAGAAGCAGTGACTGCAAGTAAGAATTAGATACATGGGTTGAGGATCTATCTATAATCAGTAGAACAGTGGATTAGTAAGCCAGAAGAGAGGTCAATATTGAATATCCAGATTAATGCACAGAGAATAGTAAAAGGGTAGAAAATATATAAAAGAACAAGATAAATATGATTGAGTGAAAAGGTCTAAGCTAATTGCAACTGGAGATCTAGATGAAGAAGAGAGAATGGGACTAAAGAAATATTTGAATAACTACCAGTTGAGAATTTTCCAAAACTGATGGAAGGAATCAAACCACATATTCAAAAAAAACCCTACAAACTTGTAGCAGATTAAATACAGAGAAAACTACGTTCAGGCACATCACACATACATTTCTGACAAAGGCAAAAAGAAAATATTAAAAGCTGCCAGATGGGGAAAAACATTAATTTGAGGGGAGAAATCACAAGATATGGCTGACTTTTCAACAGAAACTATTGAAATCAGAAGATGGTAGAATGGCATCTTTAGAAAAGAGGTGGAGTGGAGAAGGATACTGTCAACTTGGAATTCTATAGTCATTGCAAAGATTCTTAAAAAGTTAAGACAAAATAAAGATGCTTTCAAATAAAAGGTAAGAAAATCCCTTATTAGCAGAGTTGATGATAAATATTAAGCCAGTTATTTAAGCTGAAGGACAATGATCCAAGATGGAATTATGGAATCAGAGTCCCCTGCTGGTTTTTGTGTTAGTGATGTCATATATTTTCTTCTACACATTTTAAACTTTTAAAAGATATCATAATCATCATTTTAATTATCAATACTATTTTGTATTTTTCTATTAATTTACCTTTCCCAATATTCATATTCCTTTTTGCAATTCCATAATTCCATCTGGGCTCATTTTAAGTACTACTGAATGGTGGTGAGTTTCCCATTTTGCTTTTTTTCTGCTATCCTGCAGCCTGGACACAAGGCAGCAAAACCGTGAAGTGGGAGCTGGCATGGACAGAAAAGCATACAGGAAAGGTATCTGGATTCAAGTAGTGTGAAAGAGATTTCTAACATACTCATAGTGAGTGGGAGAAGTTCCCTGGGCTCCCCCCTTTTAATTCTTTCACATTCCACACCCCTAGGCAAACCTATGTCAATGTTGGCAGCAGTGACAACAGCAGCAGTGAGAGCCCATAGGTGCTTAAAACTCTGAGAGATGGGAAACTTTCTCTCCAGAGGAACTGTGTTCCCAAAGAGATGAGATGAAATTCCATAGCTTTTTTTTCCCCCTCCTTCCTTCTGCCATGTGGTCCTAGACATGGGTGTAATACATACAGGAAATGTATGGCAGAGTGAGACAACTAAAGCTGAAGTTTCTGGCCAGAGGACCAAAAAGAGGAATCCTTGAAAATCAGAAAGTACTTAGGTAGTCAGGCGGAATGAGAATCTTGGGAAAACAGTCATATAAAGTTGTATGTGAAGTCCTGTGCTTACCCTCTAAGTTACGTACATGTGGATTTGCCCCTAATGATCACATCAAAAACTTTGAGAATGGAACTATGGGATAGACCACAATCCAGGTCCAAGACAAGACAATGGGTTTTACACATGAGACAGGCATGAATAGAATTACAAAGCCTTTGAAAACTGAACTAACATCAGAACCAGAACCCACATAAGGCTGGTCAGAATTTGTGGCCTGAACCCAATTAGGTTGCTTGATCATATGTTGAAACAAGAATATCAACATTCCACATAGATAGGATTTAAACAAGACCCAGAGTCTCTTAACATTCTATTCTGGATGTCCAGGATACAAGAAAAATTACTTGGTATACAAAGAACTAGGAAAATTGCAACTCAAATAGAAAAAGACCATCAAGAGACACTACTGCCTAGGTGACAAAGATGTTGAAATTATCAGACAAAGACTTAAAATCAGCTATTATAAAAATTCTTCAAGAAGTAAGGATGAATACTCTTGAAACAAATGGACAATATAAAGTCTCAGTAAATAAACAAAAAATTTAAAGAGGAAACACACGGAAATTTTAGAACCGAAGAATTTATTTACTGAAAAATCTATCTCAATGGATAGAGGTGATAACAAAATGGAGGTGACAGAGAAAGATGTGAATGAACTTGAAAATAGATCAGTGGAAGTTATCTAATCTTAACAGCAGAGGAAAAAAATATTGAAAAGAAATGAAGAGATCCTCGGGAAATCTCTGGAATAATACTCCAAGGTGCCACACTGTGTCACTGGAATCCAAGAAAGAGAGGAGAAACAGTCCACTGCAGCAAAAAATATTTGCAGAAATGGTTAAATACTTACTAAATTTGGCCAAAGGTATAGACCTAGAGATTCAGAAAGCTCAGCAAATCCAAAGAGGATACCTCCAAATAAATTAATGCTGAGATACATAAAAATAAAATTGCTGAAAACTAAAGGCAAAGACAAAGTCTTGTAAACAGACAAATACAAATGATGCATTACTTATGGAGAACAAAGAGGAAAGATGATTTAAATGACTTTAGATTTCTCATCACGAATTATGAAAGCAGAAGAAAGTGGAACATTTTTTTAAAGCACTGATAAAAAGAACCATCAACCCAGTATTCTATACACAAAGAAAATATCCTTAGTGAAAGTGAAATAAAGACATTCTCAGATGAAGGAAAACAAAGACAATTCATTGTCAGTAGACCTGTTCTAAAAGGCTTGCTAAAAGAATTTCTTCAGACAAAAGAGAAATGATATAAAAAGGAAACCTGTAAAATATGAAGCTAAGAGAAATGGTAAATATCTGAATAAAAGTTACAGACTCTTCTAGTCCTCTCCAGTTCTTTAAGAAGGCAGAAAAGGGGAAACAGGATTGAAAAACCAAGATAACACACAGAAAACAAATAATTAAATGATATACTTAAATCCAAACATACCCATAATTATATAAAATATGCATGGTCCAAACACAATTTTTTTCAAAATTGATGTATTTATTATAATAAACATAAAATTCAGGAACAATAATAGTAGGTGGTATTTGGTAATAGAAATGAGACTTAAAAAACAGAAGTGGTATAAACAGGAAAACAGGCAATAATGCAGTTAGAACCATGAGACGTCATTAATACTAAACCACAATCTATGAAGAGAGGAGGTAAATAAAAGAGTGATAGCTGAGTTTGAAATGAGATATTACCACCTACCAACCAGAATAACTAAAATTTTATCAATCTGACAATGCCAACAGTTAAGATATGGAACAAATGGAACTCTCACTCCTTGCTAGTTGAAGTAAAAGTGGTAAAACCACTTTGGAAAACTGACAGAATCTACAAACTCTGAACACATGCATTCATATTGTTTAACAAGTCCACTGTAATTATATACTCAACAAAAATGCATACACAACAATTTTAAAACAGAGATTTGCTGAATGGATAAAAACACAAGTATATGCTGTCTACAAGACATTCACTTCAAATACAATTATACAAGTAGGTAAAAAGGAGAAGTACACAAAAAGATAAATGACACAAACACTAATTAAAAGAAAGGCAAAGTTGATATATCAATATTAAAGCAGATATCTAAGCAAAATAAAAGTTACCTAGGATAATGAGGGAACATAACATAATGATAAAATGGTCAATTCACCAAGAAGACATACTGTCCCTAAATGTGTATAGACCAAACAACAGACCTTCAAAACATACGAAGCAAAAATTTGACAGAACTAAAAGGAAAAAAACAGACAAATGCACAATTACAGTTAGAGATGTCAACATTCCTCACTCAGTAATTGATAGAACAAATAGAAAAATCAGGAAGATACAGAAAAACTCAACAACACTATCAACCAATTGCTTGGAAACTAAGCAATACACTTCTAATAGTCTTTGGATCATAAAAGATGTCTCAAGGGATGTTAGAAAATATTTAAACTGAATAAAAATGCATTATTGTGAAACTATATTTAATATAGATTCTAATAAGTCAAGAATACATGTTGTAATCTCCTGGGTAACCACTAAAAACTAACAAAATATATAGCTGTTCCAGTTTTCTATTGCTGTATAACAAACCGCTCCAAAACTTAGCACTTCAAAACATCAATTTATTACTGTATTTCATAGTTCTGTGGGTTGACCAGACTTAGCTTGGTGGTTCATGCTTGGGATCCTTGATATCATTTCAGGGGTTGCAGCTGGGACTGGATTCATCTGAAAGATTGACTGGGCTGGAGGTCCCATGAGGCTTTTTAACTCGTATGTCTTGCAGCTGTCATCCTCTACATGGCCTAGACTTCTTACTTGTGGCGTAGGATGCCAAGATGAAGGAGGTAAAAGTTGCCAAACTAGTTAAGAACTACACCTGGATCTCATCAAAGCAGTTGCAGGACCTGCCCAGATTCAAGAGAGGGAGAAGTAAACTCTGCTTCTTGATAGGAGAGTAACAAAGTAACACTAAAGGAGAGCATGTAGCAATAGAAAATGTTATTATTGCCATCTCTGGAAAACAGTCTTCTACAGTCTTCCCTTTGGACACAACAATTCACATTCCTTCCACATGGGCAAAATAAACCCACTCTCTCTCCCAGGTCCCCTAAAGTCTTATTCCAATATGGCATTGTCTTGAAGTCCAGGACCTTGTCATCTAAATCAATTACAAATGCAGATAAGGCTCCTCAGGTGCTGATCCTAAAATCTTTATGAAAATGCAATAGGCATAGAACAGTCATCACAGTTTTGGAGAAAAACAACTTGGGAGATTTACATTATGAGATATCAAGCTTACTTACTCTAAACTGTAATAATTAGGGGAAGGTGATATGGAACAAGAATAGTCAAATAGGCAAATGAAACCAAATAAGAGTGCAAAAATAGACCCATATATAGGACCAACTTCATTTTCAGCAAAAGTGCCAAGCAATTTAATGAGGAAGAAAGGAGAATGATTAAAGTTTTCCAATTTCTAATTTTAAGGGAAAAAGAGCTACTACTTCCCTTTAGACTTTCCATCTGGTATTACGTTAAAATTTTAAGGATCATCACTAAAAAGAATTTTAAAAGGATGTAATTTATAATCTAACAAAAAAAATGGAGGGGGAATAAAAAAACAAACTCCATACATTCAGTGGAAAGAAAGTAGGAAAGGAGAAGAGCTTAAAAGGAGGGCAGAAGGGATGGTAGAGATAAATGCAAATATATCAATAATCAAAATAAATGTAAATGAGTTGAACTTTCCATCTCTATTCAAAGACAGGGATTGGTAGATTGGTTTCCTTTTAAACCAAGTTGTATGTTATTCAAAGAGATATTAGAACTTAAGGACACAGAAAGGATGAAAGTATAACTATCTTAGAATCAGTGAAATTAAATGTTAAGGCAAAAAACATTAGTAGAGATAAAAAGGTTGATGATATCATGATAAAGATACAATTCACCTGTAAGATAACAATAATTTTAATTTCACCTAACAATACAGTCTCAAATATTCATACCAAAAATGAACAGAAATATTAGGTTAAACAGACAAATCCATTGCCTTAGTGAGAATTTTAACTCATCTTTCTCAGTAATTGACTGTATCAGTTTGCTTTTGGTAAGTAATACACCACCCCAAAATTTAGATGCTTAAAACAGCAATCACTTGTTAGCTCATTATATTGTGGGTCAGAAATTTAAACTGGGTTTATCTGGGTAATTCCTCTGTTGATCTTCACTGGGGCCGTGCATGTTTGATGGCATTGCTCACGTGTCTATGAGTTTACCGGAGTGATAGATATCTGGCCCATATTTATCCCATTATCTATTAAGTTAATGGACCTTGTTCATGTGATGGAAGATCAGAAAAGTAGCAAGGAAACAAATGTTAATGCACAAGCACTTTGCAAGCCTTTGCTTGCATCACATTTGCTAATGTCCCACTGGCTGAAAAAGGTCATATGACCAACCTGGATACAAGGGGTGGAAGAAGAGATTCCATTTTTTTTGATGGACCTGCTATCTCATTTCAAGGATATAGATTCAGGTGGGAAAATATTTTGTAACCATTTTTATAGTCTACATATTGATAGAGCAAGAAGACAAAAAAATTAGTAAGGCTCTAAGAAGTTTTGAACTATACAAAAAGTTTTGTATGCTTTATATATAAAACTTATACTCTACAATTAGAAAATACAAAATCTTTTAAAATGGACATAATACACCTATAAAAAATAAATAATATACAAAGCTAAAAAATTATTCTCAGCAAAAAACCAAAGAACTGCTCTTTTATAAACCCCATTTTCAGGCCAAAACTCAGTTAAGCTAGGAATTAGTTACAAGATAACTTTTTAAAAAGCGTATTTAGAAAGTTTTTAATGTTTCTTAAAAATTAATTGATCAAAACAGAATTCATAATAGGAATTATAAAATATTTTGAATGCAAAATATTGGGAAGACTGGCATAATTTATGAGATATAGCTAAAGTGATATTTAGATAAAAATTCTAGCTTTAAGTGTTTACATTAGAAAAGATGAACAATGTAAACTAACGAGTTGTGCACATTGTCTTAAGTTAGAAAAAGAACAACAGAATAAACTCAGGAAAGCAGAAGGAAGAAAGTGAAAAAGAACATAAAGTAATGAGATAGGAAACACAGATTCATTAGAAAGGTTCTATAAAAACAAATGCTAGTCTTTGAAAAGATTAATAGACATGTCTCTTATAAGACAAATACAGAAAAAATGACAAAGGCATACACTGTTAAGAAAAAAGGAGAAGAATTACAGGTTCAGTAAGATTTATAAATTAGAGACCCTGAACTCATTTAAACAAAACCAAATAAAGACAACACAAGAAAAAAATATTTATGAATCTAGCTGCAACTATAAGAAATAAAATATGATAAAACCATGTGTGTATATAAATCATGGTCAAGGAATTAAAGAATACTTCAACAGTTCAAAAAATCTGCCAATAAAACACCATACTGTCTGCAGGGAAAAAAATTGAAAATCTTTCAATGTCATTTAATACATAAATACTTTTGAAAGGGAAAAATATGATTATTCCAAAATATGCAGAAAAAATGTTTGATAAAATTCAACAGTTGACATGAATTGTATTTTTTTTTAAGAAAAACTTTTTACACAACAGCAATAGGATAAAACTTTTTTTTTTTTTTTTTTGAGTGAAGTTTCACTCTTATTGCCCAGGCTGGAGTGCAGTGGCATGTTCTTGGCTTACTGCAATCTCTGCCTCTTGGGTTCCAGCGATTTTCCTGTCTCAGCCTCCCAAGTAGCTGGGATTACAGGCGCCCGCCCCTAGGCCCAGCTAATTTTTGTATTTTTAGTAGAGGCGGGGTTTCACCATGTTGGCCATGGCTGGTCTCGAACTCCTGATCTCAGGTGATCCACCCGCCTCGGCCTCCCAAAGTGCTGGGATTACAGGCGTGAGCCACTGTGCCCAGCCAAAAACTTTTCTAATAATTGAAAGGAATCTAACAGACTTACAGCAAATGTATCATATTCAATAATGAAATATTATAAGTATCTTCAAAGTTACAAAACACGAACATCCATTATCACCACTATTATCAACTATGGTACTGAGATTCTAAAACGTTATGATAATAAAGAAATATGAATTACAAGAAATGCAAAAAGAAAATTTTTATTATTTGCAGATGATGTGAACATGTACATGGAAAACCTAAAAGTGTTAAAGAACAAGACTATTAGAATAAACTGGTCATGGTAGCATGCACCTGGAATCTCAGCTACTCAGGAGGTTGAGGTGGGTGGCTTGCTTGAGCCCAGGAGTTCAAGGCCAGCCTGGGCAACATAATGAGACCCCATCTCTTCATAAACTCTTAATATATTGGCAGCAAATAGATGAATGGAATAGAATGTAAAATTCAGAAACAGATCCACAAGTACATTAGAAATTAGGTGTAGGAAATAGGCACCACTTCAAATCAAAGGGAAATGATGGATTATTCAATAATGGTGCTGTGAAAATTGGCTCACAATAAGGAAAGAAATGCTATTCGATGACTTTCATACTGTGCACAAAAATAATTTTCAGATATATTAAGGACCAAAATATGAAAAGTAAAACTTTAAAACAGAAGAAAATATAGGTAGATATTTTAAAGATTTGGGTAACAAAAAACACCAATGACAAAAGGTAAGCAGTAGATAAGAGATATTTCAACATACGTAACAGATACAGATAAGTATTTCAAATATTTAAAGTACTGAAAGTCAACAAGAAAAAGACAATCCAGTAGAAAAATAGGCAAATGATAGTAAAAAGCAATTTATAGGGGAAAAAATCACATAGAGAGATGCTCAATCTCACTTGTAATCAGAAAAGTACAAAATAAAACAAAAAAATCAACTATGTTGAATCCATCAGATAGAAGAAAATTTAAGTCAGTTAATATTATGTGTTGGCAAGTGCAGGGGTAGTGAACACTCTTGTGCACTGCTAGTAAGTCTGTAAATTAATATAGGCTCCTTGAAGAGGAGTATAGCGGTGATGCAATCAAGCTCTCCCCTGGAAACAGATGGAGGATAATTCAAGGAGGTTTGATTTACAAAGAGACTATGAGGATGTGAGCAGAGGAACTGTTACCACCTCCAGACCCAAAGGGACAAGGAGAAGGAGTAAAGGTTCATGGAACCCAGAAAGGGAAAATCTTGTAGAGATTGCTTTGAGAGGAGCAGCGCTCCTTGGTTGAGGGACACAGCACAAGAAATCTTGTAGGAGGGAGCTGGTAAATAAATATCTAGACTGCACTCTCCCTCGGATATTCTGCTGGGGTTCCTCATTGGATAAACCCAACCAGGAGCTGAAGGGCCCATTGATATAGTTCATAGAGTCAGCCTCCCAGGGTGGGGTAGGATGGAGAAAGGAAGGCTCTGAAGGGGCAAACAAAAGATAACTGGCAACATCAGTAGGTAAGGAATTGAAAATATTTGTGCCCTACAACTAGCTATTCCATTGCTAAATATAGTTAAAGACATTTTGTTGTGCATCAGGACACATGTACGTATGCATAGTACAATACTGTTGAGAAGAATAAGTGAAAAATAACTCAAAATTTTATCAGTGAAGGAATAGAGAGGTAAAATATGGGATGAACATGTGATGGCATACTGTAGAGCAGTTACATGGAATTAATTACATCTTCACTTTTTACGTGGATGAATCTGAAAACATGTTGATGGAAAAAATAAAGAACAGAATGAAGCAACATTAGTATAACCCCATATTAGTTGGGAGTGTCTTTAGCACCACTGACAGAAAACTTAGCTACAGTTGCTTAATCAAATAGGGGTTTACTTTTCTCATGCTGTAAGAAGTCCAGAGGTAGACTATCCAGAGCTGGTGCAGCTGCTCTAGCATATATACAAGGAAGGTTCTTTCTGTCTCACTGTTCTTAGCGTATGGCTCCATCTTATGGCTTTGAGATATTTAGTAACAGCCCCAATGCTTAAAATGGAATATTTCAGTTTATTTAGCAATTCTATTAACCTGGGCTTTTCCATGTCTTTAGTATTAGTTTTCAAATAGACTTGAAGTAAGTAAATACTTTTAAAATCAGGTGAATTCAAATCAAGAAGAAGCTGAGAAAATATGTATATCTCAAGTGCATAACCTCTGGTGCCCATGATGGTATGTAAAATGTTTCAGGAAGATGAGGTCCTCTGTGTGACTTGGGGAGGTGAAAGTGTAGGTAGGTGTTAGGATAAGTACCAAGTAGACAATCTGAACAAGATTGAGTCATGTACATTTCCACGCCGCCACCAATCTTCATCTGTGGAACAACAAGAATGTAATCTCTAGTTCTCTCCATTATCACAAGAGGGTTTAATAAGTTTGGCCTTATATACAGTGGTTTCTGCTTCTAACCTGCAACTGATTGCACATCTTTGCATTTGAGTAGGTACAGTTCGTTGAAGAGGAAGAAGAGAAATAGAGGGAGTCTTATGAGATAAATTATTCTCTGTTTGACTATTAGCTGTCTTGTGGATTCTGAATATGTCTGTGCCAGTTTAGATAATTTAAGTATTTTTAATTATGTCACTGTATTATAGAAAATATTTCTTTCAAACAAAAATATGGCAATTTGAAAAATCTGACTCCTTTTCTCACACAGAGTATCACTTTTGGTGCAAGGCACTATAACATATGCTTTATTATGAATAACAACAATAGAAATTTTACTGACTACCATTTATTCAGTTTATACCATGTAGCAGGTATTGTAGAAAATAATTTATGTGGCTTAGTTCACTTAATCCTTATAGCAACCTTATTTATTTTATTAAATAAGCTTATTATTATTATTGAGATGGAGTTTCGCTCTCATTGCCCAGGCTGGAGTGCAATGGTACGATCTTGGCTCACTGCAACCTCCGCCTCCTGGGTTCAAGCGATTCTCCTGCCTCAACCTCCTGAGTAGCTGGGATTACAGGCATGCACCACCACGCCCAGCTAATTTTGTATTTTTAGTAGAGATGGGGTTTCTCCATGTTGGTCAGGCTGGTCTTGAACTCCCAACCTCAGGTGATCCACCCACCTCAGCCTCCCAAAGTGCTGGGATTACAGGCGTGAGCCACCGCGTCCAGCCTAAATAAGCTTATTAAAATATACGTTTGATTACATTAGCTAAATGACTGGCATATAGTAAATGTCCAATTAAAAGTGTTATTTTTAGTATAATTATTGTTATTTTATAGATGACATGGTAGATACATAAAGGGCTTAGGTAGCTTTCTGAAAGCTGCAGAGCTAGTAAGTGGTAGAGCTGAAATTGGTACTTGGATCTGTCTGGCTCCAAGTCTGCATTAACTATAAAACTCTACAACAACTTCTGTGACATTGCATTTAACACTTGAACGAAAACCCTAACTCAGGATATTTATGTTTTGGATTAGGAAACTAGGTGTCATAGAAAATAATTATTAATAATAATCATTTTTTTCATGACCTATTCAAGGGCACTTCTGGTTGGTGACAGAGTTGGGTTCCCTGGGAAGAAAATCCTGGTGGAGATTAGTATATGGGACACATTAGGAGTGCTCTGGAAAGCAATACCTGTGCGAGGAAAGGCAAGGAAATAGGATTAGGCAGAGGGAGAATATGGGGTGTGATGCCCTCTCAATGAAGGCCTCAGCCATCCCCACTGGGAGTTCTAAAGTGGGATTGTCTTTCAGAGTTGTCTTGAGTTGGGATGAGGGGCCCTGAAATTGGGGCCTTTCTATCCCTAAGTTGACCAGTCATTTCTGGGAATAGGAAGTGCTATAGGGAACTCAGCTATCTTTGACGGAGAAAACTCTCAAAGAAAGCTGAGGGCTTAGGGCTGTCTGCTAACTGCACTCCAGCCCCTGGAGATAAGTCATTTATTCTTAAATGGAGATTTGGGAGCCACATCACACATCCACTCCAGTATACAAAACTTCATTAAGAAAAAAAATCTACTATTTTTCTTTCATCCTATGCTGGTATTCCTATTTTATTTAGAAAATGATGTGAGGACTTTGCATAATAACTAACCTTTTGTTTCCGTATTTTAAGTTCAATCTTGGTACACCAGAGCTAACCATGTGTGTTAATTGTAATATTACCACTAATATGACAGTTAATTATAATATTACCACTAACGTAACAGTTAATTATAACACAGCTAACTTAATAGTTTATTTATTTATTTATTTTATTTTATTTTATTTTTTTTGAGACAGAGTCTTGCTCTGTCGCCCAGGCTGGAGTGCAGTGGCGCAATCTCGGCTCACTGCAAGCTCCGCCTCCCGGGTTCACGCCATTCTCCTGCCTCAGCCTCCCGAGTAGCTGGGACTACAGGCGCCTGCCACCACGCCCAGCTAATTTTTTTGTATTTTTAGTAGAGAAGGGGTTTCACCGTGTTAGCCAGGATGGTCTCGATCTCCTGACCTCTTGATCCGCCCGCCTCGGCCTCCCAAAGTGCTGGGATTACAGGCGTGAGCCACCACGCCCAGCCTAACTTAATAGTTAATTGTAGTATTACCACTGAAAATTCTAGGTGTTTTCATGCTCTATACTGGGGTTATGAACTCCATATGCAACACCAAAAATTGGTTTAATTGAATGAATCTTGAATCCATGATGAGAACTTGGTTTAAATCTGGCTTAACTCTCTTCTAAAATATTTCACACATAGGGAACTTTGCCAGTTTTTCATTTGTAGCTGTTTTCTTTGTAGGAGTGTTGGGTAGGAAGGTTATAGGTTGAGGTTTACCCCTACTCCTATGGGGAAAAGTAAGTGAATCTATCACTACACTCTCAACTGTAAAAAAAACTGTTAAAAAACAAAAACAAAAAAATTTTGACCACTCTCTCCAATGAAGCAAAGTGTGTTTTTCTTTTTACAAAAGTTTGCATCTTTAAATGATGCTAATCCTACCGTTTCTCTTAATAGAAAAAATATTTTTAAAAATTTTATTTTTTTTTAAGAGATTCGGTCTTACTCTGTTTCCCAGGATGGAGGGCAGTGGTGCAATCATAGCACACTGCAGCCTTGAACTCCTGGACTAAAGCAGTCCTCCCAGCTCAGCCTCCCAAATAGCTGGGACTATAGGCATGCACCACCATGTCTGGCTAATGTTTTTAATTTTTTTTTTTTTAAAGAGATGGGGTCTTGCTTATGTTGTTGCCCAGGCTGGTCTCTAATGCCTCGCCTCAAGCAATCCTCCTGCCTTTGCCTCCCAAACATTGGATTATAGGTATGAGCTATGTGCCTGGCCTAAGTATTTAAATTTTCTGATCTCTGATCTCATATAAAAAATGTAATATATGGTTATAGTGCTTGCACATACTACGCACTCAGTGATTGTTTAATGAATTAAAATGTCTTTATAAGTCAGCTTCCCAAAACTATTATGCTGGCAACAGCCAAATATTAAGAATAACTCTCATAATAGCAATCTCTAAATGTGAGCTCAAAAGGAAAATCACTTATGAGGGGTTCAGTTTTGTCTAAGCATTGATTCATGTACATAAAGCCCCTAATGGCTTTGTTCTAATTTTAAGAATTCCAAATCAGATCCATTTCTGAGGATGGCATTATTCTGATTAATTTAGTCAGACTGATCATCTATCAGATGAGGAAACCAAGACCCAGAGAATGCACAGCTAAAAACAACAGGGCTAGAATCTAGGATACCTCTGTTTTTATCTCTAAATTTAGAGATAAGAGAGAGATTAGGGGTTGAGAAGGGACAGCATACAACAGCAGACATGGAACTCACAAAAGAAAAATAATAAAGAAGATTAAAGTGTTAGAAAGATACCAGAAAGGAAGCAAATTCATGGAAACAATTATAAAACATCTGTTGAGAAGAAGGTGAAAAATACTGTCTACTGAAATAAGTATAGAGATAGTGCCATTCTTGAAAATGTCATTTACTCTCCCTCCAAAAATGTTATACAGTATTAAAACTTGTTAATTTAATATAAAATATTGAGAAGATAATCTGAATTCACAGGTAAAGAAATATAGCATTGTTCAAATGGTTTAGAGTTAGTTTTTCCAATAATTAATGAATGGTGTCACATAAGTGCAGTATAACATTTTTATTGGCACTTAAAATAAATGTATTACTCACTAGTGGATATGCCGAAAAGAAAATATCCACCAAAATTCCACCCCCACAAAGCTAAAAATGATTATTTATTAATCAGTGACAGAGTGACTTGGAGTGCAAAACAGAAATCATCATGGTTATCTGTGTTCTGAAAGATTAACTATCATCATAGTGTTAAGATCAAAAAAAGGTTGGCACAAAACTTCCCATTAAAAAAAAAACCTCAGTTTTGATTCCATTCCTTGAAATTGTGGCTGAATTCATTTTTTTTCTCATTCTACTTCATTAGTATTTTCTTAATTTTAATTTTTTATTTCAGTAGGTTTTTGGGGAACAGGTGGTATTTGGTTACATGGGTAAGTTCTTTAGTGGTGATTTCTGAGATTTTGGTGCACCCATCACTTGAGCAGTGTACACTGTACCCAGTGTATAGTCTTTTATTCCTCATCCCCCTCCCACCCTTTTCCCTGAGTCCCCAAAGTCCACCTTTGTGTCCTCATAGCTTAGCTACCACTTATGAGTGAGAATATATGATGTTTGGTTTTCCATTCCTGAGTTACTTCACTTAGAACAATGGTCTCCAATTCCATCCAGATTGCTGTGAAGGCCATTATTTCATTCCTTTTTATGGCTGAGTAGTATTCCATGGTATATCTATACCACATTTCCTTTATCCATTTGTTGATTGATGGGCATTTGGGCTGGTTCCATGATTTTGAAATTGCAGATTTACACACTGCTATAAACATGCGTGTGCAAGTATCTTTTTCATATGACTTCTTTTTCTCTGGGTAGACACCCAGTAGTGGGTTTGCTGGATCAAATGGTAGATCTACTTTTAGTTCTTTAAAGAATCTCCACACTGTTTTCCATAGTGGTTGTACTAGTTTACATTCCCACCAGCAGTGTAAAAGTGTTCACTTTTCACCACATCCACGTCAGCATCTATTATTTTTTTATTTTTTGATTATGGCCATTCTTGCAGGAGTAAGATGGTATTGCATGTGGTTTTGATTTGCATTTCCTTAATCATTAGTGATGTTGGGCATTTTTTCATGTTTGTTAGTCATTTGTACATCTTCTTTTGAGAATTGTCTATTCATATCCTTAGCCCACTTTTTGATGTGATTGTTTGTTTTTCTCTTGCCAATTTGTGAGTTCCTTGTAGATTCTGGATATTAGTCCTTTGTCAGATGCATAGTTTGCAAAGATTTTCTTTAACTCTATGGGTTGTCTGTTTACTCTGCTGATTATTTATTCTGCTGTGCAGAAGCTTTTTAATTTAATTAAGTCCCATCTATTTATCTTTGTTTTTGTTGCATTTGCCTTTGGGTTCTTGGTCATGAAGCCTTTGCCTATGCCAATGTCTAGAAGGGTTTTTCTGATGTTATCTTCCAGAATTTTTATGGTTTCAGGTATTAGATTTAAGTTTTTCATCCATTTTGAGTTAATTTTTGTATAAGGTGAGAGATGAGGATCCAGTTTTATTCTTTTACATGTGGCTTGCCAATTATCCCAGCACCATTTGTTGAATAGGGTGTCCTTTCCACACTTTATGGTTTTGTTTGCTTTGTCGAAGATCAGTTGGCTGTAAGTATTTGGCTTTATTTCTGGGTTCTCTATTCTGTTCCACTGGTCTATGTGACTATTTTTATACCAGTACCATGCTATTTTGGTAACTATTGCCTTATAGTATAAAGTTAAGTGATGCCTCCAGATTTGTTCTTTTTGCTTAGTCTTGCTTTAACTATGTGGGCTCTTTTTTGTTCCATATGCATTTTTGGATTGTTTTTTCTAGTTCTGTGAGAATGATGGTGGTATTTTGATGGGAATTGCATTGAATTTTTGGTTGCTTTTGGCAGTATGCTCATTTTCACATGAGCATGGAATATGTTTCCATTTGTTTGTGTCATCTATGATTTCTTTCAGCAGTATTCTGTAGTTTTCCTTGCAGAGGTCTTTTTACCTCCTTGGTTAGGTATATTCATAAGTATTTTTTTTTTTTTCCAGTAAAAAGGGTTGAGTTCTTGATGTGATTCTCAGCTTGGTCACTGCTGGTGTATAGCAGTGCTACTGATTTCTGTACATTCATTTTGTATCCTGAAACTTTACTGAACTCATTTATCAGTTCTAGGAGATTTTTTGATGAGCCTTTAGGATTTTCTAGATATGCAATCATATCATTGGCAAACAGTAACTGTCTGACTTCCTCTTTACCAATTTGGATGCCCTTTATTTCTTTCTGTTGTCTGATTGCTCTGGCTAGGACTTTCAGTGCTTGGTTGAATAGAAGTGGTGAAAGTGAGTATCCTTGTCTTGTTCCAGTTCTCAGGGGGAATGCTTTCAACTTTTCCCCATTCAGTATAATGTTGGCTGTGGTTTAGTCATAGATGGCTTTTATTACCTGAAGGCATGTCCCTTCTATGTTGATTTTACTGAAGGTTTTAATCATAAATAGATGCTGGATTTTGTCAAATGCTTTTTCTGCGTCTATTAAGGTTTTCTTTTTAATTCTCTTTATGTGGTATATCACGTTTATTGACTTGTGTATGTTAAACCATCCCTGCATCCCTGGTATGAAATCCACTTGAACATGGTGGATTATCTTTTGGATATTCTGTTGGATTCCATAGCTAGTATTTTGTTAAGGATTTTTACATCTATCTTCATCAGGGATATTGGTCTGTAGTTTTCTTTTTTTGTTATGTCCTTTCCTGGTTTTGGTATTAGGTTGATACTGGCTTTGTAGAATGATTTAGGGAGGATTCCCTCTTTCTCTATCTTTTCAAATAGTGTCAGTAGGATTGGTATCTCATTGGATGAGAAGTGTCTTTGAATTTCTAATAGAATTCAGCTGTGAATCCATCTGGTCCTGGACTTTTTTTTTGTTGGCACTTTTGTAATTACCATTTCAATCTTGCTGCTTGTTATTGGTCTGTTCAGAGTTTTTATTTCTTCCTGGTTTAATCTAGGAGGGTTGTATATTTCCAGGAATTTATCCTGGAAGGTGTTCCGTTTAGCCTTGAATGATCTTTTGTATTTCTGTGATACCGGTTGTAATATCTCCTGTTTCATTTCTAATTGAGCTTATTTGGATCTTCTCTCTTTTTTCTTGGTTGATCTCACAAATGGTCTATCAATTTTATTTATCTTTTCAAAGAACCAGCTTTTTGTTTCATTTATCTTTTGCATTTTTTTTTGTCTGTTTCAACTTCATTTAGTTCTGCTCTGATCTTGGATATTTCTTTCCTTTTGCTGGATTTGGGTTTGTTTGCTGATGAATAGAATGTATATTCTGCAGTTGTTGGGTAGAATGTTCTATAAATATCTGTTGAGTCCATTGATTCTAGGGTATAGCTTAAGTCCATTGTTTCTGTGTTGACTTTCTGTCTTGATGACCTGTCTAGTGCTGTCAGTGGAGTATTGAATTCTCCCACTATTATTGTATTGCTGTCTATCTAATTTCTTAGATCTGGTAGTAATTGTTTTATAAATTTGGGAGCTCCAGTGTTAGGTGCATATATATTTAGGATGTGATATTTTCCTGTTGGACTAGTCCATTTATCATTATATAATGTCCCTCATTGTCTTTTTAAACTATTGTTGCTTTAAGGCCTGTTTTGTCTAAGAATAGCTACTCCTGCTTGTTTTTGGTGTCAATCGCATAGAATGTCTTTTTCCACCCCTTTACCTTAAGTTTATGTGAGTCCTTGTGTGTTAGGTGAGTCTCCTGAAGACAGCAGATACTTGGTTGGTGAATTCTTATGCATTCTACCATTCTGTATCTTTTAAGTGGAGCATTTGGGCCATTTACATTCAATGTTAGTTTTGAGAAGTGAAGTACTATTCTATTCATCATACTAGTTGTTGCCTCAGTGCCTTGTTTTTGTTTTCATTGTGTTACTGTTTTATAGGTCCTGTGAGATTTATGCTTTAAGGAGGTTCTATTTTGGTGCACAATGAGGATTGGTTTCATGATTTAGAGCTCCTTTCAGCAGTTTTTGTAGTGCTGGCTTGGTAGTGGTGAATTCTCTCAGCATATGTTCATCTGAAAAAAAAAACTGTATCTTTCCTTTATTTATGAAGCTTTATTTCCCTGTATGCAAAATTCTTGGCTGATAATTGTTTTGTTTAAGGAGGCTAAAGATAGTACCCCGATTCCTTTAGCTTGTAGGGTTTCTGCTGAGAAATCTATGTTAATCTGATAGGTTTTCCTTTCTAGGTTACCTGATGCTTTTGCCTCACAGCTCTTAAGATTATTTCCTTCGTTTGACTTTTGATAACCTGATGACTATGTGCCTAGGTGATGATCTTTTTGTGATGAATTTCCTGGGTGTTTTTGCACTTCTTGTATTTAGATGTCTAGATCTCTGCAAGGCCAGGGAAATTTTCCTTGATTATTCCTTCAGATATGTTTTCCAAACTATTAGATTTCTCTTCTTCCTCAGGAATACCAGTTATTCTTAGGTTTGGTTGTTTAACATAATCCCAACTTCTTGGAGGCCTTTGTCCATTTTTTTTTCTTTGTCTTTGTCAGATTGGGTTAATTCAAAATCCTTGTCTTTGAGCTCTGAAGTTCTTTCTTCTACTTGTTTGATTCTATTGCTGAGATTTTCCAGTGTGTTTTGCATTTCTCTGAGTGTGTCCTGCATTTCCAGAAGTTGTGATTGTTTTTTATTTATGTTATCTGTTTCTCTGGAGATTTTTCTGTCCATATCCTGTATTACTTTTTTGATTTAAGTTAGTATTCACTTTTCTCTAGTGTCTCCTTGAGTAGCTTAATAATTGACCTTCTGAATTGTTTTTCTGGCAATTCAGAGATTTATTCTTGTTTTGGATCCATTGCTGTTGAGCTAGTGTGATCTTTTGGGGATGCTAAAGAATTGTTTTTCTGGTTCCTTTTCTGACAATGTCTGAGGGAAGATCCAGGGCTCAAGGGCTATTGTTCAGATTCTTTTGTCCTACAGGGTGTTCCCTTGATGTGGCAGTCTCCCTCTTCCCCTGGATATGGGGCTACCTGAGAGCTGAACTGCAGTGATTGTTATTTCTCTTCTGGGTCTAGCCACCCAGTGGAGCTACTGGGCTCCAGGCTCGTACCGAGGAATGTCTGCAAAGAGTCCTGTGACGTGATCTGTCTTCAGCAGTGAATACAACACCTGCTCCGGTGGATGTAGCAGGGGAGTGAAATGGACTCTGTGAGGGTCCGTGATTGTAGTTTCATTTAGTGCCCTGGTTTTGTGTTGGTTGGCCTCCAGCCAGGAGGTGGTACTTTCAAGACAGCATCAGCTGCCATAGTATAAAGAGGATATAAGCTTGCCCTAGGGTGACCTGGATAAGTATCTGTGTTTCTCAGGTGGTGGGCTGAGCCATAGAACTCCCAAGAGATTATGCCCTTTGTCTTCGGCTAGCAGGACAGGTAGAGAAAGACCATTAGGAGACCATAAGGGTTAGGGGTGTCTGAGCTCAGACTCCTTGGGTGGGGCTTGCTGTGGCTGCTATAGGGGATGGGGGTGTGTTTCTCAGACTGATGGAGTTACATTCCCAGGGCGATTATGGCTGCCTCTGCTGCATCATATAAGTTGCCAGGGAAGTGGGGGAAAGCTGGTAGTGACAGGCCTTACCCAGCTCCCATGCAGCCTGAAAGGCCAGTCTCAACTCTCACTCCCACTGTGCCCCTCCAACAGCACCAAGGTTATTTCCAGGCAGTCAGTGAGCAGGGCTGAGAACTTGCCCCAAGCTACAAACCTCCCTGCTGAAAAAGCAAGCGGGACTTTCAGATTTCACACCTCTCCACCTGCTGCGGTTTCTGTGCTCATATCTGCACTCCCCATGCACCCCCTCCCCCAGATTCTGTCCAGGAAACTTTGTGTTTTGTCAAAATTGTTACAAAGTTCAGCTGGAAGTTTCCTTCTCCCTGTGGTCTTTCCCCAATGCCACTGAGAGTCCTCCCCAAGGACCCCTCTGAGACAAAGTCAGGAATGGCTTCCCTGGGAACCGAGAGTGCCCACATGGCTCTTCCTGCTCCTTCCTCTACCCCTACATTTCGCTCGGTTCCCTAAATTAGTCTCAGCTCCAGGTAAGGTCAAATCCTTCTCCTGTGATCTGGACCTTCAAGCTCCCCAGTAAGGAGGTGTGTTCTGGGGCAGACATCCCCTTCTCACACTTCGAGCACTCACAGTTTTTTTTGACATTTCATAGAGCCTACAGCAGCAAGCTGCTTCCTTAAGAGGGTCTGTGGATTCTCTTGGCTTTCTTGGTATGTTCCTATGGTAGTTCTTGGAGCAAAAGTTCATGATGTGTGTCTCCACATGCTGCTATGTCCATCCGAGAGGAAGTTGCAATTTAGCCCTGCCTCCTAGCTGCCATTTTTCCCTGCTATCCCCTGGATTCATTTTTGGACTGATACCCTTTTAGACATTTAAATCTTGTTTCCCATATTTAATAAAAATAATTCATATAAATTAGGTATTACTGGAAATACCTTCCACAGGAAGGCCTTCAAAATTAACAGTGTAGCCTTGCTTTATGTATCATTTATCTAGCCCTAATGTAATCTTGTCAAACCTAGGTGGTCTTTTCCTTTTGCTTCAAATAGACTTTAGGTGCTCTTAAAATTTTCAGCATCCTATAGTACTAACCTAAATTTTCAGCATCCTATAACGTTAACTTAAAGCTTATAGAAAAGATACCTAGCTAGTGTTTCTGGCTTTTAAAAAAGAATCCTGCACAGTATTCTGGGGTAAGCTCTATACTAAGCACAAAGCAGATACCCCAGAAATACTGATTAAAGAATTTTACTGCCAGGATGGTAGTATGATGAATGTCATAAATGCACTCCCCAGAGAAACAAGCAAAGCTGGAGAAAACTATAAAAATGCAACCATTTAAAGTCTTTAGAAAATGTCCCAAGGATACAGAGCAAATGCAGAAACATTTATTCAAGAAAATCTACTAAAACTCAGCATAAACAATGAGACTGTAGCACTTGAAGCCATGATCCACTGTCACCATATCCCCAGCCCCAAGCCAAAACAGCTTAGCAGAAGTTCCACTCTGGATGGATATGGCCCAGAAGATGAGCTCCCTCTCCTCCTCAGCTCCCGAACAAGTGTTACCATATCTCATCTGAAGCAGCAGCCTACCAGCATTTCTTATCCCCTTCGACTCAAATGTGAAGTGACTAAATTCTGGTGAGTATGGCTGAGAGGTTGAGGGATCTCTCCTTTCACTGAGCACCATAGGATGAGAACTCTTCTCCCAGACAAGGAAGGCTGAGAATACTAAGACCCTGAATTCCTTCACCCCGCTTGCTGAAAGGCAGAGATTCCATGCTGTGAGAAGCAAACCAAGAAGACCAGAGGCTACTGCTCCACCCAGCACCTAGAATAGTGGCTCAGAGATTCTGCCTATGATAAGAAGCAGTCCCTAAGAAAAAAGTGGCTCAAAAGCTCTCCCCAAAGGAACTGACTTTATTTAAAACAGAATGTGTGGAAATTCAAGCCTAAGGATACTCTGGAAAACAATAACTCCTCTTAATTAGGAACAAGTTAAATTCTAGGCCAGTAGTTTACCTTAGAGAACCCCAGGGAAAGAGACAGCTAAGAAGGGTCCTCTTGGGGTCAGAATACACCTCAGAGGCTGGCCTTAAAAACTACTTCTGTCCAGTTTTAATTCTATCAGAATACAGAGTAATTTATTCCCTAAGCTATGTCAAAAACAATAGAGCAATTGTCCAGTAATTAGTGGAGCCTAAGGGCGGGGTGTAAACACACAATGAGCCACACAGCCTAGAAGGAAGATTAGAGAAACAGGCAGTTTAACAGAGCCCTGCTAAAAACCACTGTCACCCCAGGGTCACTATATATGCCCAAGACTGCTCTCTCTGAGAAGAAACATCAAAGACTTCACAATTTGGGGTAAGTAGACTTCACTAATATAGTGCAGCCAAATCACTAAACAAAGAAACAAGCAAACAATTCCTTATGGGGAGGGAAAGAAGAATCGGTATCTAGAATTGCTAGAATATATAACCTAAAATATCCAGTTCTCAACAAAAATTATGAGACATGCAAAGAAATAGGAAAGACTGATCCACACATAAGAAAAAGAGTAGGCAACAGAAACTAACTGTGAGAGGGGCTAAATGTCATATTTAACAGACAAAGACTTCAATGAAGCCATTATAAATATGTTCAAAGAACTAAAAGAAACCATGGTTAAGGAAGTAAAGAAAGGTATGAACAAAATGTCTTATCATAGAGAATATCAATAAAAAGAAATCATAAAAAAAACCCAAAAGGGAATTCTGAAATTGAAAAAAGTACGATAAATGAAATGTAAAAATTCATTACAATGGCTCAACAGTCAGTTTGAACTAGCAGAAAAAAGAATCAGTGAACTTGAAGATAAATGAAAAGATAATATAATCTGAAAAGGAGAGTAAAAATAGAATGACGAGAAATAAAGAGTCTCAGAGAAACCTGGGACACTTTTGGGTATACCAACATTGGTATAATGGAATGACCAGAAGGTGAGGAGAAAGAAAAAGAAAGAGAAAAAACATTAAAAAAAAAATGGCTGCAAACTTCCCACATTTGATGAAAAACATTAATCTACACATCCAAAAAGCTCTGTGAACTCCAACTAGGATAACATGCACAGGTCCATATGGGGGCTAAAAAGCAGTGGGATGGCATATTTAAAATGCTGAAAAGAAAACTCTAAAGACCTGTCAATCAAGAATCCTCTATCTAGCAAAACTTTATTTCAACAACAAAAACAAAATAAAGTCATTTCCAGATAAACAAAAACTGGAAGAATTCATTTTTAGCAGACCTACCTTATCAGAAATATTAAAGAAAGTTTTTAAGAGAAAGTAAACCCAGATAGTTCTCTAAATCTGTTACTTGTGGCAGGTATCTGAGTTACCAGCAGCATATCCTTATGTGTTCACAGTAACTTCAAGTCTTGCCTCCACGGAAGAAAGAATTTGATTGAGGAGCATAAAGCAGAAAAAGGGACTGAGGCAAGTTTCAGAGCAGGAGTGGAATTTTATTAAAAAGGCTTTAGAACAGGAAAGAAATGAAAGAACACTTGGGAGAGATCCAAGTGGGTGCCTTGGCCTAACCATGATCCTAGGACTTTATAGGCTGCCATCTTGCACCCTTTCCCTGTGATTCTGCCCTTAGGGTAGGCTGCCCACATGTGCAGTGCCCCCCAACCCCTTACCTCTGGGAAGTGAGCATGTGCAGTGTGTTCAGGAAATTATATGCATGCCCATCTGAGGCCTTCCTCCCGTTTCTGGTGTAGTGCCCCCAAAGGTCATACTTCACCATTTTGTCTTTTAATATGCATGCCCAGGAAGTTGCTTCTCCCTGGTGTCTGCATTCAGTTAACACTTTAATGTTAACAGCTGTAGATCATCAGGAGATTGTCTCTCCCTGGAGCCCTGGTGCCAGCTGCCAAATTAGAATTATCGTTTTCAGAGAGGTAGTGTGATAATTGTCAAACCATCGCCTGACTTTTCTAGTGGGTCAGGGAGAAGAGCCTTCTCTTGTCTCGCTAATGTCTATCTAACTACTGTAACAAATCCACACAAAAAATACAAAATGGTAAAGGTATCTATGTAATTATAAAAGATAGTATAACTGCTTATTTCTTTCGTCTCTTAATGGTTTGAAAAGCTATTGTATATATCAATGTGTATACAATTGCATTGTTGAGCCTATGATGGATAGAAATGTATTATATCTGGAAAATAAGAGAACAGCAGAAGTCAGAGGGAGCAGGGTTGTATTAGAGTAAGAAAATAACAATAGATGGTAACTTGAACCCACAGGAACAAAAGAAGAGAACCAGAAATGGCAAATATGAGTGTAAATATAACAAACTCTAAATATAAATTTGCTCATATTTCTGTTCTCAACTTCTTTAGTAACGTGAAATTACGTAAAGTAATAATTACAATACTATAATATTGGGTCAGTAACTTATATAATTGACCGAATTATAATAGTTCAAGACATTATAATAGTTCAAGAAGATGAAGGACAGGATAGAGATATACAAGAGTAACATTTCTATATCTCACTCAAATTAAGTTAGTATAAATCTAAAGTAGATTGTTATAAGATGTATATGGTAAGTCCTAAAGCAACTACCAAGAAAATAACTTAAAATATAGTTCTAAAAAATCACTAAAGGAACTAAAATGTTACATTGGAAAATATTCACTTAATGTAAAAGAAAGCTGTAAAAAAGAAATAAAGAAACAGAAAAGATATGAAACATATAGAAAACAAAAAGTATAATGGCGTGTGAATCCAACTATGCCAAAATAACATTAAATGTGAGTAGATTAAAAAATTCAATTAACAAGCAGATTGTCAGACTGGATTAAAAAAACCCTCAATATCTACTAATATGTTCTTTATAGAAGACACACCAGAGATTCAAAGATACAAACAGGTCGAAAGTAAAAGGATGATAAAAGATACACCATGATGCAAATAGCAACCATAAGAAATCAATAGTGTCTATACTATCAGACAAAATAGACTTTAAGACAAAAAAAAGTTACTACTAATAAAGAGGATCTTTTTATAATGACAAAAGGGTCAATCCATCCAGAAAACATAGCAATTATATATAAAAATAACAACAGAGTCCCAAAATAACGTGAGACAAATGATGACAGAAATGAAGGAAGGAATAGTTAACTGAACAATAATAGTTGAAAACCTCAATACCCCACTTTCAATAATGAACAGAACAACTAGGCAGAAGATCAACTTCTATCTGGAAACAGAAGACTTGAACAACACTATATACAACTATATACAAACTGGACCTAACAGACATTTACAGAATATGTCATCCAACAATAGCAGAACACACATTCTTCTCAAGCACACATGGACTATTCTACAAGATAGACCATATGTGTGCTAGGCCATAAAACAAGTTTCAATAAATTTAAAAGGATGGCAATCATACAAAACATGTTTTCTGATCACAATAAAGTAAAACTCGAAATTAATAGCTATAAGGAAGTTTGGGAAATTAACAAATATGTGGAAGTTAACATACTCTTAAAAGAACCAGGTGTGGTGGCTCACACCTGTAATCCCAGCACTTTGGGAGGCCGAGGCGGGTGGATCAGAAGGTCAGGAGATGGAGACCATCCTGGCCAACATGGTGAAACCTCGTCTCTACTAAAAATACAAAAATTAGCTGGGCATGGTGGCGCATGCCTGTAATCCCAGCTACTTGGGAGGCTGAGGCAGGAGAATCGCTTGAACCTGGGAGTCGGAGGTTGCAGTGAGCTGAGATCATGCCACTGCACTCCAGCCTAGTGACAGAGCGAGACTCCATCTCCAAAAAAAAGAAAAAAAAGAAAAGAAAAAGAACCAATGGGTCAAGGAAGAAATCACTGGAAAAATTAGAAAATAAGATGAATGGAAATGAACACATAATATACAAATACTTACAGGATGCTTCTAAAGCAGTGCTTACAAGGAGATTTATAGTGTTAAACACAAATGTTGAAAAAGATCAAATGTCTCAAGTCAACAACTTAACTTTTTATCTTGAGACAATGGAAAAAAGAATATATAATAAGGATTAAAGCAGTAATTAAATAAATGAATAATAAGAATAAAGGAAGTCTCCATAGCCAAAGGTTGTTCTTTAAAAAGATCAACAAAATAGAAAAACTGTTAGCTAGACTGACCTAAACAAACGAAAAGACTCAAAGTATTAAAATCAGAAATGAAAGATGTTACTATCAACCTTACAGAAAAAATTACAAGGGAATACTATGAACCTTATGCCAACAAATTAGATAATGTAGATGAAACAGAAAAACTCCCAGAAAGACACAAACTTCTGAAATTGACTCAAGAAGAAATGAAATGCTGAAATAGACATAAGAAATTGAATTAGTAACAAAAAACTTCCCACACAGAAAAACGCAGGCCTAGATGGCCTTATTGGTAAATACTATCAAATGTTTAAAGAAGAATGAATACCAATTTCTTCATGAACTCTTCCAAAAAACAAGAGGGAACTTTTTTTTAACTCATTCTATTAGTTATTATCCTGATAAAACCAGATAAAGACATTGTAAGAAAACTACAGATTAGTATTACTTGCGAATATAGATGGAAAAATCCTCAACAAAATACCAGAAAATCAAATCCAGCAATATTTAGAAAGAATTAAACACCATGGCCAAGAGGGATTTCTCCCAAGAACGCAAGACTGGTAACACCAAATCAACAGACTAAAGGACAAAACTGCATGATTATGGGAATAGATGTAAAAACATTTGGCAAAATTCAACATGCATTCATGATAAAAGCACTCAACAAATTAGCAGCAGAAGGGGACTTCCTCAACCTTATAAAAAGCATTTATGAAAAACCCACAGCTAGCATAATACTTGATGGTGAAAGACTGAATCCTTTCCCCCTAAGATCAGGTATAAGACAAGGATGTTTGCTTTTGTTACTTCTATTTAACATTGTACTGCAGGGTCTAGCCGGGGCAATTAGGCAAGAAAATGTAATGAAAGGCATGAAGATTGTAAAAGAAGAAGTAAAATTATGTCTATTTGCAGAGAATGTGATTTTGCATACAGAAAATCCTAATAAGTCTGCCAAAAAACTATTAGAAATAATAAGTTCAACAGGGCTGCAGGAATCAAGACAAATATACAATAATCAATTGTATTTCTATATAGTAGCAATGAGCAAACTGAAAATGAAGTTAAGAAAACAATAGCATAAGAAAAACATGCTTAGGAATACATTTGACATAAGAAGAGCAAAATTTAT